>NW_003315935.1:0-309802 GCF_000001405.40 Homo sapiens | reverse complement strand
GAATTCCTAAAAGAATTGCTGAGACAAAGTATATGTGCCTTTGTCATCCTGAGGGCAGTTGTCATCCTGTGGAGGTTTACCATTTGCTCTCCCACCAGCAATGTATAAGCATACCTGCTTCCCAACACTTCCGCCAACACATATTATTTGATTAATTTTCTTGGCTGATAATGGTATCTCATTGTAGTTTTAATTTGTATTTCTCATTGTGAGAGAAATGAAGCATCTTTTCATGTTTTGAGAGCCATCTGTGCATCTTTTCCCATTGTTTCTGTTAAGTCATTGATTTGCAGTACTGTAATTTGTGATGAGTTGTAAACATGAGCTCTTCTGGCCTCTTAACCATCCTTATCCAGCCTGTCTTCACGTTCCTCCTTGCCTAAAAACAAGCTCACTCAAACAGATCATTCCTGTGGCCCTCTCCCTTTTGAAATAAATCAGATGGGCAAATTTGCTTTTGTTAGGGGCCTGAGACCCAAATGTTTAAAAGTAGCTTAGCTGATGAGTGAAAAGGAGGCCCAGTTGGGGGTTGCACAGAAAATGAGGGGCGTGGGTAATAGAGGAGGCTGGGCAGTAACCTGGCAGAAGGCGCCAGAGGCCAAGGAAGGTGCGCTGGTGTCCTGCAGTGAGAAGGATGTGTGCACTATCAACTGGGTAAACACACTGCTATAGCTGCTCCAGCGACAGCAGGCACTCTCAGAAGGGAACTGAGAAAAGGGGAATGCCAGTTTCTGCCAAGGATATATGGAAAAGTTTTTTTTCCCCGTATGTTCTTTGGCAACCTTGTTAAAATCATTTAAAATGGTGAATTTGATAACAAAGCCAGCCACTAAAAGACTTGGATGTAGCAAAACAAATTGTCAAAAAGTATTTATCATTTCTAAGAAATAAAATAAACTGGGATTTAGGCTTGGATAGAAATCCAGAGGTTTGTTTTGGCATAATTAATTACAACATCTGAAGAAGGGAGGATTTTTACAAGAATTTTTTTTTTTGTAGTGAGATTGCTTTATATTCCTTTTCATGACTGGAGAGTCTGTCATTTGGCAACCCGCAAAGAACTTCAGGAACAGAGGGCCTAAGTTTTCTTGACACATTTGGATTTTTGCATGATGAACATTTGCACTTTTATTAGTAATTGTCGAGTCGTGTGTGGTCTGATCCTATGGAGAGGAGAGTGTAGGTGTTCTCTGGAGCTAGTACTGCCCCCGGCTCACACGTGCCACACTGCCTGCTGCTTTCAGAAAGAGCAGGACGGCTGGTCCTGTCCCATCTAGTGAGGTCCTGTCCCATCTAGTAAGGTTCTGTCCTGCAGAGCTCCTAAGAGGGGATTGCTGGCCTTTGATTACACTGGCTTCCAGAATCTGACCATGGAACCATTATTTGAAGCTGTCAGCTTCATTTTGTTGTTGATCAGGCCAGTCTTTTAGGTCTTTGTTGGTTGATAGATTTCTCTCAGGTCTATAGCAGCAACAAATAAAGCTCTTTAAAATTATTTTCTTGACCATTCTGCCTATGGATTGGTTCTGACCTTTGAAATGTTTGCTGTCCTTTAGATCGTGACAGAAGGAGCCTCTTCTGGGAGCTGTGAAGACCCCACAGATCTCACTGGTTTTCTTGCTTTTATTGGAAGAGTTAGCATTTGTTGAAGTTTATATTTATGTAAAATAACAATAAGTAGATTTTAAAATTTTTCTTTAAATTCTGTGATCTAATAAGAAGAGAGACTCTTTCTCTGTCATTGGGAGGCTTGATGAGGATCGGACATACCTGCTGAGAGTATCCTGTAATGTTTTCATAAGATTGGAAATGGTGAAATGAGAGCAGAAATGTAGGCAGAGGATGCCAACGCTGTTTCCTATTTCCTAAGTAAAACTGAGCAGGGCAGAATCTCCCCAGCCCTGCCAGAACTCCCTTCCTCCTTGGGTCCGCTGTCACTGTCATGCTGGCCTTGACATCTGCTACAAGTGCACACACATGGGGAACCACACAGGGAAGTGAACACATGTCCTGACGTGTGTGTGTGCCTGGTGTGGCTGCTTCCTTGATCCAGGCTTTGTTTTGTTACGAGGCTCTGCCCTCCTACCTTCAGGCCTTGCTCCTCATCATGGGCATGCAAGGATGGAATCGTTACCCCAGAGTACACTTTTTGACTTGGATTACTTGTAGTTTAGTACTGGAGTTCAGAACTTTAATTTCCCATCAGAAACCTGCCTCCCGGACCCAGGACACTGACCTTGATTGGGCACGATTTTCCAGATAAGACCTTACCTCCTCCCAACAGGGTTTGCCTTCCCTTCAGAATACAGGAAAGTACACGTGGTTCCAAGAGGACCATGCTCTTACTAAGATAAAAGGGAGGAGGGTGACTAGGTACTTTCCTCTGCTGCCATCCCTTGAAGGAAGGGGGCTTCCTTCAATGCCTCATCAGTTCCAGGGAGTATGCTTGACCCAGCAACACAGAGGAAGAAGTGACCTCATAGCAATGAGGGGCAAGCATGTGGATATTGCTGGGTATTTCTTCCTCAAAGTCTACCTGGGGACAGGTGATGAAGACGCTTACTTCTCTGCAATACACCGTGATCAGGCTTTGGTCTTCATGACACATTTTAGCCTTGCCTATGTGTGTTGAACAGAGCTGGTCATCCTCAGAAATAAAAGAAGAGAGCAATAAGTACAGGAAGGCTTTCAGTCCCAGAATAGTGTTAGGACTAAATGTCAGAGAACAGGGGGACTGTAGGAGTTTGGGGACCTTAGCATGGATACCCTCTCAATCTGCTCCCCTGTGGTATAAACAGTAAAGCCCATTGTACTAAAAGGCCTTGAGTGCTTGTCTCTGGGGCAGGTGGAGCCAGTGATGGGTGCCCCGAGAGGAGGATGCTGGAGAGGGGACAGTGTCTAAGGCAGTTGGAGAAAAAGGACAATGGCTTATGCAGTCAGGCCTAGAAGATGCAAGGGATGTCACAGCATAGTGTCCACAGGCATCCCTAGATGTCTTTCATTTTGTTTCAGGAAGAATATTGACAAAGGTAGTGATGGGAGGGTTATTTCAAGGATGCTATTTTCATGTGTCCAAGTAAACTTAAGATTCCTAAGAACTTTGACCTCTAATGCTTTTAAAGACCGTGTACCTCATGCCCATATGCACATTCAGTTAGAAAATAAATGTAGATTCTTTGGTGAATTCGAAGATGTGCTCATGGAGTGGCACAGCGTGATCTCAGTGTACACATGAAGCATGCTGATGAGAGCTTCTTGGATCTTGTTTCTTCAGGTGGACTTGCATTAAAGTGCTGTTGAATCTCTGCACTGGGAGTGGGAGCAGCCATGCGATGGGTGCCTTAATCCGAGTGCCATCCTGGCTCTCTCCAGGCTGCTTCATTTGCTGTGAGGGGTAGGGGGAGGAGGAGTTTCCAGGCAATGGCCTTATCTGTTCTGGTGGTTGACCAAGGGTCGGGGGTCCCAAAGGTGGAGTTCCAGGATGAGAGTGCACCCTTGGGGATGGTACTTAGAAAGAGTGGGGACTAGGCCTCAGCCAGGGAATGGTGGGCCAGGGTGGAGCTCCTTTGTATCAAGGAGTTAGGGCCAAGGGCCATGCAGGTGGGCCTGCAGAAGGTGGGTGGTGATATGGCCTTTCTGGTGATAACAGACTCGTGGCACTGTTTTCCTGGGGCTGTTGGGGTTGCATGGAGCAGATTCTTACTCAGGCTTACTGTCTTAAGGAGGGAAGAATGCTTTTTTATGAATACGCATAGGTCTGTGGGGCTGTGGAGCCTGGGGAATCCGAGGCTGGCGTGGGAGTCTGGGGCCCTCTAGCGGTGGTGGTGCATCCTCAGCTCAGTGCCACTCACTGTCCCTATTTCTCTCTGTCCATTTCTCTCCTCACTGCAGTGCTTCCTCTCCTTCCTAGATTTTTTTCTCTAAGTTTGACTATTCACCACCCCAGAGACTCTGTTCTATCCCATGACCTCTTGCTGTACTTTCTTTCAAATCTAAATTTTCTTGATTATTTTTCTTAATTTACAGTTTCAAGATTAGATCTGTTGGGAGCATTCTGTGCTCTACCTCAGCCCCTGGTTGAGCTATGGATTGGTGTCCCCCATGGTGACGTGGTCTGGACTCCCTTTTGTGTGAAGAGCTGTGGCAGGGCAGTGAGGTTTTGTGGAACTCAGGGAGCATCTGGCACTATGTATGAGGTTGTGAGGTGGGAGAGAGCTCTTAAATCTACCAGCCTTGTTGATCTTGGGAACTAGGAGAGAGTGCTAGGGAAGCCAGTGCCAGCAGGCCTGGAGCCTCATATTTCTTTGGCATTTGTATGATACCTTCTAGTACTTCGTTTTTTGACTTATATATGAACTAACTCAATTTAGATGCTTAGAAAATAAACGGCCACTGGACCTGCAAGAGATTAGTAGTGGTGTTCCATAGCCTTAGACATTTCTTACACTTTTATCCACAGATAAGAAAAAAATAGTGATATTTGATTTGTTTTGCCAAGGCTTAGAAGGATCTAATATGTGTTACTCGTTGAGCAGCGGGAAGCAGCAGACATTTCTAGGGTTTCTCCCTGTCACCATTCAGGAGACAGTGCACACAATCCCCTTGGCTCTTACCTGAACACTGACCACAGGTCTGTCATTGCAGGCTGGGAGTCCTCCGTCAGCATCAGCTCCGGCTCCGGTGTCCTCCTTCTCTCGCACTTCTATCACGCCATCCAGCCAGGACATCTGCAGGTAACACTCTGCTTCAGATGCTGCCATGATCAGTGTGCAGCCAGAAATAAGCATTAGTGTCTGTAGGTTCTTGAATTTCCATTTGCTTAATCAATCTGCCTTTGGTCTAAACAGTTGGCGAGTTTTATGTGTGGTTTGCTCACCAAGTTACCCATGCTAGTCTCATTTCTTCACTATGATGTCTATTCTCTTTTAAAATTGTTTTTACTTTCTGTGCTTTTATCCCACTGTTCTGCATGCAGTTCCAGTGCAGTGTTTTCTGAGTGTTGTCACCACAGTTCCGTGCAGTCTGCTGTTGTCTCGAAAGCTCCTCACTGCCAGAGTTCTCTGACACAAGGGCTCACTGTGACAGTTATCTGTAAGGACACATTACAGGCGTCAAAGAGAAATTCCTTTGGTTCAGAATGGGCCCAGGCCTTGAAGCCTGCTAAGAATACCAAAGCCAGAAGAACACTAAAGTTCTCAAGGTCCCTCAATGATGTGGGTGAGAAGGCGCAGGATACTTCAGAAAGTTTTGCCTATGTGGAAAGAACTTGTTCTGAAGGGAAATTAATACTCCCTCAAGATACGTGTCTCAGAACTAACAGGTTTCATCATAAAGAAAAAAGAACCCTGAACCACAAACCTCTTGGCAATTCCAAACATTCTTGTGTTTCATGCCTTTCTGCCGGTCGCTCAACTGCCTCAGAGGTGGAAGCTGGCAAGGGGGGCAGGCCCGGCCTGCTGCTGGAAGAGAAGGCGGATGGTGAGGCCACGTCCCGAAGCCGGCAACTGCTCCAGTACCTGTTCTCACTCTCGCACGGCTTGAGCGCCAGCAGCCTGCACAGGTTCCATGAGCTGGAGAGCTGCGCTGCTCGCCTGCACACTGCCAAGTCCTCCAGCGGGCTGGCAGGGAGTATGGGCTTCTGCTCTGACGAGATGGGAGACGACGATGTCTTTGAGGACAGCACATCTGCAAAACTGAAGAGTAGGGTTCTGCGGGCGCCCCTCTGCTCCACGGAAAAGGACAGCGACCTGGATTGTCCTTCTCCCTTCTCTGAAAAATTACCCCCCATATCTCCCGTGTCCACGTCAGGGGATGTCTGCAGGTTGGTTTGCCAGGAAGTGCCATTCTAGCCATCTCTGCTCGCATCAGGAACCTCCTCTTGCTTTAGTATGTGAAGTTTCAGGAAAATGAAGTAATAGGAAGTTGTAACCAGTTGTGGGTTGATGGTTTTCTCCAGAAGAATGGAGTATCAATATCGTTTGAAAAACTTAATTTTTATGATGTGAGTCCCAAGATAGTTTTACAAATGATAAAAGAGGAAGAAGCTGGCTGGGCGCAGTGGCTCACGCCTGTAATCCCAGCACTTTGGGAGGCTGAGGCGGGTGGATCACCTGAGGTCAGGAGTTTGAGACCAGCTTGGCCAACGTGGCGAAACCCCGTCTCTACTAAAAATACAAAAATTAGCCGGGCGTGGTGGCGGGCGCCTGTAATCCCAGCTACTCAGGAGGCTGAGGCAGGAGAATTGCTTGAACCCGGGAGGCGGAGGTTGCAGTGAGCCAAGATTGCGCCATTGCACTCCAGCCTGGGCAACAAGAGTGAAACTCTGTCTAAAAAAAAACAAAACAAAACAAAAAAAAAAAGAGGAAGAAGCTACACATATTAAAGGCCAAGCTGACTCTTCTAAACTAAAAATAAGTAGACTTTGCATAAAGAAACTGGAAGAAAGAAACTAGTATCTTCAGTTTTCCAGCCTGATGGTCCAGATTTTAAGCATTGTTGCATCTCCCAGCCTCTTTTTTAACCCTTGCTCCCTACCTACCCCCAAAAGGTGTGTGGGGACTGGCTGTTCTCCAGTAGCTCCTTCCTTCCTTCTTTTTAACTGAGGTGTAGCCACCTATGTCCCATCCTAACTCTGTTTCCCCCCTTTATCTTCCCTTGTGCAGCATCCTTGTCTGGCCTCCATAATTCACTTTTTGTCATGACTCTTGTGCCCTCCTCATTCTGACCTTTCTCCAGTCTCCGCTCCTTAGTGCCAGCTGTCATCATTTCTAACATTTGGATCAGAGATCCCCTCACTAAAACAGCCTGAGAGCCTGGCTCCTTCCAGGACGAGTGCCCCAACCTGTTCTCTAGCTGCTGGAAAAGACCCCTCTGTTTCTTAAAAGCCTGTTAAGTTCCTTCAGGCTAGTAGCTACACCTTGTTGCATACTTCCTTGGAAATAGAGAGTGCTTTCAAATTAATTTCTCACTTATTGCTATTAGTGGTCCCAAGAAAAAGAGATGAAATTGCAGCATCTTGTAATGGTGAGTTTTTTAGGTCTAGGAGAGAGGTACTGTCATCTTTGTTTACTTGCTGAGAGACGACAGAAATGTGTAGTTGTGGGGTATGAAGGTAAAGTCAGTGATTATAGCTAAAAAGCAAACGTCATTTAAGGTCACTGGTATTTTTGGATGTTGGAATGCAGGTTTTGTTTTACATAGAAATTTTCCCTCTAATTATTTTACCATCTTATGTTCTGGAAAATGATTCCATGTTGCTTTAAATTCATCTTTCAGTGAAGTTCTTATTTCTTACCAAAAAATGACAGCTTTGTCATTTCTTACATCGTTTTTTCCTTTCTGTTGCCAAATGCCCTCCAGACTTTCCATGTTGGTGCGGTAAGCTAGACATTTTTAGTTTGTAGTGATTGTTTTCGTTTGTGTTTGTATGTTTTTGTGCCCATAGTCACTTCTGTAATGTTCGTTTCTGAGTTTCCTTTGGGGGGATTAACCTGCCACTGAAGTGTCAGCTTCCCTGTCATGGGACTGTCCTTGGAATGACAGGTTTTCCTTCCACCATAGGATCTGCCACTGTGAAGGAGATGATGAGAGCCCCCTGATCACCCCCTGCCACTGCACAGGAAGCCTCCACTTCGTGCACCAGGCCTGCCTGCAGCAGTGGATCAAGAGCTCCGACACGCGCTGCTGCGAGCTCTGCAAGTATGAGTTCATCATGGAGACCAAGCTGAAGCCACTGAGAAAAGTACGTGGGAGGAAGGGATGCTTCACCCTTCCTGAAACCAGTGACCCCCAGAAAGCTGGTGTCTCAGATCATGAGGTCATGGCTTGCCTGCGTTCATTTCCTTAAAAAGCTGGGGCTGGTGCTTACATTTGCATTGTAGAGATTGTTGTTTCTGGTGCTGATTTTCAAGTCCCTCTTCTCAGGAAGAAGCTCTTTCTGACCATTCATAATCCTTCTTTTCCCTTCAAAGTAAGACTGCTTGCTTGTCGGTGTCAGTCCTCTGGCCTTTGACTACAGACTGTTTGTGACATATCTTAGCACCTAATTTTATACATATTAACTGTTGACGTCCTGCTTCTCTGATTAGGACTGTCTGTTGGAGATTAGTATCTCCCCAGCACCCAGCACAGTGTAGCATACAGTAAATTTATTTGTATACACCCATGATAACTATTTGCTGGATGGGAGTGTGAGTAGGTGGATAGGGAAAAGAAAGGAAGCACAAACGTTGCGTGATGTGCAACTGTCTTCAGAAAGGACCCACAGGCATTGCATGACACGCAGCTGTCTGGAGGCCCATGTCACTGCTCCCTCTGAGAGGAGCTTTGTCCGCCACACTGGCTTCCTGTTTAAATTTTGACTGTTTCATATATCTCTCTAGATGCCCAGCACAAAAGGTTTTGTCTGGAAGAATAAAAAACTGTTCCTATCTCAGAACATTAATATATAAATTGCAAGATAAGTCACATAATCAAATACTAGCCAATTAAATGCTAAATGGTGTGCTGGTAGAGCATAACAGTCATTCAGAAAAGGAAATGCTCATTATGAGCTAGAGTGCTGGGGAAGTGGAGCGATGGTAGCCTCATAGGGTGTTTGGGTTTTAGAGCAGTTCTTGAAGGATCACTAGGATTTGGAGGCAGAGTGCAAGGAGTTTAGAGAGGTCAGGCTGTCTGTGGAGTAAAGCATACCCTAGAAAGGTGAAGGTGAACATTGACAGGGTGTCAAGCTACGTGCGTTGTAGGAAGTAGCAGGGAGCATGGGGCACTGAGGCACTGACTCTGTATTATAGGTAGGAAGACCAGGGAACTTGCTAGTGTATAAAATCCCAGCAGAAAACAACCAGATTTAGAGAAGGCTTGTGCAAACTGCTTAAAAAAATGTTTTGCCCAGTAGAAACCTTGTAATTTATTGGGTGCCTACTCTATGCTAATCTCTCAACATGGGAAGTCCTTGAGGCTCTATTTTCAACTACCCTGCATAGACTCATCTGGAAAGAGGCTGTGACTAGGGTTGGCAAAGGATATGTGCAGAGTGTTTACACATTGTTCTTTCTCTCTACCTTTATGTGTTTTCTCCTGATTCGGAAACCAGTAAATGAAAAAGAAAGTCTGGCTATTTGGAGTAAATTAATGAGCTCCTAGAGGAGATGGGACTAGCAGAGTCTGCTTGTACCAGGAACTCTTAGCGTCGATTTCGAGCTGTTGCTGCCAAAGTAGCAAGGACCAAAGAGTGAGCGTCTTCTGCCATTCACCTTCACAATGTAGTGTGACCCATCTGCTAGTGTGTTGTGGCATCATCAACCCTCTTCTTCCGCTCGTCCATGCCAGTCAGCACATCAGGGAGACTTAAAACGTAGTACCTGGGTCCTGGGCCAACATACTGTTTTCATTAGGACTGAAATCATAGAATTCTTTATCAGGCCATCTTATGTCTGCTTGCAAGAATAAGCAGACAAGGGGATTTTTGATGGTAGTTCTGCATTCATCTTGATCCTGGCTTCTTTTCATTGCATAGAAAGTTGGCTGCACCTGGTACCTGGTTGAAGCCAAGTGGTTTTAGGAGAACAATACTTGGGGGAATGCATCTAGTTTGGGAAGGGAGAAGTGGGGTGGAAAGCCAATCTTACCTACCTACAATGCTCTCACCCCACCGGAGCCCTTCCCCAGAAGCCTGAGCCTCACACTCTGTGTTGTCTTTCTAGTGGGAGAAGTTGCAGATGACGTCCAGCGAGCGCAGGAAGATCATGTGCTCAGTGACATTCCACGTCATTGCCATCACATGTGTGGTCTGGTCCTTGTATGTGCTCATTGACCGTACTGCTGAGGAGATCAAGCAGGGGCAGGCAACAGGTGAGTTCTCAGGCTGGAGCAAGCTCAGCATGGGGGCCGGGATAGCTCACAGGAGTCCTGGGGTCAGAGGATTTTCCAGTTAGCCAAAAACGTCTGGGTTTCCGGAGGAGGGACATCAGTTAGGAGGCACTAGCCTCCTTTTTGGCATTTCTTTTGCTGTGGTGGTAGTTTTTGAAACCCAGTCAGGAGAGTTCATATTCTGGAGCATGAGAATCTCCGCAAACTACATCCTATAAAAGCAGGAAGTAGCTGGACACTGTCTTCCACTCTTCTTTGACTGAGCAACATTGGATGAGTTGTGAATCCATTGGTCAGTGGTGCAGGCTTGTGGTCCCCAGATACTTGAGGCTGAGGGATGGAGGATTGCTGAGGCTCAGGAGTTCAAGGCTGTAGTGTGCCATGATCACACCTGTGAATAGCCACTGCACTCCAGCCTGGGCAACATAGCAAGACTCCATCTCTTAAAAAACAACAACAACAACAAAGAATCAGTTGATTATGGGAAGTTCAGAAGTTGTGTTTTTCTTTACTTCATATCTTAAATAAAATCTAATAGGCTGAGTTTTTCCCTTCCAGGAATCCTAGAATGGCCCTTTTGGACTAAATTGGTGGTTGTGGCCATCGGCTTCACCGGAGGACTTCTTTTTATGTATGTTCAGTGTAAAGTGTATGTGCAATTGTGGAAGAGACTCAAGGCCTATAATAGAGTGATCTATGTTCAAAACTGTCCAGAAACAAGCAAAAAGAATATTTTTGAAAAATCTCCACTAACAGAGCCCAACTTTGAAAATAAACATGGATATGGAATCTGTCATTCCGACACAAACTCTTCTTGTTGCACAGAGCCTGAAGACACTGGAGCAGAAATCATTCACGTCTGATTGTGTGCGGGTTGTCATTTTCCTGGACATCCATGAAGAGCTGAAGGAAATTGTTTACTGCCAATTGTATACCTTTCTTATGTCCTTTAATAGCATAGACTGGACAGGTGACTATTTATAGTGGCTTCTCTTTTTCTAAACCCTCCTTAGTCTCCTAGAAAACCTTCCTGTGGGCCAGGCATGCCTGGGTCCTGCCTCTGCCTGGCAGCTCTGTGGGAAAGTGGAAGACCCCATGATGACATCATGGGGAGCCAGCAGAGTTCCTGCCCATGGTCTTGAGCTGAATGAGAGAATAAAATGCCAATCCCAAGGGAAGAGGAGGAGCAGGGGTGCCCAGGCCCTGATACCCAGCCGCCTCCAGCTTGCAGTGGTCCCCAGCCTGGAGCAGAGCATTGGGGAGTGTCTAGCCATGACGAGAAGATTCCCTCTGCATCACGGCGAACCCCAGGAGATGGTATTGAAACAGACCCCCAAACACAGACTCCTGCCTGCCCTCTGCCGATGCTGCCTCCTCCATGCTCTTGAGCAGGTGGAGCCATGGTGCTCTGTGGTGGCGCATGATTCACTGAGCAAACAGCACTTTACAGAAGAAAATCTTTATTTTGTAATATGTGTGTCCAGCGGGATTGACACTCAAAAAAAGTCTCACTTAGAAATCTTCCCTTCCTTACCTTTGTATCTCCTTTACATCATGAGAGATCAAAAATCCATTTTGCCTTACATATGCTAAGAAGCGTGGCATTCTTTCTGTTCATAAAACAGACTCATGACTTTTAAGACAGGACAAGCAGGCCAGAGGCTTTTTTTTTAATCACAGATCTCATGGGAATTAGTGGATGCTAAATGGCAATTAAAGCATGATTCCTATGCTTTTGAGCCTGTTTTATGACAAGGTGTTACTTTGTAGACCTGGCCCATACATTTCTTTTTTGTCAACACTGAAAAAGAACAGTTTCTGAGATCGAAATGGAAGGAAAGGAAGTGAGTAATGACAACAAAACTGAATATTTAAAAAATATTCCTTTATAGTTAAATCTCTCCAGTTGGTGTTGGCTTCACATTGAAAGAGCAGCCATGTGCCACCCTGGCCGGGGTGTGTGCACTGCATGCAGGTTCTCCCTTGCATGCAAGATGGGTGCTGGCCCACTGTGAGGCTTCTGCTCGGGGAAGTTCTGTGGAGTCACTACCAGGGCCAAGAGGCAGGTGGGCTGGCTCTGGGACGAGGGCCAGGTGTGAGCAAACTGCCAGGGTCCGCTGTGCCACTGCTCCCCGGCCACATGCCCGCCCAGCTGTCGCCTTAACCAGACTGAACAGACAGGATCCTTCAGGGCCCTTGGCCCCACTCTCAGTGCATTCTGTCATCAGGGATTACCACCTGTACCATTTTCATAAAACAAAACCAAAATCACTACCATCAAATGGCCTTGTCCCTCTAAAAAGTCTGCTTAAAATTCTGTTTTTAAAACCCAGTTTCCTAGTTTTCCAGGCAAATAGTTACCTCCGGGAAAGTTGCTGGGGGGGCCTGAAGCACAATGTAGCGCAGATGCTTCCTTTCCAGGCCATTCTCTCACCCAGCCTGCACGGAGGAGATGGGAGATGCTGGGGGTCCTGCCCTCAGTCTTTTTGGGCCTTAGGCGTTTCGTTCATCCTGCTAAGGGGATGAAGCAAACACGAGGTGATTCCTTTGCCTTTCAGAGTGGAAGCCCTGGAGTTTGTTTTGAAGGCCAGGAGGCTGAAGGATCTCTAAGCTACGGTGTGGGCTTAATAGCAGCAGGCTTTGTCCTCCTGTCTCCTCCAAGCCAGTGTCTGATTCCTTGGCAACACAGGTCTTAGTCTGTGGAGTGGCTCTGCTGTGGCCTTCCTCTGGCCGGGCAGGCACTGTCCAGCCATAGCCAGCTCCTGAGAATAGGTCAGCCTCTCCTTTCTGTCTCCCAGGGCACATCCAGCCCGTGCCTGTGTTCACTGTGCCCCGAAGTGCAATTACCCATACCCCTTCTCAGCCTGGGGACCCCAGGCAACCACAGACTGTCCACTCAGGGGAGCTGAATCCCAGGTCAGCCCTGCCAATGTCCCTTAGGAACTGCCCAGGCAAGGCCCCTGGTTTTGTATACTTGTTCCTGCCACCCAGCAGTAGATGAGTGTTTCAGGTGAAGACCAGGATAGATTTTCTAAGTGTGAATCCCCACTTCACATATGGAACCCCTTATGCTGAACTTGAAAAGCACCAAGACTTCCTGTAGACAAGAAAGTGCTTAGGTAGGGACAGCCCCTGGGCATCCCACCCAATGTAGCTGGCACCCCACTATGGCAAAGGTGCCTTGATAACTGAGCCCTGTATCCCTCCCATGCCCAGCCAGATTCTCATGGGAAGCCCTCTCCCTTCTTTTCTGCCTAACACCATCTCATCGTTTCTGGCCTCACTGTGGACAATCCACACACATTCTTCTTTCCTCTCCTGGCGGGGCACAGAGCCACCCCCTTGCCTTTTCTTTTCTTGAAGGTTCTAGTTCAGCTCCTGATTCATCAGACCCTTCTAGCCCCCTGCATCTAGCAGTGAAGCATGAAGCCTGGTGGGGATGTGGTACTCCCATCTGGTGTGGCCACCAGCTCTGCCAATGTTCCTGTAGCCTTGGAAAACTTGCTCTCTCGGTTCTTTTGGGTGCTGTGTACTCCCCAGCTTCCCCCCTTCCCCCCCCATTTTGCACCTGGGTTTAGTGAAAGGATGGCATTTGGTTGACCCATATAGAAACCCAGAATGAGGTCTCAGGGCCAGGAGGCCTGGTATTTGTAGGCCAGGGAAGGGGAAGAGGCAAGTGGTCTGGGGTATCACCAGCCAGCCCTCTCTGATTTGGCCTCTACTCCCCATAAGTCACAGTACCATAAGCAGGCTTCTGGCCTCAGCAATTTGGTCTTTGTGCCCAAGTTTATTGTGAGAATTTCCTGAAAACTCTATAAAAGGTCTCTTCCTACTGTAGGCCTCTAATGTTTCTCCCCTTTTTGCTTCAGTCCACTCTTCAGTCTTGTAGGCCTAGTTTTCAAACCTGCACATGTGTCCTACCTGGCCACAGGCATGCAGGCCTCAGGCAGCTGGGCCAGTTTGGGAGCCTCGGGTGATGTCTGCACGATCTGGGGCTGCCTCTGCACCCCTGCTGTGGGCTTCAGGGTTGGAGAAGGGCTGGGACCAACCGGGTGAGATCCACAAGTCTCTGGATGTGGCTGAAGGCAAATACACAATTGAAGTACTTTCTGTTTTGAAGTGCTTTCCCTTTTGAATCTGGTTTGAAACATGCAGCTTCTGTCTCTAGCCCAAGGAAAGACCAAAACATAGGGAAATAAAAGCATTTATCTTTGTCTTGGAAGTAATTGTTGAAGTTGTGCAGTTGATCAGTGCACAGTTAGATGCAATGTTTATAGAAATTGATTGTTAAACCAAATTTACACTGGCATGTGTGGTGTAGTTTCTAAAAGGCACTTCACATTTGAAATTTTTCTTACCTTAGAAAGTTTCTAGTGATCTAAATGTCTAGTTTTGTATTCTTTTGTGTGTGTTCACTGTTTCTCAGTATTACCACTTGAATAATTCTCTGTACAGGGGGGTTTGTGCTATACACTGGGATGTCTAATTGCAGCAATAAAGCCTTTCTTTAAAAAGGAGTTTTGCCATGAGAGTGTTTTGCTGCAGGGAGGCTGGGGACGTTGGCAGGCACTCCGGTTCCCTGACCTCCTTTCCAGGGTTGTCTGGCTTACACATCAGGAAATAGTATGCGGCTCCTGGAGGTGTCTGTTTTCCTCAGCCTCCCTCAGACACGTGTGTCGGGGGTGGGCTGGCAGTGTCTGGACGAGTGTGTGGGATGGGAGTGAAAACAGGCATTTCTCACAGGTGTGCTTGCTTCAAACATCCCGTTCCTACCTGAGCTCACCACCCTGAGAGAAGGCAGACTCGAGTCTGTCGCTGCATGACCATGGAGCACTAGATTATGATCCAGCCTTATCCATAGAAATTTGTCCTGACCCACAGCCCAGCTGAGAAAGCACCAGGGAGACCAGCAGGGTTGCCAGTGACAGCTCTGCCACGCTGCATCCCCTGGCTCTGGCAAGGCCTCTGAGGGAAGGCAGTGCCACGATCCTCAGACAGCAAACCGCCCACAGGTCTGGGAGTGCTGAGGCCTGGTTGCAGCTTCCCTACCACATGCATGGCAAGGGTCAGAGGTTGCAGGAGGTGAGGGGTGGGAAGCCAGGCTTGCCCAGATGTGCTGCTGTCTCAGAGGTGATCCACAGAATTGTTCCACTCTGGGCTGCCAGCTGACTTGGGAGCTAGGCACAAGGCTGCTTTGCAGAGCCATGGTCACAGCTGTCCCCAGGAGTGGAGGCCTGCAGCTCCAGGTGGGGGACAGGCCCGCAGAGCTGCTGAGCCTGTGTGGGAAGGTCTGTGCTTGCGGCCAAGAGGAGGTGGGGATGGCCCCTGAGCTCCGTGCTGAGGAGGGTGGAACCGGAAGAGGAACCTGCCCCTGTAAGAAGGTGAGGGAGGTGGCTCTCGGGGAGCCACTGTGCTTTTGGGGAATTTTAGGAGTTTTTCTGAAGACACACTCGACAGTGTCTGGGTGCAGGCAGGCTTGAGAGGATGGAACCAGCCACACTGATGGGGTACTGGCTGCCTGTAGCTCGCTGCCACCAGGGACTCCCCACAGTCTCTGTCGGGGTAGCAAACTGCTCAAAAGCAGCTGTTTTTGTCAATAAACTATTAGCAAACAGCAGTGCACATTCACTTAATATTATCTACGGTTGATTCACAGCTACAGTGGGCAAAGTTGAATTGTTGGGACAGATAGTATGGCCTACAAAGCCTACAGTATTCACTGTGTGCCCCTTTATAGGAAAAGCTTGCCAACTCTGTCAGTGTGAAGGGTGTCCCTAGAGTTGTTGCTGCACAGCCTGTGTGACATCTTAATAACAGAGGCGTTGAGTCACTCTCCAGGGCCTTGGAAGTGCCACTGTGACATGCAATCCTGCCACACCTCTGAGTTGCTTGGCCTCGAAAAAGCCAAGGGGCAACTCCTCACCACTGGGGTGTCAGCCTGGTGGGAGGCACATGATCCCTGGGGCTCACCTCGAGCTCAACCAGATGACCATGGAATGCGGCTGTCTTTTCTTTGGAAAAGAGGGAGTGTCTGATGAAGCACTAAGGAGAGCTTCTGTAAGGTAAAATCAGTACAGCGGAGGGAAAGGCATATGACAAGCAAAGCTGTCAGCATGGTGATAACAAAAGAGACTGAAAATCAAACCTGGTTCCTTTCCCAGGGAAAGGCCCCTCAGGACAGTCAGGGGCAGAGGCTCTGTTACAAGGTCCTGCTCCCGGAGCCACAGCTATGCAGTTGGAGGCATCACGCTCATATAGGTAAATACATAGAAAGTACTATATATATGATGTATTTTGCTTACTGCATTTACACATTACCTCACTTTGCAACTTGCTTTTTTCATCTAACAACCAGTTTGATATTTTCTATGTTAGAACCCAGGCATCTACCTTATTCTTTCTAACTCATGCAGGATTTCTTTAAATCCTCATGGATACAGATTTTTAGGTTGTTTACTGATTTTTGGTATTAGAAACAAGGCTGCAGTCCACATCCATGTCATTTATTTTTGTACACTTGGGGGTGTGTGAGGGAGGGAGGGGCACTTCTGAAGATACATTTCTAGAAGTAGAAAAAGGGTAGATGCATTTGATCTTCTAAGTTGCAAAACTGACCTCTAAAATGATTCACTTACCTTCCTACAGTGAGAATATGAATCTTTCCTGAGCCACATCACAAGTGTTATTTTTAAAATTGTTCCTAAAATGATTGTTACTCCTTTGTATGTCACTGAAGTTTTACTCTCCATTTCTCAGATAAATGAAATTGAGCATTGTTTATTTACTGCCTATTTCTACTTCTGTGAATTTCCATGGCTTGGCCATTTCTCTTGGCTTTTTTGCATTTTTACATTGAATTATAGGTGTTTTTTTCCTGATGTAGGGACACTAATTCTTTGTTTTTATGTAAGTGACACATATTTGCAATTTATAAGTTTATTTTCTTGTTTAAAAGATTTCATTTTTTAGAGCAATTTTAGGTTCACAACAAAATTAGGAATAAAATGAGGCAGGAGAATAGGGTCTGGAGGCAGGTAACCTAAGGGCTTCCTACAACTAAATAAAAGGGAAAAACCCTAATTTTCTACACCAAGTAAATAACTTTGTAACCTCCCTTCATCCTCTTCATTTGCGTAGGGTATACACCAAGTAACCAATGGAAACCTCTAGAGGGTATTTAAACCCCAGAAAAATCTGTATTCAGGCCCTTGAGCCACCTGCTTAGGCCTGCTCCCACCCTGTGGAGTGTACTTTCGTTTTCAATAAATCTCTGCTTTTGTTGCTTCATTCTTTCCTTGCTTTGTGCGTTTTGTCCAATTTTTTGTTCAAAATGCGGTACACCCTCCACCGGTAACAAAAGTAGAGATTTCCCATTTACTCCTGTCCCTACACATGTACAGCCCCCCAGTTATCAATATCCCCCCCCCCCCACAGTGGTGCATTTATTACAATCCATGAGCCTACACTGACTCATCCTCATCACTCAAAGTCCATAGTTCAAGGTTCACTCTTGGTGTTCTACATTCTGTGGATCTGGCCATGTATCCAACATTATAGTGTCATACAGAGTAGTGTTATTGCCCTGAAAATCCTCTGTGCCCTGCCTATTCATCCCTCCCACTGCCCTAGCCCCTGGCAATCTTTTTACTGTCTCCACAGTTTTGCCTTTTCTGCAATATCATATCTTTGGAAACTTATGCACCCTTTTCAGATTGACTTTTAGTGATACACACTTCAGTTTCTTCCACGCCTTTTCATGGCTTGATAGCTCATTTCTCTTTAGTACTGAATGGTATTTCCATTGTCTGGATATTATTTATTTACTCACCTACCGAAGGGCATCTTTGGTTGCTTCCAAGTTTTGACAATTATGAACAAAGCTGCTCTAGACATCCATATGAGGGTTTTTGTTGGGATGTAAGTAAATACCAAGGAGTGTGATTGCTGGATTGTGTGGTAAGAGTATATTTAGTTTTGTAAGAAACTGCCAAGCTGTCTTCCTAAGTGGCTATACCATTTTGCATTCTCTCTAGTTCCTGTTGCTCCACATCCTCCTCCACATTTGGTGCTGTCAGTGTTCTCAATTTTGGCCATTCTAATATGTATGTAGTGGTATCTTGTTATTGCGTTATTCTAAATTTGCATTTCCCTGATAACATAGAATGTGCAGCTTTTTTTTTTTTTTCTTGAGACAGAGTTTTACTCTTGTTGCCCAGGCTGGAGTGCAATGGCGCGATCTTGGCTCACTGCAACCTCCACCTTCCGGGTTCAAGCGATTCTCCTGCCTCAGCTTCCCAAGTAGCTGGGATGACAGGCATGCATCACCATGCCTAGCTAATTTTATATTTTTAGTAGAGACAGGTTTTTCCATGTTGGACAGGCTGGTCTCTTGACCTCAGGTGATCTGCCCGCCTTGACCTCCCAAAGTGCTGGGATTAAAGGCGTGAGCCACCACGCCCCCCAGCTGTGCAGCTTCTTTTCACATACTTACTTGCCATTTGTATATCTTCTTTTGTTTGTTAAAGTCTTTGGCCCATTTTTCAATCAGATTGTTTCCTTACTGTTAAGTTTAAGAAGGCTTTGTATAATTTAAGTAACAATTCTTTATCAGATGTGTCTTTGTAAATATTTCCTCCCTCTCCTAGTGTGGTCTTTTGCAGAGCGGAAGGTTTTAATTTTAATTAAGTCCAACTTACCAATTATTTCTTTCATGGACCATGGCTTTGGTGTTATGTCTAAAAAGTCATAGCCATACCTAGGTCATCTAGATTTTATCCTATGTTATGGGAATTTTATAGTTTTGAATTTTACATTTAGATCTATAATCCATTTTGAGTTAATTTTTGTGAAGAGCATAAGGTCTGTATCTAGATTCATGCTTGTTTGTTTGTTTTTGCATGTGGATATCCAGTTGTTCCTGCACCACTTGTTGAAAAGACAATCTTTGCTCCATTGTAGTGTCTATGCTACTTTGTCAAGGATGAGTTGACTGTATTTATGAAGGTCTATTTCTTAGGCTCTCTATTCTGTTCCATTGATCTATTTGTCTATTCTTTCACCAATACGGCACTATCTTGATTACTGTAGCTTTATAGTAAGTCTTGGAGTTGGGTAGTATCCATTTTCCAAATTTGTTGTTTTCCTACTATATTGTTGTGTTAGCTGTTCTGGGTCTTTTGCTTCCCTATCTAAATTTTAGAATAAGTTGGCCGGGCGCGGTGGCTCACGCCTGTAATCCCAGCACTTTGGGAGGCCGAGACGGGTGGATCACGAGGTCAGGAGATCGAGACCATCCTGGCTAACACGGTGAAACCCCGTCTCTACTAAAAATACAAAAATTAGCCGGGCATGGTGGCGCGTGCCTGTAGTCCCAGCTACATGGGAGGCTGAGGCAGGAGAATGGCGTGAACCCGGGAGGCGGAGCTTGCAGTGAGTCGAGATCGCGCCACTGCACTCCAGCCTGGGCAACAGAGCGAAACTCCGTCTCAAAAAAAAAAAAAAAAAAAAAAAGAATAAGTTTGTCAGTATCCACAACATAACTTGCTGAGATTTTGATTAGGATTGCATTGAATCTATAGGTCAAGTTTTGAAGAACTGACATCTTGACAATATTGAGTCTTTCTGGGGAATATTTACTTATGTCTATTTCTTTAGTTTCTCTTTGATTTCTGTCATCAGGGTTGCAGTTTTCCTCATAAAGATCTTGTATGTATTTTATTAGATTTAAACCTAAGTATGTATTTTTGGAGTATTAATGTAAATAGTATTTTGTTTTGAATTTCAATTTCCACTTGTTCATTACTGGTGAATAAGAGAGTGATTGACTTTTGTATATTAACCTTGTATCCTACAACCTTACTGTAACCACTTATTAGTTCCAGGAGTTTCTTTATCCATTCTTTTGGATTTTCTACATAGATGAGCATGTCATCTGCTAACAAAGACGGTTTTATTTCTTACTTCCCAGTACATATACCTTTTATCTCTTTTTCTTGTCTTACTGCGTTAGGTAGGATTTCATGGTTTTTCAACATTATAAAAATTTTTAAACATAAAAACGTTTAATTATATAGTGAGAATATATATAAACCCTAGAATCTACAATTAACATTTTTCTCCGTATGCTTTACCACAGATTTCTATCTATTAATCACTGTATTCACCCATCAACTTAGGTTTTTATGTATTTCAGAGTCAACTGCAGCCATAATTATACTTCACTACGAAAGTTTCAGTATGCATGTCGTTCACTAGAAGTCAGTATTTGCTCATGGTTCTTGTTGATTTTGGGGTAATATTTACATACAGTGACATGCGTACATCTGAAGTGTACCATTTGATGACTTTTGATAAATGTATCTATCTAGGTAACCTAAACCCTTATCCAAATATAGAACATTATCCTAATCCAGAAAATTTCTTTTCTTTTTTTTTTTTTGAGACGAAGTCTTGCTCTTGTCCCCCAGGCTGGAGTGCGATGGCACGATCTCGGCTCAAGCAATTCTCCTGCCTCAGCTTCCCGAGTAGTCTCAACAGCTAATTTTTGCATTTTTAGTAGAGACAGGGTTTCACTGTGTTGGCCAGGATGGTCTCAATCTCCTGACCTTGTGATCCACCCGCCTCGGCCTCCCAAAGAGCTGGGATTACAGGCATGAGCCACCACGCCCGGCCGCCTGGCTAATTTTTGTATTTTTAGTAGAAATGGGGTTTCACCATGTTGGTCAGGCTGGTTTCGAACTCCTGACCTCAAGTGATCTGCCCACCTTGGCTTCCCAAAGTGCTGGAATTACAGGCGTGAGCCATCGTGCCCGGCTGTGATGTTTTTATTCAAGCAAGCAATTAACTTAGTTGATCTCAAACTGCAAACTATTTGAAAGTTCAAATATCACTTTGGTTGTGCAATGATTTGAATGTATGTGTCCTTCCAAAAATCATGTGTTGGAACTTAAACCCCAAGGTGATGGCATTAGGAGGAGGGGCCTTTTGAGAAATGATTAATTCTTGAGGGTTCTGCCCTCATGAATGGATTGATGTCCTTATAAAAGAGGCTTTTGAGAATGTTCGCCCTTTTTTGCTCTTCTGCTGGGTGAGGACACAGCACAGAGGGCATCCTCTTGGGAGCAGACACTGATCCCTCCCTTACCAGACACTGAAACTGCCAGTGCCTCCTCTTAGACTTCCAGCCTCCAGAACTGTGAGGAATCAATTTCTGTTCTATATAAATGACCCAGTCTGAGGTATTTTATTATAGCAGCACAAACAGAGTAAGACAGGCTGTTTTATCCTAAATTGGGCTGTTTGCAGTTTGCCTTATGTACATGTGTCTTAGGGGTCATCCAGAGGTTTAGACAGTCTATGCACAGAATTTGGGATTCTCCCTCTCCTGTGGTAGCAGTGGAGCTGTGCTACTCAGATACCCAGCTCCAGGGAACCAGAAGGACCAGCTGCAGAGAACATAATTAACTGACGATCTCAGCTGCCACACGTTTGGATCCACTGTGGGGTTCATGCCAAACTATTGCTGTCATTTCTGCCAGATGTAAGATTTCTGTGATGGTGACTTTGAGGACTCTTCATTAGCTGGCATGAGACTTTTTCAGAGGTTCTCTGCCATCTGAAGCCCTTCCAACCCAATCCTTCTCTGTCACTTTTGCCAATGTCAGACCTGCTTCACCACCCCTGCCTACTCCTATTCGTTTCTCCTCTCTCCTTGACCACATGGCCTTGTTGCCTAAAAGTTGGTATGTTCATTCTCACAGTGGCATGGAGCTGAATGCCTCTACCATAGCTGTATGTTTATGTCACCTGTCCCGAAGATCATTCATAAGTGTGGTGGGAAATTCTCCGAGGGATGGCAGGGAGTCTGGGGCATTAAGGGGCTGGACCTCAGTCTCTAGTCCCCACCCCAATAGTCAGGTCTCCTCAGAAGACCTTGTGGCTTCAGGAACGCATGCACACCTCCCCCCTATGCCATGCTGGCCCTGTAGAAGCCTTTACCCAGACACTGAGCTGATGGCCTGCCACACTGGAAGCACCTTCCAGAGACATGGGAGACCCTGATGACATGATTCCGAAGCCAGGGGCTGGAGGGCTGGGAGTTGGGCATGTGAGCACGAGGAGAATGGGTCACCATGCCCAGGCTCAGAGCGGGCTCTGCTACTTGGGGCTGGGGAAAGAGAATGCGTTTTTATTTAATTTAATTTATTTATTTATTAACTATTTGAGACAGAGTCTCGCTCTATTGCCCAGGCTGGAGTGCAGTGGTGCGATATCCACTCTCTGCAACCTCTGTCTCCCAGGTTCATGCAATTTTCCTGCCTCAGCCTCCTGAGTAGCTGGGATTACAGGTACCTGCTACCATGCCTGGCTAATTTTTGTATTTTCAGTAGAGATGGGGTTTCACCGTGTTGGCCAGGCTGGTCTTGAATTCTGACCTCAAATGATCCTCCCACCTTGGCCTCCCAAAATGCTGGGATTACAGGCGTGAGCCACCGCGCCCTGCCCATTTTTATTTTTTATGTCATGTTAAGAACCCTGCCTCAGGAAAAAATAAGCCCCCAGCTCCCAAGACAATGCCTAATATCCATTAGCTAGGTGCCCTTCCAGGAGGAAAAGGAGAGAACAGCTGAGTGCTGGTGCCTTATGCCAGCCCTGGGGCACAGACATAAATAAAGTGGGTTTTCTGTCCTTCCAGGGGCTCCTGTCCCAAGGGAGAGACCACAGAGGGGGCAAGAACAGAGGTTCTGACAAATCCAGGGTAGAGACAGGAACCAAGGATGCCTTCCCAGAGGTGGTGACATTTGGGATGTGTTCCAAAGAGAGTAGACACTGCTTGAGGGAAAAAGCACCTTCTATCCAGACTTGGGTGGGGAGGCTTTTGCCTTGATAAAATCACGGTGACTATGGCTTTTTTTTTCTCTTGGTGTGGGAGATGGCAGTGAGCTGTTTGGGGTGATTGGAATATAACACATGGAACAAGACCCATTTTAAATGAACTGATTTATTTTTATGGCAACCAATTCTTAATTCATTCAATAGTAATTGAATTGGGTACCTACTATGTGCAAGGAATTGGACTAAGCACAAATAGAACAGAAAATAATCATCCCATGTCTCCAACAAGAATAGACATCTATCAGTGGTCGTGATTTGCTGTTGCTGCTTGGTGTGGAAATGCTGAGCTGGGTGTGGACAGGACGCTGTGCAGTCCTGCTCTGTGTAGAATGGGTCCCTATGGTGTTTACACTTTGATCAATCTATGCAGTTCCCTGAAGATCAAAGAATAAATGGAAAGGTACTGGCCTCGGAGGAAGAGATGTGACTGCCAAGAGGCCTGGCCAGACAGCCTGCCAGGCAGGCTGGAGTCCATCTGGCTGGGGCAGCTGGCCTTCCCACAGTGAGACTGGCAGTGTGCTCAGATGGCCACACTGTTCGGAATCCGGTCTGGGGACAAGTAGTAATATGGCAGCTGCTTCTTCTTGTTGCGCTCAGCAATCACGCTGACAATGGCCTCGAGGTTCTTGCGGAATCGGGCCATGGCTTCCTTCACAGGCTTCTCGATAAAATGCTCTTCTGGGTACATGCCCAGGAACAGCTGAGGGCCCAGACATGGACACACACATAGGTCAATCCACTACCCGTGTAAACTGACAGGCCTGTCTCATCCCAAGGGGCCAGCCACCGTTTGGGAGATGAAGGAGGGAGCATCTATTCACCTCCCCATATTCACCCTCTGCTGCCTGACAAGAGGGCCTCGGGAAGGCAAGTGTCGTCGCCTCCAACCTGCTTCTCTAAGGAAGGCTCCAGGGCTGGGGCTTCATGGATAAGTGGGAAAATAACTGCCTGCTGCCAAGTGGTTACGAGATGATGCAGATGAAGCTGGGGGCTGCTGGTGTTTGCAGCCATGGTATCCTGCTGTCTTGGGCCACCCCTGCGCAGCACTCTCACCTCCCATCAGGGGCGCTGGGGCCAGCACTGGCCTCTCCAGCCCAGGAAGGCAGAAAGCGGGCCAGGGAGCCTGAAGGGGTGGCTGCCCTGTTGGGGTCCTGTGCTTATTTGCATTCTCACACAGATGTCTGCGGGGCAGAGCTAGATATCATTTTAAAAAAATACTGTATTGGATTAAGATCACAAAGCTTCTGAGCTGGAAAGGTCCAAGAAACATAGGCTATTGATAATGGGATTTTGAATTTAGTTTGTGGAGGGCAATTCAGTATCAATATTCTTTGACCAAGGAATTTGTCTGCTAGGAATGTGTGCGGTCATACTGAACACATGTGCAAAGCCACAAAAACAAGGATGTCCAGTGAGGGACCAACACATTGGCCGGGAACAACTCAGACACCCAGCAGTCTGGAGCAGGTTGGACTGGTCCGGCCATTCTATGCAGTACTGAGCTACCCCAAAGCGGGTGCATCCACGAAGACACACCGGATTCAGTTGTTAGGTTAAATGAGATGCACGTGTCCGGAAGGAACCCAGGAAACTCTTGGTCATTCCCTCTGGAGTACCAGGGTAAAACACATGTGCAAGAACTTTGTCAATAGCTGGGGGGAGGGGGCGTCACACACGACCCTCTGGTGACAGTGAGCAAAGCCTGGGCTGTGTGCTCTCCTGCCCTGCACACCCTGAGCTCTGTCCAGGCTGAGGCCGGGGGACCTGGTGGCGGCTGCAGCCTTCTGGGCCCTTCCAGCCTTGGAAGTCAGGATTCCTTTGCTCCAAGTGAGCCTTGGGGCCCGAGTCACAAAGCCCTGAGGCTGAGGAACCGCTTAACCTGGGGTGACCTGGGGCTGTGCCCCGCCCTGCCCAGCTTCACCTCGTTTTCCTGGAACTGGCTCAGCGCCCACACTGCACCCAGATGCCAGCAGGAGCGGCCGCGGTCGGGCAGCGTGTCCACGATCTGCTCAATGGTCACCACGCCCTTGGCAGTCGGTGGCGGGGCTCGCATGGTTGGGGGCGCATTGGGGATCCAGGAGCACCAGTCGTACTGCGGAGACGACCGCCAGCAAGCGTGGGCACCCCCGAAGCCCTGCTGCCCAGCTGCCCCCTGGGCCCCGTCCTCCCCGTGCCCCCCAACTCCAGCGGGCCCTGCAGTCCGTCCATCCTCTTTCCCCGCGGCCAGCGCCCTTGGCTGAGCGGGCAGAATCCATCCTGCAAGTCCCGTGCCAGGCCCCGAGGCTGTCCGAGGGTGCAGTACGCGTGCAGAACCGGGGCGGGGGAGGAGGCAGCGGCCTTGAGAAGGGAGCCCTGCCCAGCGGGCCCGGCCCTGCCTACCTGGCCGAAGTTGACCGCGGCGTGCTGGGCGGAGGCGGTGAAGATCACCACGGTCAGGTACTCCGACAGCTGCTCCCGGCTCTTGACCGACTTGGGGAAGCCTAGGGTGGAACCACCGGCGGGCTGAGGCCCAGTCCCTGAGGACCCCAGGGCCCGGCGCCCACCCCGTGCCCGGATTCCCTGCCCCAAGGCCGGAGGGCACCCTGGGCAGGACACCCCGGAGGGGTGGCGGAGGGGCCAGCGCTGCCGACTGCGGGGGAGCCGGGTCCGGAGACGTCCCGGAGGCCCTACCTGAGGACTTGCGGCCCCGCATGCCGTACACGTAGACATCGTTCACGAAGTCCTGCAGCTCCGGGTCCTCCTCCACCACCTGGTCGCCCTCGTAGTAGATGTCTACCACCTCGGCCGTGAACCTGGCTCAGGGGGCGCAGCCGGGGTGGGCGACCCAGCCAGGTCTGCGGAGCGGTGCCCGGCGGCAACCCCCTCACGGACGCTGGGACTCCCCCACCCCGTCCCCATTCAGCGCTAGCGGTGGAGGGGCCAGGCCCGCCCCAGGTAGTCAGGCAGGGGTCCCGGCTCCTCCCCCAGGACCACCGCCCCGCGGGCGCTCACGTCCTGATGGCTTCCCACACCAGGAGCCCGTCGTCCCGGTAGAAGTAGTAGGGGATGTCTTCTTTGCTCTCCATGCCCCGGGCCTTGATGGCCTCGGGAAAGCACAGGGAGGCATAGGTCAGGTCCTTCATGGCCCTCTGCACCATCTGCACGTGCCCACCGCCCCCTGTGGCGTTGGCCTGGAGTGGGAGGTAGAGTGCCCTGAGCGGGTGGCTCCTCCCACAGCTGTCCAGACCCATCCCTGAGGAAATGTGCCAGGGGAGGCGAGGAGGCCAGGCAGGCAGAGGTGCAAGCCCTTGTCCTGTGAGATGGGGGAGGGATGTTTAACGCAGAGAATGACAAGGGCAGCCGGGTGGAGAGGTGCTAGGGAGGAGCCTCCCGCCCAATCCAATGCAAGGGACTGAACCGTGGGGCTGCAGAGTACAAGAGGGAAGGGTGCGCTCCCAGCCACAGGAGGGCAGCAGGCGTGGGCAGGTGTGTGGGGGACCCCAGCACCAGCGGGCCTGGGCTGTGAAGTCTGCTCTAGTGCTGAGCACACGACCCTCAGTCATTGCTCTCAGTGACCCTCAGTTTCCAGGACCCATGCAACTCTGTTGAGGGCCTGTTGTGTGCTCAGGTGAGGGCTGGAGAGACCCACAAGGAGGGATCCTGGTCCTGATCCCGATCCCGGCTTCTGAGTGATGCAGACACACTCACAAGCTCACTGGCACATATGTGTGTCCACGTGCACACACACACATGCAAATACACCCAGGGGGCTGGGCTGTCGGTGCCACAGAGGTTTTGAAGAAGGACTTGGGTGCTGGGGTGCCAGAGATTGGTCCACGGTGGGCATTCAGCCCAAGCAGGACCAACCAGAGCTGCCCCCCAGCACTTTCTGTTTAGATGCGGCTGGGAGATAATGGCCACATGAGAACCTGAGGTGGAGCTACTATGATGAGCTCCTGTGCCCTCTCCCATGGGGGCCTGTCTGCAGCAGGAGAGTGTGATGCCAACACAGGTGAAAGAGACAGAAAGAGGGAGCCAGTGTGCATGCACCCTGGGGCATTGCTTGAGTCCCTGGATCCATTTCTGGCTGAGGCCCCCGACCCTCTATTGTGTCCAGGTATTTGAGATAAGGCATGTCTTGTCCAGCTGCAGCTGGTTTGAGTTGGGTTTTGTCATTTGCAGCCCAAACAGTGTCTCAACTTCAGTGGTCATCTGGCCTGGTCACTAATGGGCTGGGGAAAGGAGGAAGGTTGGGGCAAGGGCCCATGTGAGAGTCCAAGCTTGGTAAGGCTACAGAGGGCTCAAAACGAGGTGGGGTGCTACCTGAGGGATGCGAGGGCTGGGCAGGGCCTGGAGTCCCCGATGCAGGAGACAGTGGGTTGGGAGGGTTGGGACCCGGGAAGCAGAGTGCTGGGGAGGTCCAGGTCAGGGTGGCAGGGGTGTGGCAGATTAAGAGGCAGACACAGGTTCCTGGTGCGTAGGAGGTCAGGGGGCCATAAGGAGTGTGTTCCAGAGGGGGGTCTACACCCAGGTCCCAGAGGCTGGGAGAGGGGAGGGGTGGGAGGAGGGGACCAGGAGCCATCAGTGAGAAGGAAGACCTGGTGGTGCGCCTGGAGGAGTGCTCCTGGCTGAATGGCACGGGCTGGAGACATCAGGAGGATGCTGGAGCCAGTGCTCTGAGCAGACTCCAGCCTTCACCCTTCCAGGCCTCCTGAAAGGGTGTCTAGATCTCAGATAGGGAGTGAAGGCGGCCAGGCTGGGCTCTTCCAGGCAACAAGTAGGGTAGGAGGGCACCCACCTTGTCAAAGAGGCCACACTCGCAGATGAGCTGCTCACGGGCCTTGGTGTTGATTGCAATGGTGAATCTCACGTGTGCCACCAGCAGCTGGGGAGGGGAGAGGAGGAGGCCTCAGAGGGGGCCCAGTCAGGTGACCTGGTGCCTCAGGGACCCGCAGCTCCCCCACCCAGGCCTGCCCTATAGGATGATGCTGGGCGCAGGGAGGAAGTGAAGGCTGGGTGCTGATCTTTCTGCTGAATAAGTGCTGGAGGCCTGCACCCCTCTGATGCTTACTAAGCATGATAATGATTCAGAGGGTCCTGGCCAGCACTTGTACAATGCTTACCTCTTTGCTCCCTGAGTTCACTGTCTTAATCTGACCATCATTCTGTAAGGCAGCTGTACTATTTGACCTGTTTTACTGGTGAGGAAACTGAGGCACATGGGTACTTTTAGCATGCAGTCACCCCAGCAGCCAATGCTTGTAGGATTCGAGAACAGGGACGGAGAGTGATGGCAGGGGCGGCCATCAGCATCAGCCGAGGATCACCATGAACTCATTTGCCTTTTCCAACTCTACTGGCTGGCCAGCGAGGCCCGTGTGTCAGGCCCATGCCCCAGCCGCGTGTCCTGGGGAACAGCAGGCTCCTAGCTGTTTTCTTCCTTTAGGGGCATTACTGACTCTGAGAACATCTCTCCAGGGCTCCCTTTCTGCCACCCACTCCCAGCCACAGGTCCCCCTGTGGGATGTCAGTGATCCCTCCCACTCCACATCTCAGATGCCCTCCCATAGCAGGTGGGGCGGTAGCTGGCTGTACCTTGAAAATGGGGTGCACAGCAGGCAGCTGGCGGTACATTGCAATGCCAAAAACCTCAGACACCAGATGTGTTCGCAGAAGGTGGGTGATGGTCTGGTGGACGTGGAAGTCACTGGAACGCACCCAGATTTTGGCCAAAAGCCAGTCGTATTTTGCATCCGAAGGGAGGAAAATAGGGTTCTCATCTCCCGGGATTTGGTTGAGCTGATACATTGGGGGAAAGGAAACACACTGCTATATTTCACTTCAGAGTATAGTTGTTGGAGAACTTCGCCTCTTGGGAAGTTCCAGAAGTATCTGAATTTCTTTAACAGTGACTTTGGAATCAGAAGAGCCTGGAGGGGGTAAAGGGCCCTGCGGTGGTATTTCCTGTCCCAGCCATATTACTTACAACCTGCATGACTCTGGATGACACACTGGGCTTTCTAAGCTCCGGCTTCAGCATCTGTCATGTGGGGACAGTGATCGCTCGGCTCACAGTTACTCAGGAGCTGGCAGCATGGAAGGAGCGGGCAGGCCGAAGGCCCAGCAGCGGAGGGGGAGGATCGCTGTCCCCCTCTTCCCTCCTTGCCCTGCTCCCTCTTCTACTGCCTCTCCTTGGTCTCTCATACTTTCCTCCCTCTCCTCTTCCCTGAAATGCTGGAGCTCCCCAGGGTCTGCCCTGGTGCTCCTGTCTTCTTTTCTTGCCCTAAGTCAGCTCCTCCTGTTTAAAGGCTTGGGGCCCTCCTGGTACTGAGCCTCCCAGATCAGGGTCTGCAGCTTGAGCTCTGCCTGGAGCCCACACCTGTGGCCAGGCACCTCCTGTAGCAGAGGCTGGACCTGTCTTCCCTTTCCAGTTTCCACTCCACACTGGGACAAGGTGAGTTTTTTTCTTTTCCAAAATGCAAATCATGTCATGTTAACTGCCTCCTCAATCACCTCTTAATGCCAGAAAATAAAATCCCCAAGCTCTGTGGTGACCTGGTTGCTGATGCCTCTGTACACACAGCCTCACTTTCGTGCCCCCACACCAGCACCCAGCCCCAGGTCCCTCCATGCCAGCAGCCCTGCACGTTGCCCCCTTATTGAGAGCCCAGCACAGCCTCAGCACCCGACAGTGAGTTCTCACGGGAGCCGGCAGCAGGTGCTGGCATTGCCCATTTTTACATGAAGACATGGGGTATTGGAGGGGTTGACAGAAAGAATGAGGTGGGTGGCAGGGCTGCAGCCAAGAGCGGCCAGGAAGGGGCATGGCCAGACTTTAGGTGCTGGGAAAGACCAGTGTCACTGCAGCACAGTGGTCATGGCTGGGGAGGGAGAACTGTCCCAGAGCACACAGCTGTGTCACTTGCTATAAGTATTGTGGAAGGTGGGGTCCTTGGGCGTCTCTCCCTCGAAAACAGTGCTGTCCAATAGACATATAATGCTACCCCACACATGGAATTGTATATATTCAGGAAGCCATATTAATAAAAATAAAAGGAAACAGGTGAAATGCCGGTGAATAATATAATTTTATTTTACCCAATATATCCAGAATATTATCACTTCAACATGAAACCAATCTAAAACTATTAAATGAGATATTTCACATTCCCCACCTCCTTATTCTAAGTCTTAAAAATCAGGTGTGAACTTTGCACTTGCAGCAGGTTTTGGTTTGGACGAGCCAAATCCCAAGTGCTCCAGAGCCCTGGTGGCCAGTGGCTCCACCCTGGTCAGAGAGACCCCAGAAGCCTCAGCACTCCCTGAGGACCAAGGAGGGGGGAGGGAGGAGGGAGAGCAGAGTGTGACTTGCACATTAGGCGTGCCTGTCTGTTTATACTTGAGATTAGTTGGCTGCTTTTAAATACCAGACAGTTTCACATAAAAATTTGAATGACCTGGTTTTCTTGAAAAATTAGAAGGTCTCAGAACTCTGCACCCAGGTTCTCACAGAACTACGCTCTTGTCCCTTTTACAGAGTCCCAGCTCTCAGGGTCCCCACTGCCACACCCGTTTGCATGAGATGCCTGGGCCACTGATACCTGATCTGTGCCCTAGAATGCTGGGCTGCCTGGCATGCTCTGAGACACTTTCTGACATGTCCCCACATGCTCTGACATGTTCCTGATGGCTCTGGGACACTGACATGTTCCTGATGGCTCTGGGACACTGACATGTTCCTGACATCCTCTGGGGCCGAGGAGCCCCCCTGTTGTGTGCTAGGGGCTTTACCCATGCTATCTCACTTAATCCTCACTTTGACCCTGCAAGGCAGATATTCCTTGCTGTACCCATTTTACATGGGGGGAAACTGAGGCTCCAGCTGGTTTAGCAGCTCTCCCAAGTCACACAGTAGGTAAAGAGCTCAGCCGGCAACATGATATTGAACAGGCAAAAATTGGAAGCAATCCCCCTAAAAACTGGAACAAGACAAGGATGTCCACTCTCACCCCTCCTATTCAATAGAGTACTGGAAGTCCTAGTCAGAGCAATTAGGCAAGAGAAAGAAATAAAAGGGATCCAAATGAAAAAAAAAAAAAGAGGAAGTCAAATTATCTTTGTTCATCCATGATATGATTCTATACCTAGAAAACCCTGAAGATTCCTCCAAAAGACTCCTAGACTTGATAAACAACTTCAGTAAAGTCTCAATGTTATAAGTAAAATGCTTGTTTAGAAACAGAATGCTTGTTCCTCGGTACTGCAAGGAAAAATCAGCATTTAGACAAAAAGTTTTTTTAGCAAGCCAATTTTACTTTCTGCAGAAAGGGTGCTCCTCGCAGATGGAACAATGGCGAGAGCACACCTGAATAATGGAGAGAAGCAATTTTTATTCCTTACGCAGCTTGTCCCTGCTACCGTGTCCTGTCTCCATTGGCTGGAGCCAAACCTCACAGTCTAAACTAAAACCCGACTGGCTAATAACTTAAAACTTTTCTAAATAGGTAAAAGCAGTGGAAAGACAAAGGAAAAGAGGAAGTTGCTTATGAAAGGACTTAGAAAAGTAATAACATTTCCAAATAAGGAAGGGGCATGGGCTGCAAGCTGGGACATGCCTGTGAGCACGTCCAGCACAAATATCTTGGTTAAAGTACAAGGACATAGAATGTACTCATTCCCTTATATCTAACAGCTACATATGATAGGGCTTAACAAAAAGTTATTAGCACAAAGCGAAAAGGCTTAAAAAAAGTTAGTCTTTAGAAAAAACTATTATTTCTAACACATAATTTACTCCTTAACAAAAAAAAAACTTTTGACTTTCTACACTCAAGATACAAAATCAGTGTACAAAAATCAGTAGCATTTCTTTTTATTTGAGACGGAGTCTCACTATCACCCAGGCTGGAGTGCAGTGGTGTGATCGCAGCTCACTGCAACCTCCGCCTCCCAGGTTCAAGCAATTCTCCTGCCTCAGCCTCCCAAGTAGCTGGGATTACAGGCAGGTGTTACCACACCTGGCTAATTTTTGTATTTTTAATTGAGACGGGGTTTCACCATGTTGGTCAGGCTGGTCTCAAACTCCTGACCTCAGGTGATCTGCCCACCTCGGCCTCCCAAAGTGCTGGGATTACAGGCGTGAGCCACTGTGCCTGGCCTAAAAATCAGTAGCATTTCTATGCACCAACAATGTTCAGGTTCAGGCTGAGAACCATATCAGGAACGTGGTGATCTCAGTTACAATAGTCCCCCATACACAAAATAAAATACCAAAGAATGTATCCAGCCAAGGAGGTGAAAGAGCTCTACAGAGAGAACTATAAAACACTGATGAAAGAAATCATAGATGACACAAAAAAATGGAAAAACATCCCAGCTAATGGGTTGGAAGAAAGCAATCTACAGATACAACACAATTCCTATCAAATTATCAACATCATTTTTCACAGAATTAGAAAAAAAAATCCTAAAATTCATATGGAACCAAAAAATAGCCGAATAGCCAAAGCAATCCTAGGCAAAAATACAAAGCTGGAGGCATCACATTACCTGACTTCAAACTATACTACAAGACTACAGTAACAAAAACAGCATGGTATACTGGTACAAAAATAGGCACAGAGATCAATGGAACAGAACAGAGAACCCAGAAATAAAGCCATATACCTGCAACCAACTGATTTTTGACAAAATCAACAAAAATAAACAATAAGGAAAGGACATCCTATTCAATAAATAGTGTTGGAAAAACTGGCTACCTATATGCAGAAGAATGACGCTGGGCCCCTACCTCTCACCATATACAAAAATTACCTCTAGATGGATTACAGACTTAAATGTAAGACTTCAAACTTTAAACATTCTAGAAGAAAACCTAGGAAAAAATCTTATGGACATTTCCTAGGCAAAGAATTTATGACTAGACCTCAAAGGCATATGCAACAAAAACAAAAATTGACAAATGAGACTTAATCAAATTAAAGAGCTTCTGCACAGCAAAACAAACTATCAACAAAGTAAACAGACAACCTACAGAATGAGAGAAAATATTTGCAACTATGCATCCACAAACGACTAATACCCAGAATCTATGAGGAACTTAAGAAAAAACACCACCATTAAAAAGTGGGCAAAGGACAGGAACAGACACTTCTCAAAAGAAGACATACAAGTGGCCAACAAACATATGAAAAAATGCCCAACATCACTAATCATCAGAGAAATGCAAATTAAAACCACAAAGGGATACCAGTCAGAATGGCTATTATTAAAAAGTAAAAAAATGACAGATGTTGGCAGGATGCAGACAAAAGGGAATGCTTACACACTGTTGGTGGCAGTGTAAATTACTTCCATCCCTGTGGAAAGCAGTTTGGAGATTTTGCAAAGAACTGCAAATAGAATTACCAGTTGACCCAACAACCCCATTACTGTGTACCTACCCAAAGGAAAAGAAATTGTTTTACCAAAAGGACATAGGCACACATATGTTTATTGCAGCACTGTTCACAATATCAAAATCATGTAATCAACCTAGGTGCCCATCAATAGTGGCACCAGATAAAGAAAATGTGATACATGTACTCCAAGGAATACTACATAGCCATAAAAAAGAATGAAATCGTGTTCTTTGCAGCAACATGGATGCAGCTTAGGATTGGCACTTAAGCCATAATCTTAAGTGAATTAACCCAGAAACAGAAAATCGAATACTGCATGTTCTTATTTATAAGTGGGAGCTAAGCATTGTGTACACATGGGCATAAAAGTGGGAACAAAAGACACTGGGGACTCCAGGAAGGGGAGGGAGGGAGGAAAGGGTTGAAAAACTGGGTATTGGGTACTATGCTCAGTATTTGAGTGATGGGTTCAATAGAAGCCTAACCCCAGCATTATGCAATATAACCATGTAACAAACCTGCACATGTACCTGAATCTAAAATTTTATATATTAAAAAAAAAAAAACTGTTCTGACCAGTAAAAAAAGAGCTGAATGAGGATGGGCCCAGTGCTCTGCCTATTTCAGCCCATCACTCTCCCTTCTGCTTCTCTTCACCTCCCGGCCTGACCGGGCCTCACCTGCCCATCTCCTTGAGCTCTTGTACCACTGAGCTGGGCCTTCCCCAACCCATCCTTCACATCCTCCCACTCCTGTCCAGGATTTTGGCCTGCCATGGGATGCCAGAACTTGCCCTGAGCAATTTGTGTTTCTTAAATTTGTTTTTTGGGTAAGGAAGTAGCTTTGCGTTTCTGATTAGAAAAGAATATGTGCTTATCGTAAAAAGAAATCTGAGTCATGACAGGAGAGCCTGAGAAAGAAAACATCATCTCATCTTCCAGCGCCCAGGGATAACCACCAAATTCTGGGGAGCCTCCTTTCATAGGTCTTTGCATGTGTGCACATTTATCTGTCCAATTTTCCATCAACTGAATATGATTATAATCAACATCTGTCTCTTTGTTTTGCTCACCTGTCCCCCACTGGGCCATCACTGTGTTCCTACCTGGTGACACTGCGTCCTTGTGTCCCCATGCTGGCACAGTAGGCCTGCTGCATCCTTGCATTCATTTTACATAAGTGAGACCATGCCCATTGCCTTAGCAGTTTGAAGGAGCTATTTGTATACGACAGATATGTATCCTTTATCGGTCCCTTGTGTCTTGTTTTTCCACTGTTAACTCATTGTGGAGACCCCTCCAGGTCAGCTGGAAGGGAACCAAAGCATTCCTTTCAAAGACGCCTCAACATTTTATGGTGAGGACATGGAAGGGCTCACTCACTCAATCCTCTTCTGCCTTCAGACTGTTTTCAATTTTTTTCCCCATCACAAACTATGCTCCTGTTGCTACCCACACACATTTGTGCTTTCATTTCTGCTGAGTGGCTGCTAGCGAAGGCTGAGCCTTGGGGGTTTGGGTATGTTTTCGAGTAGACAGTGCCTGCCCTACTGTTCCTCAGACAGTTTCACTCTCCTGGTGCACACCTGTTCAGTGCTACTGGCTGTCAGAACACTTAAACAATAAAGTCCCCTCCAGTGCTCCTCCAATTGAGACGGGGCAGGGGCCTCCTCTTAGGGCACTGTAGCCCCCCAGCCCCGCAACAGGGCATGGAAATGAAGGAAAATCCCGAGTTCCTTGAAGGGAAGTTCCAGGCACCTAGCTAGCCCTGAGAAATAAATGAGCAACTTGACAAACAAGAGGGTAACAGCAGCCTAAAACAACAGCCAAGGAAGCCAGAGTCCTGGGCTGTTTGGTTCCCTCTGGAAACTAAAGAGAACCCCTGAACATGTGTCTCTGAGTTGTTTTTCAGAAACCCAGACCCCCACCAAACCGATCCACTGGCACAGAGACCTCAGATAAGACGGAACTGAGGACTGAACTCTGAGCAGGCTCTTTGTTCTAAATTTCTTCCTGGGGGGCCTGGGGGAAGTCCCGCCCACAAGCCACAGCTAACATTCCTTTCTGGTAACCCAAATTTTTAAATGAAACTTCTCTTCCTTAACCAATTTCAAAACAACAAATTTTTGAATCTACCTATGACCTGGAAGCCCACCCCCACTTCAAGATATCCCGCCCTTTTAGGCCAAAACCAATGTGTACCCTCCATGTATTGATTAATGATTTTGCCTGTTAACTTCTGCAATTCCTGAAATTCACTCTGCCTTTAAAAACCCTTACCTGCAAGCCATCAGGGAGTTCCGGTCTTAAGAGTGAGCTGCCCAATTCTCCTTTTTTGGTCCCCGCAATAAATGCCTTGTGTTCTCGTAGATTATATCCCAATCTCAGTGTTTGGTTTTGCTGCACTGGGCAAGCAGATCCCAGTCCAGCTCGGTAACACAACTGTCCTCGCCACGACAGCCTCAACCCCAGGACCCTCTGACCGCCCACTGCAACATGCACCTGGTACAGCAGGCGCTGTGGGATCTGCTCCGGTGCTGGCCGAAGCTCTGACCTTGCTCCGGTGCTGGCCGAAGCTCTGACCTTGGGCTGCCCAGGCCCACCAGTTATCCCGTGAACACTGCCAGGCTGCAACAACTCATGAGCAGAGCATGGGGCTCCGTCCTTGCTGGTGTCTGGGAGTTACCCCTTTGTTTTTCCAACCAGGCATGTCAGAAATGATATCTCATTGTTAACTTTCATTTGCATTTCTCTAACTACAGGTGAAGTTAGGAGTTTTTCCATATGCTGGTTGCCCATTTACATTTCTTCTTTTGTGAATTGCCTATTCATATTCTCTGCTCATTTTTCCACTGGAGTATTGGTATTTTCCCGTCAATGTAAAGGAGCTACCTGTGTATCATAGATAGGCATCTCTTAGCTGTCACTTCTGTTATGGTTACTCACCCTAATCTCTGTTTTGCTTTTTGGCTTTGTTTATGGTTTATCACTCAAGTTTTAAAACATTACATAATCAAATATGCTTAGCTTTCCCCTTATAACTTCTTGGTTTCCTTTTCCTTCTAAAAGTCTTCTGAGTGTCTGCGTAATTAGTTTTTCTAAATTCGTTTACTTTTTTCATTTTAATTTTTACTTCATCTGAATTTTTTCTTTTTCTTCTAAGCAACTCCTCTACATGATGAGATTTATTTTTGTAAATGGCATGACAGAGCAGTCCAATTTAATTTTCTTCTCATGCAAAGGCAGTGTGATAGCATCATTAAAATAATATCCCTTTTTCACTGAGTTGAAAAACCTCCATTGTGATACACTGAATTCCTCTGTGGGGGAGTCCATTTCTGGATCTTACTCTATACTGTCCCCCAATTCTCTCTGTTTTCAAGCACAGTGTCTGCTTAACAGTAACCTTACAAATCCAGCAAGGAAAGTGTTCCTTCTGTGTTTTCTTTTACTTTTTTTTTTTTTTTTTAAAGATAGGGTCTTACTCTGTTGCCCAGTGTGGAGTGCAGTGGAGCGACCATGGCTCACTGCAGCCTCAAACTCCTGGACTCAAGCCATCCTCCCACCTCAGCCTCCTGAGCAGTTGGGATTACAGGCATGCGCCACCATACCTAATTTTTTCTATTAATTTTTTTTTTTTTTAAGACATGAGGTCTCACTTGGTTGCCCTGCCTCTCTATGTGGTTTTAATTTTTTTCAAAAAATTTTTGACTATGCTAGATTTCTTTTTCCATATGAATCTTTCAATTTTTTAATTGTTTTCTCTCCTTTTTAGTTCCTCTTCACCACCACCACACCCCCACCAAGAAAGATAAAAAATTCTGGCTGAAATTTTACTTGGAAGTGCATTAAGTTTTTATAATAGAATTTGGTAGAACTGACATTTTTACAGTTTCCTCCCCAATATCAAATCACTGTTAAGAGTTCATTGTATATCCTTTAAAATAACTTTATAGTTGGCCGGGTGCGGTAGCTCACGCCTGTAATGCCAACACTTTGGGAGGCTGAGGCAGGCAAATCACAAGGTCAGGAGTTCGAGACCAGCCTGGCCAACATGGTGAAATGCCGTCTCTACTAAAAATACAAAAAATTAGCTGGGCGTGGTGGCAGGTGCCTGTAATCCCAGCTACTCGGGAGGCTGAGGCAGGAGAATTGCTTGAACCTGGGAGGTGGAGGTTGCAGTGAGCCGAGATCACGCCACTGCACTCTAGCCTGGGTGACAGTGCGAAACTCCATCTCAAATAAATAAATAAATAAATAAATAAATAAATAAATAAATAACTTTATAGTTTTTCCTTATATGGGCATTATATTTTATTGTTAGTATGGAGAAAGGCTATTGATTTTTTTGAGAAATATATTTATCTAAACACTTTGCCAAATGAATTTATTAATCTAGTAGCTTTTAAAAAAATTAGAATCTCTTGTGTTTTCTAGGTCTACCATAGCATTACCAGAAAAGATCATCTTCCCTGTTCTTTGACAATATGTTTATTGATTGTTTTCCTGTTTTATCATGTGGTATGACCTCTAAAATAATGTTGAATAAAAACAGTGATATCAGCATTCTTATTATTTTAATGGAAATGGCATTAGAGTTGCACCTTTTTGATGTTAGCTATCTTTATCATATAAAGTAAGGTTCCTCCTATTAATTTTTATTAGTTGTGGCTATTAAATGTTATTAAATTCCCTTTTAGTGTGAATTGATATAATCATAAACTTTATCCTTATGGGTATAATAAATTATGGTGGTAGCTCTCTTGATATTGAAATATCTGGAATAAACCCTGCTTGGTTATTACATATAGTCATTTAATACACTGCTGCACTCACTTCGCTAATATCACCTTTAGTTTTCTTTTAAATCTTTATTTAATACTTGGATTGGTCTTCAGCCTTCTTTTGAAGCCTGCCTGTATCCAGTTTCAGAACTAAGCTTACACCAGCTTTATATGATCAATTTGGGGCTGATAAAGAGCCCTGGAAATGTCAGCTGTCTAGTGGCTGGGTGAGACTCAGCTGCTCGCTGTGTAGGTCTGTTTCCAATCACTATATGGAAATTGGCCTATTTTCTACAATTTCTTCTAATTTATCTTTTCCTAGGTTTTTATCCATTTCTCTAATTTTTCAAATTTTTGCCATATTACTCTCATTTAAAAAATATGTAATCATAATTACTGTTCTTTTTTTTTTTTAAGAGACGGGGTCTTGATATGTTGCTCAGGCTAGACTGCTGTGGCTATTCACAGGTGTGATCATAGCACACTACAGCCTCAAGTGAGCCTCCTGCCTCAGCCTCTCAAGTAGCTGGGACTACAGTTGTGTACCACCATGGTGCCTGGCTATAATTACTCTTTTTATGATTCCTTTTTTATTCCGAATCTTGCATTTTTTTTTTCTATCTCTTTTTTTCCATCAGCCTCATGAGGAGGTTATTATTATTATTTTTTGGACCTTTCAAAGAACCAGATCTTGGATTTACTATCCTCTGGCTTTCATTTGCTTGAGTCTTTATAGTTTGCAAAGTTTCCATTTTCAGAAGAAGAAAGAGACCCAGGAACATTCTGTGGCTTGCTCAAGGTCCCACAGCCTGCTAGCAAGTGGCTGAACTGGAATTTAAGCTAGGCCCCTGACTCCAGGCTGCTCCAAGAGATCTCTGAGCCAAGCTTTTGAAGGCACCATCAGTGGTGCCTGGGATCTCCGGGGATCTCCCAGCAATTTTGTCTTCTTTTAGGTCACCTGTCCCTTTACCTGCTGCTTCAGTTTCTTAGGCACAGGGCTTCTCTCTGGTAACAGACAGGAAGCTCCTCTGAGGCTACGTGCCCCTGGGAGACTGTGGGGAGGCTGGAATCTAGAGTCAGATGACCTGGCTTGAATCCTAGCTCTGTGGCTGGCTGTGGGCACCTGTGTCTCAGTTTTCTTATCTGGGTAAAATGATCAACATCAATAGAGCCCACTACCTAGGATGGTTGTGGTGATGATTACACAAATAAAGATAGGTTATCTAAAACCCCAGTGGTCAAATGTGCTTCAGAATCCAGAATTTTTAGGATTTTAGCAGTGGGTATACTTCATTATGTGCCATACCCCCTCCCACCCCCAGTCTAGGGCAACATACTATTTTACAATCGAACAGAGCAGTATTTCTGCAGTGATCCACATACATATCACATTGAATGGAAAAAGCCTCTAAATAACCTCACCTATTGCTTCAAAGAAGGTTTGTTTACAAACAATGAATTTGCTGCACAGTTTTGAAATATGCAGCAGTTTTCAGATTTTTTAGATTTAGAATCGAGGGTAAGGGATTGCGGACTGTGCAGGTTAACCCATAGGATAGCCTTGGCATGTGGCTGGTGCCTGACCTATCCAGCTGCTATTGTGTCCACAGCTCCCAAGGTCCAGTTCATGGACATTATTTGCTGAATGCTCATCTGCCAGTCTCCCACGGTGTCCTCTGCGCAGTTCCTCCCTACTCCCAGGGACCTATGCCCAGTCCAGTCCTGGCCTTGGCCCCTGCTGTCTGCACACCAGCTCCCAGCCTGGCAGCAGGCTGGTGCCAGGAACAGGGGGAGACAAAGCCCTGTGCCCGCCTGCCTTTCCTCCAGGGTCTCCCTCTTCCTCCTGCCTCATCTCCGGTGGACATAAGAACTCACATCATCATCAAAGGTGGCATACCAGGACTGGCCTGGTTCCTGACCCCAGAACCCATGGTGCCCCTCAGTGGTCTTGGTCTCCAGCTTAGTCCACAGCTTCACCTGCCTGGCCCCTGGCAGCACCTTGACTGGGGGCCCTTGGTCAGGGTGCTGGGGTGGAGAGTGCAGAATATGATCCCAGGGCAGGTCCTCCACAGTGTGCCTCGACTGGCCAGGGGCTTCTCAAGTGTGCCTTGGGGAGTAGAACCCTCTCCGCCCCTATGGACAGCCCACCTCAGGGCCTGCAGGAAGCCCTAGTGTCTTTCAAGACATAGCTTCCTCAGCTGGAGTGTGAATGGAGCCACCCAGGAGCCCTGGATCGCAGAGGACTGAGCTGCTCAGAAAGGTGTGCCCCCCAGCAGCCTACCTGGATGGCAATGGGGACAATCTTGTTGGCCAGGTTCTTATACAGCAAGCAGATGGGAGCGGCCAGGAACTGGAGTGTGCAGGGGTCTGTTTTGTTGGCATCGATGCCATCCAGCAGCTCAAAGTCCACGATGAAAATGTTCCCTTGCTGCAGGAGGCAGAGAGATGTGTCCAAATCAGGCTCAGCAGACGGACCAAAAATCAGGCCTGGGGAAAGAGTGATGACCTCTGGGCACCCCTCTCCCTTTCCTGCGACTCAGCGGAGCTCAGAATGTGTACTTCTCTCCTCTGACTCCAAGGCTGATTGATTCACATGGAAGGTGTTCACAGGTTGTGGCAGTTCGGGGTAAGATGAAGGAATGGCAGCAGCTCATTCGGCATTTGTGGTGTCTGAAACCTGCTTGACTGGCACGAAAGATGAGAGACCGACCCGAGTGTCAGTTTACTAAGAAGAAAGAGGTTAGGTGAAATAGATGTGACGAGTTAAATGCCAAAAAATGATGCTGCCGGACTCTACACATAAGTCAAAACTGGCGAACTCAACCCCAGTCAGAGCCAGGACAGGGGTCTCCCTTGGGAGGAAGAGACAGGAAGCGAGGCGGGGCTGTCCGCCGGGTGGGGTAGGGGGGCTGCGGGGGAAGGGGGAGGGGATTCTGCACGGGCAGGGGACTCTACAGGGGTTGAGGGGGGTCTCCAGGAGGTAGGGAAGGTCTGCGGGGGCGGGAATGAGCGTGTTTCGGGAGAGGTGCTGCAGAAGCAGAGGGGGAAGGGTCTGCAGTGGCTGGGGAGGTGGGGGTGGTCTGCAGGGTTGGCGTGTTGTGCCCTGGTCTGAGACTGGCGACACGGCGGGTCATTGGTGTAAATTCGTCGGGCTTGCTGACCCGCGGATCCGTGCCCTTTGCTGTAGGAGTCAACACACCTCGACACGCAACGAGCGTGCCGGTGAAGTGGGAGGCGGGCGGCCGCTGCGAGCCGCGCAGTGGGTCCCGCAGAGGGGCCCCTAGGAACGCCAGGTGCAGGGTAGGCCTGCTGGGCCGGGAACGCAGCGCTTAGGCCGGGGGCATGGCCGCTCCTTCTGAAGCCTTTTCTGTTTCCTGAGTGATGAAGGAAAGGGTGAGGGTCCCGGCTGCGGAGGGGTCAGTATCTACTCTGCCTGGAGACATCCCAGAGCGCCCCCCTGCAGCTCCACCGACCGCGCCCGCGCGCAGGACCCCCGGGCTGCCCGGCGGCACGCAGGACAGAAGCCACCCACCCAGGACGGCAGGAGCTCGGAGCCTGGCCACCGCCCTCCTCCTTTATGTGGTGTGACACCAGGGATGAGCTCTGAGCATCTGTCGCGATGGGCGGGGGAAGCAGGGGTGGGGACGGGGACTATCCCCGCGGAGGCACTCAGGGCACCTTGTGTTGAGGGGGGCAGGTGGAGACCCTTGGGTTGGTCGGGCACAGTGATGTCTTGCCTTCTAGGACTATGGCTGGATAGCTGGACTTTGAGAGCTGAAGTGACCATCAGACTCTACCCAGAAGGAATGGCTGCTAATCCAATCTTGAGACCACCCAGGCTGGTGAAGGTGATACTGGGAATAGGAGGCCTGAGATTTGGGGCCAATGCCTGCAGCATTTCTCTGTTATCCCAAGCCTCCCTTTCATATTTCTGGAAAACGAGGGGCGGGCCTACCTTTCAGTTCTGACATTTTAGGATTCTGCTTCTGACAGTGGAGTTTTTGCCTGTCTAGAGTCCCTGTCCCCTCTAGGTCAGTGTATTCCATTCTCCTGGCCGTGGGCACTGGCTCACAGAATCAGTGAGGCCCGAGGATGGCCTAAGACATCTGCTGGGAGCATTGGGAAACAGGGTCTTTCTTGCTGGGAGTGGGTGGTGTTTGCTAAGCTGGTGGAAGGTAAATCTGAAGCTGCCGGTGATCATTTTTTACCTCCACATAAGGAAACCCTCCTAAGGAAAAAATCACCAGAGGCAGAGGATTGAGACATGGAGCGAGAGAGAGACAGTGCAGGGGATGATCTGAGCCCTGGTCCCAAATGAGTTAGCATTGCTTTTTACTGTTGCCTGAGCCAATAGAGTTCTTGGATTAAACCAGATGGAGTTGATTTTTGTGATTTGAAACCAAAGAATCCAAATATAAAGTCTAAGAACTCAAACTTGAGCTGGAACACTGAATCAATACCAACAACAGGGATACAATTTCTCTATTCATGATCCGGAAAATAACTGCACATTTTAAAAAACAATGGAGGCGTTTTTAGTAGGCCACAAGCTTGCTGTAGATCATTAAGGTGCTGCCAGATGGGCAGCGTGAATGACTGTGGGGATTAAGAATCATGCTGGTGTGTATTAGACGGGGCAGTGTGTGTTTAAGAGTCTAGTCAGTGAGGGGTGGGTCAGCTCAAAGGAAAGGTGACTCATAACCCACGTGCCCTGGAGGTGGCCGGGACTCCCAGTGGGAGGCTGATGCCCTGCCAGGTGCTGAGGATGGCCACTCCTTGGCTGCTGGGTGCAGAGATGGCTGCTCAGAGTCTTCCAATTCTAGGATTCTATATGGCTTAAAGTTCTATGATCTCTGACTTGAAGTTTGAAACCTATAGCCACCAAATCAATGTTACTACATCTAGCAATTCAGTCCACTCAGGAACACAGATGCTCTCTCAGTGTGTGGGGGATTGTAACTGTCAGCTGTTCACATGACCAGGAAGTGTTCTGGGCCTGGTTGGGTGCAGGAGGAGGAGGAGGTTAGGAAACACTGCCTGCACTGGGGCAGGAGACTTGCCCAGGGACTTCAGCTGGGTGGGTGGCCCTCTAGATTCAGGTGGGCCAGGTACTGGGGCTGTAGGTTTATCTCTAAAGGGCACCAACCATCCCTCTCCAACTAGGGCCTCAGGGTAAGCTGAGCTCAAAAGACTGGAAGCAGCAGAGGCCACCTGGACACCTGGGGATAGGCAGCAGGGCCTGGGTGGCAGGAGGCCCCATCACGCTGGATCCATGGGGAAGAGGCAGGCTGATGGGCCAGCGCCTGTTGCTGAGCCCCACCAGATCCAGGTGGAGTTGGTTTGAACTTCTTCTGTCTCAAGACTAGGTCAGCCTTGCAGCCGGAGGCAGCTGAGTCTGCAGGTGAGGGTGGGGAGGAGGGTGCGACAGGAGCATGGGCAGCAGCATTTCTAACGAGAAAATCAACCATTCTGTTGGGTTTCTCCTCGTGCCCCTTTTTTATTCTCACACAAGGTCTGCTTCTTTCTCCAGTGTTCTCCCCTTTGCAAGGTGGGTGACAACTGATGACCTTGTGTGTAAAGCACCTGTCACAATGCCTGTCCCACCACAGGCCCCTAATCAAGGGTAGCTCCTGTAATTATTGATACTGATAGTGAAAATATTGACATTATGTTCCCAGACTCGAGCATCATGGAGAAACATTCCCCGCAATTCCTCCTCTGATGTTGCACAAGACAGTCTGCATAATGCCCAGGACCCTGGCTGACACTGCTGCCAGGAAAAGGAAGCGGCTGCTGTAGGCCAGATGGGCCTGCAGTTAGCGTCTTGGTGGCCTATGAGCACTGGCCAGGAGGAACTGGCTTCCACCTGACAGACTGTGACCTTGGCCACTTCCCCAGCCCATCAACCCCTACCTGGACCTCCTGCTCCAAGCTGAGCTGCCGCTCCAGGCTGCACTCTACCATCTCCGTGGTCACCGGGAGCTTCTCGGGCAGCTCTGTGCAGCGCCGGATCAACACAGGGTTGCAGCCATTCAGGAACTGGTAGCCAAACATCAGGTCTTCCTGCCAGTGATTCATGACCCGCTCTACCAGGAGAAAAGCGAGGCCCACCCTGAGCTCTGAGTAGAGGGCAGCCAGGGCCATGGCCCTCCTGACCTCACCTAAGAGCAGAGTCCCTGCTTGGTCTCCTCTCCCGAGTGCTCCCTGGATGGGCACAGCTCCAACTGCTGCCCCCTGCCCATCACTGGGTCAGGCTGTGGCACCAACTCATCATACCTGAGCTGGCCCTTCGTGGCTCAGAAGCCTCCTGGAGCACTCAGGTCCTTCAGCCCAGCATGGAGTGTCCAGGATGGAAGAAGGAGGGCGTGGAGGAGAGTCCCTGGGGGCAGTTTGCCAAGTTTGGTTCCCCATGTCCTGATTTCAGCACCTCTTCTTGTCCAGCCATTCCTGCCTTCCTAACGTCCTTCCCATGCCATGACTGGCCACTATGAAGCTAGTGCTCTCATCAAACACATCCTAGTCCAAAGGAACCCAAAGTTGCTTTTGTGTAAATACCTAAAACACAAGCCAAGTTCTGCCTTTGCTCTGTTCAGAAGCACAAATGATTGATTTGTGCCAAGAAAAAGTTCTGATACTTTTGAGACTTTTGATAGTGAAATGAGGTTGAGGGTGCTCGAGCTTGAATATCTGAGGAGGAGAAACCTCTGGGCACAAGGGTGACCACAGTGATGGTAAAAGGTGTGGAGTGTAGGGGGTGCTGTCCAGGGTGGCATGGTGGCAGCGAGGCCCCCATGCTGCAGCAGGCAGGAAGGCCCTTGTCAATTTCCCGGCAAGTATCAGACAGGAGAGCAGCATCCCCTGTCCCCAGCACCACTTGGGCCCCCAGAGGCACACTCACCAGAAATAGTGTTGCTGATCTTGACAAAGATTTTCTCAAAGTCGGCGAAGTCATTCCAAGAAGACTGGAACATGTGCATGAAGCGGTTGATGAACAGGTTCTCCATCCTGCAGACCAGGAGAGAGGTCACCTTGCGCACACTAGCCATGCCTCCCTCTGCAGAGCCCCTTCACACCAAGCTCTCAGGGGTCCTCACAACCCCCGCCCCCTCCAGGCAGCTCTGCAGAGGTAGGTGACTGGCTTTTCAGAACCAGGTCAGAAACTGGCATCTATACGGGATGCTGTTCTACTGCACCTCACCTGTCGAAGAGACAGGCCAGTACCCTCCAGAATAGCCTGCAGTGCCTTGAATTCCATTCACACATGTGTTCATTCATTCACTCATCGGGCACTTGCAGTCCCCCACTCGGTGGGCCAGTCCCTGAGAAAGCTTCTACGAACAGAGATCCAGCTGCTCTACCGTGTTGCCTGGCTTTTGGGGCGATGAACAGTTCAATTGACTTGAAAACTCATGTATTTTCTGCTAAATGGCTCCGTGTTTGGTGCTGAGGAGAAGTTTCCAAATGCTCACTGCACAGGACAAGAAAATAGAAACCCAAGGCCAGAGCTTGCTAAATTCAGAATGCAGGCTGCAGGTACTAAGGAGTGAGATGTGAGTGTATGAGCAATCCCCAGGGCTTCCTGGAGGAGGCAGGGTGTGGGATGGGTCCAGGAAAGGTGGAAAAGAGGGGAGAGACTTCCCAGGCTTCCTCCATAACCCTGCAGAGTGCAGGACAGGAGCGTGGGAGTGCTGCCCAGTGTTCACCATGACACACTGTGCCTCAGTTTCTCTCTCTGGCACACAAAAGACTGAGATTAACAAGATAGCCTGTTGCCTCTCCACCGTCAGTGCTCAATCACTGCCCACTCTTCAGCCTTGACTCTGGTTGCCCCTCAGAGCTCAGGCCTTTGCCTTGGGCCTTTGCACATCTGTTTCCTTCAGGCTGGAATGCTCTGTGCCCCTTTCTTTTCTGCTGTGGACTAAATTGTGCTCCCCAAATTCATGTGTTGAAGCCCTGACCCCCAGTGTGATGGCATTAGGAGATGGGGCCTTTGGGAGGTGATTAGGGTTAGACGAGGTCACGAGGGTGGGGTACCCGTGATGGGATTAGCATCCTCGTAAGAAGAGGAAGGCACCGAGGGCTTATTCATGCCCTGTCCCCCTCTCTCTGCCACGTGACCATGCTGTGGGAACACAGAGACATCTGCAAGCTGGGAAGAGGGCCCTCACCAGCAAGTGGATTGGCTGGCACCCTAATCTTGGACTTCTAGCCTCCGGACCTGTGAGAGACAAATATCTGCCGTTTAAGCCATCTGGTCTGTGGTATTTTGATGTGGCTGTCCCAATAGACTATGCCATTCTCTTACTGCGCACATGGGGTGTATCTGGAGGGCTCACTGGAGTGATGCTGTCTCTGTTCATTTCCTCTGTAGCTCTTACTGCAGCTTAAGTGCAAACTCACGTGTATGAATCTATGCCTGCTGCCCTATGCATGCTGAGGGCACAGTCATGCCTGCACTTTACTCAGCATTGAGCCCAGGCCTTCTAGTGTCCAGAGGGGCTCATGCAGCATCGCCTCATGGACTAAGAGGTGACCTCACCTGGTGCAGGGGACTGTGCCCGGGGCACTCCTCCAGTGGCTCCCCTTCCTGCCCACCCCTGAGGAGGCAGCCCTAGGTGGCCAGGACCCAGTGCTCTGCCTGGACCCACTTCTCAGGTGGAGCATGGCTGGGTCTGAGCTGTAGACACACACCTTGTCATGGGGAAAGCTGGGGAGTCAGGGACCTCCCCACATCCTCCTGATCCAGCAGAATGAGAGGATGGAGGCTGGGGAGAGCCTGGCTGATGGGACACAGGGCTTGGTGACATCCCAGCTCTGTTGTCTCAGGGGAATCACCCTGTGAACATGCATGAAGGCAGCAAACTGGAGCAACCACAGGGGGGAACTCCTAGGATAAGCAAGAGACACTGGGGGTCTCTCCTGCCTGCCCTGCCAGGTCTAGGGGTGCATCCAGGCAGAACAGCAATCCCCTTCCATCCTTTCTTAGCTTAGCAAATGCTTCTCTCCTTTGTCCTGGCTACCCTGGGTCTCCTAGGAGGCCATGATGCTCAGGAGAGGGTCCTGGGGCCACAAGGCTAGAGGCCTTTGTGAGTACTGTCTTTTTCTCCTCATGTGTCAGGATGAACAAGGAGCCTGCAGGTGACCGAGAGGGTGTACTGCTGGAAGTTGCCATGGCACAGCCTGGGCAGTGTGGCTGGCTTTGTGATGGGCTGCATACAGTAGGTGCTCAGTGCTACAGCACCCTGGAGCTGTCGAATAATACCAGCATCATCTTCCAGTCCTTCTGGTACCTTCTTCACTTGGATCCAGCCCCTTGTGGGGAAGGAGGGGCTTTTACACAGGTGCTTGCTTCCAGGGAGGCTGCTGTGGTCTCACCATGGCTACGACCAGCAGCCAGGCACTGGAATACCCAGAGAAGCTTCTTTCAGCCTTGCTGCCTCCTTCCTCCCCCAGCACCCCTCGTCAGCTGAGTGTTCTGGGCTAGGAATGCTTGTCAAGCTGGAGGGGTAAACCTCACTGTAGCATCTGGTGTCAGTCTGGGTGGGGAAAAGAACTTATTTCTGGGAGATGAGAGGCCTACGCAGGCCCCGAGAGCCCTGTAGGGCCTGAAGATGGCCCAGTGCCAGAGGGTGCCCCAGAAAGAGGTCCTGTGCTGGGGCACCTGAGGTCCCGGGTGGTCCCTTGCCCCTGTTCTTTGGAGGAACCAGGAGTGAGTCACCAATTACCCAGCTGGGTCTGTTTGACCTCAAAACAGGAGGTTTACTCTGAAAACAGGGTGGGTCTGGTAGTTCTCAGAAGAAGCCACAGATGTAGGAAGAAGTGGAGTTAGGAGGAACATATTTACATGTCATCTAGAGGCAAAATATTTCTATATCCTTACAGATAACTGGAATATTCAGGGCTTCGAAGACCCGCTTTTGTAAAAAGAAGGACCCTGCAAGCCAGAGAGGGCACCAGGCTTTTTCAAGGCCACACAGGCAGGTAACAGCCACCTTGATCACCTGGCCTAGGGGCAGTGACCTAGCTTTCTCCTGCATCTTCAGCTTTCTCCTGTGCCAAACTGTGGCCCAGGCTGGGCACCAGCTGTTGGCCATGTGCCCGGTGAGCCCCCCACCCCTCGCCCCTACTTCTCCCAGGACGGGCCGCATTTCTGCACTGTCCCGCCTCACTGGGAAGGAAACTCTCTTTCTCAATTTGCTTTAATGAGGCCATTGAGGTTCACCTAACCTCTGTCTCCCTGCTCTTTCCTTCTGCTACCAGCTTTTCCATTTTTTACGCCACAGTTGTGCTGTGCAGGGCAGGAGCAAAGCCTGCTGAGGAGGGCTGGCCCCCTTCCAGGTACAGCAGGTGGCTAGGAGGAACTGCGTGCCAGAATTACTCAGAAGCAGCGGCGAGGAAACCAAGCTGTCGCCAGCCAGAGGTTTAACGGGGAAGGCCTCCTCGGTGACTTCAGCCAAGTTTCAGTTTCCTGCCAGTGGGCACTGAGTTTAACCCACTCTAGGCGGGGAGTGTAGCCATCCAGATTTTAGCAAGGGCCCCAGGGGATTCTGACGCAAGCTATACTTTGAGAACCACTGCTGAAGAGTTTGCAATGTTTTCCAAATTAATTTGACTACAGAACAAATCATTTTTTTGAGGGAAACATGACTTCATGCTTTGTATTAACTCTTGGTCTTATTTTATGATGCATTTTTAACAACATGATGCTACCTTAGCAAATAAAATTGAAATTTTCTAGCCTCGTCTGATTTTTAGATGGGATACCACCCTACATTTTCCAAACAAATTTATTTTACAATGGGACACATCCCTGATTTCATAACAAAATTTAATGAAAGTCAATATGTTTTATAGGCATCAGTTAATAGAAGGGGATTATTTTTTAAATTTCCAAGGATTTCAGAGGCTTTCGGGTAGCATTTGGGAAGTTAAAAGTGGGAGAATCCTACTTGTGTCACAGGAAAAGTGGTTCCTATGAGTGCTTTGGTGACTTGGGGCCAAATGGTTTCTGAGTTGGGATGACGATAAGAGGGGATGTGGTCTTCTTCCCATATACAAACCCACGCTTTGCTTTCCAGTGCCAGGCCAGCAGGCCCCCTCCTCTTCCGGCCTCTCTTTCCTCCGCCATCACTTCTCCCGATCCCCAGCCTGGGTCCTCACCCTTCCTCCTGCTGCTACGTCCCTCCCTTCCTCCACAGGCACCCTGCCCGTCCACTGAGCTCAGGGCCCTTCTCTCCTGGCCTGGCCCCTCCGCAGCCTTCCTTGCCTGGGGGATATCGCTCCTTCCCTACACCCCTGGTGCCTTTTGAAACAGGGTCTCACTCTGCCGCCCAGGCGGGAGTTCAGTGGCGCAGATCACTGCAGCTTCCACCTCCCCGGCTCAAGCGATCCTCCCGCTCGGGAATCCCCGAACACTGGGATTACAGGCGTGAGCCTCCGCACCCACTCCCTACCGATCATCCCCCTTCAGGACGCTGCCATCCATGTAGCTGGGTCGTCTGGAGCACGGGGCATGTGGCTGGCCTGCGGGGCTGGGGGAGGGCCGGTGGGAGTGGCTGCCCTCAGAGCCCACCCCCTAGGCCTCTGCCTGCCCCCAGGTTCCCTCTCCCCCGTCCCTTGTCGGGAGTCACTCGTCAGCTTCTCTTCTCAGCCCGGCTGCGCAGCGCTCTCAACCCAACCCCTGGACTCATCTTCGCCCCAGCCTCCTTCGTGCCCAGCGTCCCTTGTAAATGACCCCCCCGGCCGGGTGCCCCGCTTTCTCTCTCGGCCTCTTCCGCGTGGTCTGCTCTCCGCCCGCCTGCGCTCGCCCGGCCTCCCTGCCTCTGCGCCTTCACCTGACCGCAAAGGCGGCCAGGGCAGCCTCCGCGCGGCCTGACAGTCACGGCTCCCAGTTTGTCCCTGGACGTGGGAAACTCGGGCTCATAGCGCCTCTACGTACACTGCGGCACAGACTGGCGTTTCCTACGGCGCCTTCACTGGAAAGCGCCCCTGTGGTCCTGGGGAGAGGGCGGCTCCATCCGCCACCCTTCCCGGAGCTGCCCCCGCCCATTCTCATGGGAGGAAATCGCAGGGCGTGTGAGCCCCCGACCCCTCGCCCCCACCTCTTCCAGGACCGGCCGCATTTCTGCACTGTCCCGCCCCACTGGGAAGGAAACTCTCTTTCTCAATTTCCTTTAATGAGGACATTGTCTTTTCAGCCCTGCCACCCCCTGCAATCGTCTTCCAGGCTGCAAACAGCGAGTGGGGAGGTGAACACATCAGCTTTTCCTCCCTCCACACCACCAGGAAATTTCGCAAACCACTTGGCTCTCGGCGGCCTGGCCTCGCCACACCTGTGCCCACAGTCTCTCTCCGCTGCAGCCCCCTGTGCCATTCTCCAGGCCCCACGTACCTCTGCCTGGGCCCAGTAAGACCTGGTCAGATGGCCCCCGGCTGCAAAGCCTTCCTGGGCCCCATCAGAGAGGACGCCCAGGTGAAGCGAGGGTCCCCTGCCCACCCTGCAAGCGCAGGGGCCCTTCCAAGAGTGCAGCCCTAGGCCGGTGTGTGATGGTGGAGACGCGGTCCCAGAGGGCCTGAACCAAGAATGGAGAAGACAAAGGCTGTCTTTAGGGAGAAACTTCCCTGAGGGGCTGATGTGTGCGATCCCATTTTAATCTCACAACCCTGGGGAGGAGCTGGGGCCGGGTCTCATTGTTCATTTGAGGACACCGAGGCTCAGGGAACTTAGACGACTTTCCTAGGGTCCCCCCAACCCCCACCGGCCCAGGGCCCTCTCCCAGGCACCCCTCATCCCCACACAGGCTCCTCTAAGCTGCTTCCTTGTGGTCCAGCCCCCTTGGCTCAGCTCCTCAAATACAGGGACACCTCTTCTCTCCCCCGCAGAACTCAAGGGTCTCCATCCACTGTGCCAGCACAGAGGCGGTGCTCAGAGTGGGGCTAAGCTTACTGTCCAGCCTGCTGGGCCAGGAGGGGCAGAAGGGCCCCTCTCAGGATTCCTTCGCTCTGCTCCTGCCAATAGGCCATCACTCAAGGGGCTAATGACAGGACGATGTGGAGAAACGTGGGCTGCAGCACTTCTGGGGCCAAGGGCAGGGTGGGCGGCACTGGGGAGTACAGGGGAGGGGACCTCACTGGGGCCAGAGGCTTCTAGAAGCTTCTGCAAGAAGGGGCCCCTCACCCATGTCTTGGCCAAGAAGTGGGGAGGGTGGGTGTGGCAAAGGAAACAGCTAGGTCAGAGACAAGAGATGCTCTGCAAAGCCCTGCTGGCTCCCCACGGTGGAGCATCCTATGCATGTAGGACCTGAGAGATGGCAGGGGCGGGTGCGTCCCTATGGATGTATCTCCATTTCTGGGCAGAGACATCTGGGCTCTCACCTGCAATTGAGCCAACCAAGAAATTATATTTACTTTTTAGAGCGAGCCTCCAACAAATTATACAAGCACTTGAGAATAAGCCCTCCCACTGTCTTGAGAGATGGAGCCCAGGGAGGCAGCTGGAAAGATGCTCCTGCCCTCACTCAGGAGAGATGGTGGAGCTGGGAGAGGAGGAGGCACTCCCTGGGACCCAGCAGATGGACTTGACTCAGCAAATAGATGCAACCATATGTGGGGGGTGGGGAGGCCCAGAAAGGCATTACAGGCCAGTGTTCTTAATCCTGGCTATACACTGGAATCCACCAGTAGCCCTAAAATATAACTGTGCTGGACTTCCCCTGGTTCCACAGTTTGTGCAGAGTGGGCAGCATGGAGTCTGTAACACTAAACACACAGGATTGAGAACCATATGTCTAGGCTGTTGTTAGCCATGATGGGGATACATGAAAAGGAGGTGCACAGTTACCTTCTATACCACAGGATAGGTGCTCATTAAACCCTGTTAAAATGGACTGTGACCCAGCTGGCACTCAGGGGCACTCAGGGGCCAGGTGGGTCACACTTTCATTTTAATAGGATTTAATGAGCACCTATTCTGTGACAGCTGCTAAGATACAGAGGCTCCTGAGATACAGAGATGACAATGACCTTCAGAAACACTGAACAGAGATAAGAAAGGCACAGTCTGGCCTTCACTCCACCATTAATTCCTCCATCCATCCATCCATCCATCTATCCATCCATCTCTCTGTCTATACTTCCATCCATCCACCATCCATTCACCATCCACCCATCAATCCATCCACCCATCTATCCATCCATCCATCTCACTATCTGTCATCCATCCATCCATCCACCATCCATGAATCCATCCATCCGTATATCAATTTCTCATCTATCTCTCCATCCATCCCCCATCCACCTCTTCTTCCATCCTTCCTCCTTCCCTTCATCCATCCATTCATCATCCATCCCTCAACCCATCCATCTGCCTGTCCATCGGTTTGATTGTCCATCTGTCCAGTATTCCTCCATTCCCTCCAAACTGGGTGGCAGTACTCTCCACCTCACTACCTCACCATCCTTATTATTCCCTCCAAACTGTCTCTTTCACAAGGGCCTTCTGTCCTGCCTGTCCCATCCTGGTCTGGGACCTATCCCACTAAAGCTACATGGCTTTGATCAACAATCCCAATCCCAGAGTAGGGGAAGGGAAGTGAGCCCCTAACTGCCGTGATGTTTCCAGGGAGATGGTGGATACTGCTGCATTACTAATCCAGATGTTAGGTTTTAATTTTTCTCTCCAGTAGACCCCAATTGTGGTAGGAGAAAAATGCCCCAGCTTTGGACACAAACAGACCTGGATTCAAATCCTGGTTTTGCCAATTTCTGCCTAAATGACTTTAGGCAAACTCCTTGACCTTGACCCCTTGGAGACTCAGTTTCCTCACCTAGAAATGGTCAATAATATTATTTACCTCCCAGGATGGCCATGAAGCTTAAAATAGATTATTGTACCCCCCAAAACACCGACACAATGTTTAGAAATAAATAATATTATTTTAAGCTTTGAAGTCTGGCTGGGTTCTCAGCCTCGTCTACCTGCTGGGTGTGCAGACTCAAAGCCAGGGTCCCACCCTCATAGACTGTCATCTGTGGGTGTGGGGTTGGCCTGGCACTAGCAGGTGCTAATGCTCCTCAGAGGATTCTAGGTGTAAAAGGAAATGAAAATCTTTGGACCCCAATTCACTCTGCCAAAAGGGAAAAATTAAGCTGAAAGCTGAGTGATGCAAGAAACGAAGATAGCTACAGATAAAAGGTGAAAACCTCCACAGGTAGCTCTTGGTGTTCACCTTATCAAGTGCTGATGTACTAAGCGCAAGAGGAATACATAACTGACTATTCCCCTACCTGCTCCTTTTCTTTTGCAACATGTGGATTCAGTAACGTGACCATGCCCTCCCTTTCTTCCTTCCAGCCTGTTCTCCTTTAAATATTGATGCCCTTAAAGACATCTTCGGAAAAAGGCACAGTCCACCAACTGTTCCTGTGGATTTGTGTTCCTTTTTTCCGTGTATGTCTTTTTTTTTATTATTATACTTTAAATTCTAGGATACATGTGCACAACGTGCAGGATTGTTACATATGTATACATGTGCCATGTTGGTGTGCTGCACCCATTAACTCCTAATTAGGTATATCTCCTAATGCTATCCCTCCCCCCTCTCCCCACCCCATGACAGGCCCTGGTGTGTGATGTTCCCCTTCCTGTGTCCAAGTGTTCTCATTGTTCAATTCCCACCTATGAGTGAGAACATGCGGTGTTTGGTTTTTTGTCCTTGCGATAGTTTGCTGAGAATAATGGTTTCCAGCTTCATCCATGTCCCTGCAAAGGACATTAACTCATCCTTTTTTATGGCTGCATAGTATTCCATAGTGCATATGTGCCACATTTTCTTAATCCAGTCTATCGGTGATGGACATTTGGGTTGGTTCCAAGTCTTTGCTATTGTGAATAGTGCCACAATAAACATACGTGTGCATGTGTCTTTATAGCAGCATGATTTATAATCCTTTGGGTATATACCCGATAATGGGATGGCTGGGTCAAATGGTATTTCTAGTTCTAGATCCTTGAGGAATCGTCACACTGTCTTCCACAATGGTTGAACTAGTTTACAGTCCCACCAACAGTGTAAAAGTGTTCCTACTTCTCCACATCCTCTCCAGCACCTGTTGTTTCCTGACTTTTTAATGATTGCCATTCTAACTGGTGTAAGATGGTATCTCATTGTGGTTTTGATTTGCATTTCTCTGATGGCCAGTGATGATGAGCATTTCTTCATGTGTCTATTGGCTGCATGAATGTCTTCTTTTGAGAAGTGTCTGCTCATATCCTTTGCCCACTTTTTGATGGGGTTGTTTTTTTCTTGTAAGTTTGTTTGAGTTGTTTGTAGATTCTGGATATCAGCCTTTTGTCAGCTGAGTAGATTGCAAAATTTTTTTCCCATTCTGTAGGTTGCCTGTTCACTCTGATGGTAGTTTCTTTTGCTGTGCAGAAGCTCTTTAGTTTAATTAGATCCCATTTGTCCATTTTGGCTTTTGTTGCCATTGCTTTTGGTGTTTTAGACATGAAGTCCTTGCCCATGCCTATGTCCTGAATGGTATTGCCTAGGTTTTCTTCTAGGGTTTTTATGGTTTTAGGTCTAACATTTAAGTATTTAATCCATCTTGAATTAATTTTTGTATAAGGTGTAAGGAAGGGATCCAGCTTCAGCTTTCTACATATGGCTAGCCAGTTTTCCCAGCACCATTTATTAAATAGGGAATCCTTTCCCCATTGCTTGTTTTTGTCAGGTTTGTCAAAGATCAGATGGTTGTAGATGTGTGGTGTTATTTCTGAGGGCTCTGTTCTGTTCCATTGGTCTATATGTCTGTTTTGGTACCAGTGCCATGCTGTTTTGGTTACTGTAGCCTCGTAGTATGGTTTGAAGTCAGGTAGCATGATGCCTCCAGCTCTGTTCTTTTGGCTTAGGATTGTCTTGGCAATGCGGGCTCTTTTTTGGTTCCATATGAACTTTAAAGTAGTTTTTCCCAATTCTGTGCAGAAAGTCATTGGTAGTTTGATGGGGATGGCATTGATCTATAAATTACCTTGGGAGTATGGCCATTTTCATGATATTGATTCTTCCTATCCATGAGCATGGAATGTTCTTCCATTTGTTTGTGTCCTCTTTTATTTTGTTGAGCAGTGGTTTGTAGTTCTCCTTGAAGAGGTCCTTCACATCCCTTGTAAGTTGGATTCCTAGGTATTTTATTCTCTTTGAAGCAATTGTGAATGGGAGTTCACTCATGATTTGGCTGTCTGTCTGTTATTGGTATATAAGAATGCTTGTGATTTTTGCACATTGATTTTGTATCCTGAGACTTTGCTGAAGTTCCTTATCAGCTTAAGGAGATTTTGGGCTGAGACGATGGGGTTTTCTAGATATAAAATCATGTCATCTACAAACAGGGACAATTTGACTTCCTCTTTTCCTAATTGAATACCCTTTATTTCCTTCTCCTGCCTGATTGCCCTGGCCAGAACTTCCAACACTATGTTGAATAGGAGTGGTGAGAGAGGGCATCCCTGTCTTGTGCCAGTTTTCAAAGGGAATGCTTCCAGTTTTTGCTCCTTCAGTATGATATTGGCTGTGGGTCTGTCATAAATAGCTCTTATTATTTTGAGATACATCCCATCAATACCTAATTTATTGAGAGTTTTCAGCATGAATGGTTGTTGAATTTTGTCAAAGGCCTTTTCTGCATCTATTGAGATAATCATGTGTTTTTTGTCATTGGTTCTGTTTATATGCTAGATTACATTTATTGATTTGCGTATGTTGAACCAGCCTTCCATCCCAGGGATGAAGCCCACTTGATCATGGTGGATAAGCTTTCTGATGTACTGCTGGATTCGGTTTGCCAGTATTTTATTGAGGATTTTCGCATTGATGTTCATCAGGGATATTGGTCTAAAATTCTCTTTGTTTGTTGTGTGTCTGCCAGGCTTTGGTATCGGGATGATGCTGGCCTCATATAATGAGTTAGGGAGGATTCCCTCTTTTTCTATTGATTGGAATAGTTTCGCCAAACTGACATGATTTTTAAAATTCCCTATAGGGTCAATGTGCAGATTTAAAGATCCCTACACTCAGTAGTCCTGGGATAGGGTCGGGGGATCCATATGTTTAACAAGCAGCCTAGAGTCTCCCGATAGCCTGGGCAAGCTTTAAAAAGCCCTGCGGACATTCGGATGAAACAAAGGTGCACAGAACCTATATCTCTGCCATTTATTAGCTGGGGGCCTTAGGCAAGGAAGGTAGTCAACCTCCGTATTCCTCAGTTCCTCAACTGTAAAATGGGGATGATGACTGTGGCTCCCTCGTGGGGTTGTGACGGAGGAACAGGGGACATATGTCCTGGGATCAGCACTGGCAATTTGGCCATTCTTACCATAGCACCTGCCATCTTGGTGACAGCCTGGACACAAAGCCTTCACACCTTTGAAGTGGCCATAGAGAGCATGAGATATGGATGGGGAGGAGGCATTCCAACTAAAGACCCCTGCTTTGGGCCAAAAACACATGTATGTCTGGTGTCTGGAGTCCTCTGGTTATGCCTTTTTTAAGATACCGGTTGTCCTGCAATTGTGCGTTGAGAATCCACTCTATGGCCAACATATCATCAAAGCGTTTGGCTCAGCTAGGCTGTTCCCCCAACCCAAGGACCCCATGAGGAAAGGAGTGAGGGTTCCACCCCCAGCACCAGCCACTGGAGGGGCTGCCCAGAGTCCCTCAGTTCTCGTAAACTTACGCTTTGGAGTAATTCAGAACAAAGTCCACTCCTTTTTCACTATCAAACTGGATATCACGGGGTAAATCCTTGTGGCATTTGGCATCGATGCTCAAGGGGAAGCCAGGGTTCCACTCCATCCATCTGAGCATGAGAAAGGAGAAGAAATTGAGTTAAATGCCAGCCTTTGGTCTGCCCCCTCAGCTGAGGGCCGCCCACACTGTCAGACGATGTTACACAGGGAGATTGATGTACTCAAAATAAAGTCAACACATCATAGGCTGACCCTGTGTCCAGTAAGGTTCTGGGACCTCTTCCAAAGTCCAGTCGCACCAACTTTGCTGTGCCCTGAGCATCAGAGTGGGAACCCTGAGACTGGGCTTATAGTGGTACAGGTGTGCACCACTGCATAAAAAGTTCTGTAGGTAGTCTAGGGAGACCTCACTTACTAGAGGTGACATTGAACAGTAGAGGCCTGCCTTGCCAGTCACTGGAGGTAGAAGGTATTAAGGCTGCCCAGCCACGCCCAACCTGGACATCCACCATTCTGCCAACTTGATCAGTGTGTGCCCTGGACTGCGTGCATGTCCTGCATGTGGCATTTGGGGAAATGGGACAGTTCTTCTGCCTTCACAATAGGACGACACGGCAGCAGGTGGCCTGGGAGAGGGACCCAGGCACAGATGGCTAAAAGGCTTCCCTCTCTCACCTGCTGGCCAATAGCAGCTTTAGAGATTATTACAATCAAAACAGCTTCCCCAAAGACAAGCCACGGACTGCATCCAGTAAACATGCTCAGATCCTGACATCCTTGAAACGTATCCCGTGGCATTGGGCATTTGTGTTTTTGAAAAATGTTTATTTTGCTTTTTTGTTTACTTATTGAGTAAACTTAAATTGTGAAAATGTCAGAGGTGTTTGAACCACAGCAACTCCATCTTGAATAGGGGCTGGGTAAAATAAGGCTGAGACCTACTGGGCAGCATTCCCAGGAGGTTAGGCATTCTAAGTCACAGGATGAGACAGGACATTGATGCAAGATACAGGGCAGAAAGACCTTGCTGATAAAATGGGTTGTGGTAAAGAAGCCGGCCAAAACCCAACAAAACTAAGATGGTGATGAAAGTGACCTCTGTTCATCCTCACCACTCATTATATGCTAATTATAATGCATTAGCATGCTAAAAGAAACTCCCACCAGTGCCATGACAGTTTACAAATGCCATAGTAATGTCAGGAAGTTACCCTATATGGTCTAAAAAAGGGAGGAACCTTCAGTTCCTGGAATTGCCCACCCCTCTCCTGGAAAACTCATGAATAATCCACTCATTGTTTAGCACATGATCACGAAGTGACTGTAAGTATGCTCAGTCGAGTAGCCCATGCTACTGCCTTGCCTATGGAGTAGCCTTTCTTTATTGCTTTACTTTCCTAATAAACTTGCTTTCACTTTATGGATTCACCCTGAATTCTTTCCTGTGGAGGTCCAAGAACTCTCTCTTGGGGTCTGGATCAGGACCCCTTTCTGGTAACAAAAACAAAATGAAATCCTGTTAGTTTCTTTGGGGAGGGAGAATGATTTTGTGTTTGTTTAAAAACCAGATTTTACATTTTAGGGTTTTAGCTTTTTCATTTATATTCCTAATTCTCCTTCCTTTTAAAATTTTCTTTTGAGAGGAAAGTAAAATATCGAGATTTTGGGTCTTAAAAAAGTCCTGAGTTATTTTAATATGATCTTGTGCTTTGACTTTCCCCAAATCCCAACTGTCACAGTGTCCTCTTGGCCCAGTAGCCTCTCCTTAGGATCACAAGAAGTGAACAGGGACCGGGTATGATCCTTCTGACAGCAAAGGCATTTTGTCAAGTGTTTTCTGTTATGTGGCACCTTACATTTCTCACTGTTGGTTTATTTAGAATATTCTACGTCCTCAGATTTTAAGAAAACCTTCCATTTTTGCTGTTTGTATTAATGCCAATGATAGTATATTAACAAGGATAAAAATGTGGACAAGTCTACACATTTTTTGTTTGTTTGTTTTGGAAAATGACTCAAGGCATCTCCAATATATATCTAAAATTGAGCCATTCAGTAGCCTCACTGGTAGTAATGATCAATTAATTAGCTATCATTAGTCATATCAATTTAAATATTACTGATGATTTTCTCTTTGCCTGGACAGTTCAAGGGCTCTAGTTAATTTTAAAAGCTCAGTGGAGCTAGATGTTTTTCAGTATGTAAACAATGAGCCATGCAAGGGCATCTGTGCCAGCAAATGGCATTAATGTTTTCTTAAGTGAATAGTCCACTTGGACGGATGTGGAATACTTCTTCAGCACCAAAAAGACCTTCTTGCCCCATGCCCTGCCCTGGTCTATGGAGGGTGGCAGCACCAATGGGCAGAAATGCCCCACTTGTGTGGTTAGAAGATGATGGCCTCACAGCACATGGAGACAGGACAGCTTGCTTGCTAGTTCACTACTGCCCCCCTGAAACCAAATGTTTATGTCCCTTCCACTGCAGGTCACTGCTGCTTAAGAGACCCTGACAGGCTGACCTGCACAGGAGCCGAAGGCCTGCATGGCCACAGACATTAACTGGTGGAGATGGAATCCCACTCCATTGAGGAAGACCAAGTGGAACACCCAGGCAGAAGGAACAAAGAAGTAGAAAGGCATTTAATTTATTGGAAAAAAAATGAGAGAGAGAGAGAAAGAGAGAGAGAGAAAGCAAGAGAGACAGAGAGACAGAGAGAGAGAGAGAGAGAAAGAGAGAGAGAGAAAGCAAGAGAGACAGAGAGACAGAGAGAGAGAGAGAGAGAGAGAGACAGACAGACAGAGAGATCCTAAGGGGATGCAGTTAGTATAATTGGAGTGTAAAAAGACTTTCTGTAACCACAAACATGATTTCTGAATGAAGACTTCAATAGAGAAACAGACAAAGAGAATAATCACTGTGAGATGTTTGGTCTCTTGTATTAAAAGAAAAGCTTTAGACAAATTAAATTTAGCAGTTTAATTGAGCAAAGAACAATTCAAGAATAGGGCAGCCCCTAAACCAGAGCAGGCTCCGAGTGACTTTGATGCTGTCTCATAGTTGGATAGGATTTATGGGCAGAAAAAGGAACGTGATGTACAGAAAATGGAAGTGAGGTACAGAAACAGCCAGATTGGTGATGGCTCAGCATTTGCCTTACTTGAGCCCAGTTTGAACAGCTGGCCACTGTGAGTGGCTGAAGTCTGGCCGCTGTGATTGGCTGAGACTTGGTTACTTGCTATGAGAGTAGGTGACAGTCTGTTTACACATCCAGTTAGGTTACAGTTCACTATGTACAGAGAAACTTTTAGGCTGAATTTAAAATATGTAAGGAGAAAAGTTTAAGCTAAACTCATTAACACCTAGAAGAGAGAAGGTGTTCATTCGACAACTAATTATGGAGCACCTACTATGTGCCAGGAAGTGCTTTGTGCAAAATAGAAGAACATGTAACCCAAATACAGGGTGAAACTACAAAGAAATGGAAGCCATAAATGAAACTATGAGAGACATAAACCAAAAATAAAATTCTAAGCCCCTGAACTGACTGATGGACCCTCCCCTTGGCCAAGGGCATTCCAAAGTTAACCTGAAAAATTAGTTCAGGCCATGATAGGAATGGGTGGCTAAACGTGCCTCATTGTACTCTCCTCCTCTTGGAATTCAGGCACAACTGATCAGCATTCACATCAACACAGAGATGTTAAGCCCATTAGAACAGACTCTTTAAGATTGATAAGAAACATTTACAATTGATTCTACCTGAAGCCTGCTACCTGGAGGCTTCATCTGCATGATAAAAAACTTTGTTTCCACAACCCCTTATCTTAACCTAGACATTCCAAGTTTTTAGATAATAATTCTTTTAAGCAGTTGCCAATCAGAAACTCTTTGAATCTGCCTATGACCTGGAAGCTCCCCTCCCCCAAGTTGTCCCACCTTTCCAAAACCAAACCACTGTCCATCTTACATGTATTGACTGATGTCTTATGTCTCCCTAAAATGCACAAAAGCAAGCTGTACCCCAACCACCTTGGGTGCATGTTCTCAGGATCTCCTGGGGCTGCATCATGGGCCACTGGTCACTCATATTTGGCTCAGAATAAGTCTTTTCAAATATTTCACAGAGTGTGACTCTTTTCATTAACAGACATGAAAGCCAGATACAGATGTAATATGCAAGGAGTAAAAGCTCCAAAAGGAGAGAGAGTAATATATGGAGAAGTGAAAAAAATCAAAGAAATAAAAGAAGAACTCCTTTAAGCTGAAAAATACTTCAATATCTTAAGTCTGTGAAAGGAAATTAAATTTTAGGACCCCAAACTCATTTAGCCAAAGGGAAATGTCAAGCTGGGAACTGTGTCATGCAAACCTGCCTCCCCCTTTTGGTTCCTAAATAAGATGGCTATGATGAAAAGCTACATGTCTCCACCATATTTTGCTCACAAGGAAATTCCTAGTGAACCGTTAAAATTTCACCATGGCAATGCAAATTGATAGCTTATCTTTACAAGTGCAGTCACCCACCAGATACAAATGCATATCTGATTGTTCCCCTGCCTTACTTTATCTATGTTCTCTTATGTAAAATGCAGACTCCCTGCATTTTTCCTCTGCCTCATTTGTTTATGTCATCTTATGTTAAAAAAAATGCAGATTCACTGAGCCAGAGAAAGGCATGAATAACTATTTTTCCCTGCCCTGCTCTTACATGAAAATTGTGTACTTCTCAATATCCCGCCCTTTTCCCTTTAAATTTGGAGCCCTCAAAATCACCTTCAGAGAAAGGCATAGTGCTGTCTCCCGGGCATGCGTCCTTAACTTTCGCAAATAAATTTCCTAAAATGATTGAGACTTGTCTCGTCATTTTTCTCAATGACAAGTCCTAGGTGGGGGGGAAAAAAAAAAAGGAAAAAGATACACCTAGGTATATACTGAATACATTTTAAAATGTCCAAGAGACAGGAGAAACAGAGACAGAGAGAAGGAAAGAGATGCAGAGAGTGAACGAGAGAGGAAGAAAGTGGGGGAGGGAGGGAGATAGAAACTCTAGGAAAAGAAACAAACTATCATTAGATTTCTCCTCTGTCATTCTGAAAATGGGAAGACTGAAGTGTATACACACTTTTTTTAGATCGTCATCTAAGCCTCTCATATTGTCATCAATGAGGGCAGGGGAATTTGTTTGAGGGGATGGGTAGGGGGACAGGACGACAAGCACAGACTCAGATCTTACACTACACATGGACCTTCTGAGGAAATTAATTGAACAAGTTCAGCTGAACAAAAATTAAATTAGAATGAATCAATAAACTCCTAAATACAGCAAAGAATATGCATTATAAAACTACAGCAAATATAATAGTAAACAAAGAAACAAAAATATGAGAGGGATGTTCATCACTACTACCACTACTTGTTTTGGGAATTCCAGACATGGAATAAGAAAAGAATATCAGTGGTGTAGATAATGGAAAGTAAGAGACAAAATTATTAACATTTAGATAATATGAGCACATTAACTAACCAGACTCACTAACAACAAACAAACAAAAACAAGTGATTAGAACCAATGAAAGAATTCAGTAAGGGACCAACACACAGTAAATGTAAGAAACAAGTAATTTACATTTATCCCAGCAATATTTTTGCAAACAGAAAAATATCCTACTCAGAACAGCAAATGCTAAATGTAGAGTAGCTAGAAAGGTGAAGGACCTGCATGAAGAAAACTAGAAATTCTATGGAAGTACGTTGACACAGGATCTAGAGAGGTGGAAAGACACGCTGTGTTCCTGGATGGAAAGACTGAATCTCAGTAAAATGCCAACACATAACACAGTTATGTGAAGTTCAAAGTAATTCTCATTATGAAAAACTTAAGAAAGAACAGTGAGATATGTAACAGACATTAACATTTATTAGAAAGTTATGATAACCAAAAGCTGGTGCTGGGGTCTCGAGTAGAAAAATAGGCTAACACATAAAGTGCGGAAACAGACCCAGAGACTATGTATACATAATACAAAACTCGCCAACACTTATCCAGTGCTTTCTATGTGCCTACTACTATTCTCTGTGTTTTCATGGTTTAACCTATTATCTCAAACCCCTAAAAGGAAGGCACTGTTATTTCCCTCATTTTACAGATGAGGGAAGTGAGGCACAGACAGATTAAACAACTTTCACAGGACTGGAGAAAGTGCCAGTAAGTGTGAGTTGAGCCCAGACACTCGAATCCAGAGCTCATGACTGCCATCCTATGCCAGCTTGTACCGTGGGTATCATCATCCCTGTCATCCAAGTCAGGAGGAAAGACATCATCCCTGTCATCCAAGTCAGGAACGAATGCTACCGGGAGAGTTCCACCCAGGTATGTATGAAAACACGTGGCAGGAGTGGGGCATGGTGGCGCACGCCTGTAGCCCCAGCTACTTGGGAGGCTGACGTGGGAAGATGGATTGAGCCTGGGTTAGTTTGAGGCAGCAGTGAACCATGATCATGCCACTGCACTCCAGCCTAGGAAACAGAGCAAGACTCTGTCTCAAAAAAAAAAAAAAAGGTAGATGAATGAAAGCTCTAAACTCAAAGGGGAAATTATAAAAGTATTAGACAAAATTACGGGGGAAGTATTTGTGTAACACTGGGATGGAAAGGGTTTTCTTAAGCAAAGGAGGAAACCCAAAAGTTATAGATGTAAACAATACATAGTTAATAAAATAAAGAACTAAAATCTCCTGTGGCAAAAGCAACAGAAGACAAATAATAAATGCTATACATATGTAACAAACGGATACTATCCTGATATAGAAAGAGCTCCTTTAGATTAATAATTGAAAGAACAATAGGGAAAAAAAGCTTATAAATAGGCAATGCAGTGATGCTTATTAGTGGTCAGGGGAGTGCAGACTAAAACAACCACAAGGTCTTAGGGATTTTTAGACTGTCAAACAAGGTCATCGGGTACTGACAAATGTATGGATGGGCAAAAGTATCTTTTCATACACAGCTGGTAGGACCGCAAATTACGATACAATTTTGTGAAAGGATTTTTGTCGGTATTTCTTAAGATGAAAAAATGCTGATTTGTTCCAGCAATCTGAGTTCTGGAAATGGATCTGCCATTAATTAAAGCACCAGTACATCAAGATGTTTGTACAAGGTTGGTTCTGGCAGCATTGTTTGTACTGCAATACCCAAAACAAACAAACACATCTACAAATGGGAAATGAACTGAACGTCAGTGAATAGGGGAATGGCTAAGTAAATTATGGTGCATTCCCAGAAGGCAAGAAATAGTAGCAGTTTAAGAAGGGGAAAATATATGAGATACTATTTCACACGCAAGAATGAAAACATCTGAAGATGCGAAGTGTTGATGATGCAGGGAAACAGTGAATCTCAGAAACAGTTACTGGGGTGTCTACTGGCAGAATGCCTTTGGAAAACAATCAGCAATATCTAGAAAGCTTAAAAACACGTGGTCTGCAACCCTGCAACTCTACTTCTTGGAATATTCCCTACAGTAACTCTTCCATGAGAGCACAGAGAGATGTGTGAGAAAGCTCACTGTCGCTTGGTTTGCAACAGCTAGAAATTAAAGACAGCCCGCCTGCCCATCAGCAGGAGAGCGGACGAGCGCATGGGTTATTCAGATACTGATATGCCATGAAGAAGTTAACTGCATGAACCACATCTATCTGTGTCAACCAGATCCTCTTCAATACTTAGTGATGAGTGAAAAGTGCAGGTCACATAATGATTAGATTAAATTATATCGATTAACAAACACCTACACTTTGCCATTTACTGCTGTGTGTGAGTGTGCATGTAACACAGACAGATGTGGTCACAGTGGGAGAGCACAAGCTGTGGGCTATGACCTGGGTCTGCTTCTCCTTCTCCCTGCGTGGCTGAGTGAGTAAGGAGGGCCTGCAAGAAGCGCCAGCTTTCTGACATAGTGTGGACTATTCTTAGTCATTGCTTTACTTCCAAACTCTGATCTGGAAGCCTGAGAAATCTTCTGAGAAAGAGGAACTCCAAGATTGTGCAGACAGTGCAAAGTTCAGTGTTTCCTGAACGGAAGCAAAGGAGGGTTTCTGAAAAGGACAGATGAGTGGAAGGAGGAAGAAAAAAATGATTAAATCTAAGAAAGGGGGAAACGATCTCACCAGAAGCCCCCTGCTGCAAGATTATGATAATGTTAAGTAGCTCCCAGATAATTGGGCTAGTTTGTGTTATCTTAGATGAGTAGATAGCAAAGTCTAATTAGAGCCCCACTAATTCATACTAAAGTGTTAGTGGCTTATAACAAATTAAATGAATTTTATGGGCATTTTATCTTAACCCAGATTCACAGGCCAGAAGTGCTCTGAGAACTGGCTGCAGGGGCTTTGCCATAGGTGTCTGAAACAGGGAGGGAAGCCAAGGAAGAAGCATAGAAACAACAGCCCTTTGGGATGGGAGGCAGAGCTCAAGCACAACGTGTGCACTGCACCAGGTATGGAAGTCTGGAAACACATCATATGGTGCCTGAGCTGAGAGGCTTGTGCACAAATACTCTAAAACAAATCACACATTTATAAACCCTTAACATGACCCACAGCACAGCAGGTTACTCTCCCACACTTGATGCTAATGGCATGTAAGTTTTATTTTTGATTTTTCAATTGGGAAATAGAATATATAAAATATGTATGGATATGTATATATGCACACACACACTCACACATGCAGAAAAATGTACAAAACACCTGTACGAACACCATCCAGGTAAAAAATCAGAACATTGTCCGTACCCTCACCCCCACCTTTCCCAATCAACCCTCCTTCCATCCCCGGTAATGACCATCCTCGGCTTTATGATAATCATTTTCTTGTTATTGTTTAAGGTTCCGCTATGACACACCTCCCTAAACAATTTCATTCCAAAGTTATGAATTGGCCAGACACGCTCCTGGCTTCTTTCCTTCAACACTGCGTCAGTGAGGTTTGTCCATGTTAGCAGCAGTTTGTTGATTTTCCTTGCAGTGTAGAATTTTCCTTGACAATTTGTCTGTTCTACTGTTTGTTGGACATTGAGTTGTTGCCATTTTTTGGCCATCATGAGTAATGCTGTTGTGAGTATCCAGGCGCACATGCACACAAATTTGGATCCCACTATAGGATTTCTGGGTCATAGATTATAATGTAGCTTCAGTTTTATGACATATTGCTAAATTGTTTTCCACGGAGGTCTTACCAACTTGTCCTCCTGCCGGTGGTATATGAGTGTTCCCAGCCCTCTGGATCTTCTTTAATACTCAGGTGTTGTCAGTTGTTGAAGTGTTGCCCATCTGGGGGCATATGTGTGGTAGTAGCAGCAGTTCACTGTGATCTTCTGATTTCCCCGAGTCCTAATGAAGTTGAACACCTTTTGTATACTTGCTGCTTATATTTTGTACAGTAAGTACTCAAACTTCTTGCCCATTTTCTAGTGAATGACACTCCCCTTCTTAAAGATTTGTAGGTCCTTCACATACTAGGAATAATTCTCGTCAATCACTCCATGACTTGCCTTCACTCTCTCCTGGTGTCTTTCAATGAACAGAGTGTCCTTATCTTGAGGGAGGCAAACTTACCAATCTTTTCCTTTGTGTTTAATATGTTCTGAGTCTTGTTTGAAAAATCCTTTTAGCTTGAGACCTGGAAGAATAATCACCTGTAGTCTAAATGTCTTACAGTTTTGCCTTTAACTTTTAAGTCTAATCAACCCCAAGCTGAGTCTCCTGAATGGCAAGAGGTGGAGTCTGATTTCTTCTCCTTCTCCTTCAGCCCTCCGTGCTGGCTGGCCCCTGTCCTCGAGATGCATGTCCAGTGGCCCAGTGCCACCCATCAGCCGAGCCCTCCGTAGCAGACCCAGTACCCACATACGTGTGGCTGTTTGTTGTTTCTTTATTCTGTTTCAAGGAATGTTTTTGATGAAAAGGGGGATGAAGCTAAGACAGTTTTGAGGTGGGGCAATTGTGTTCTTGGTGTGGGATTTCTCACCCCTTGACAGCAGTGGGTGGCTGGGCATAGGGGAAGAAGGAGCTACAGGGTTGAGGGATGCTGTTGCAACTTAGAAAAATTAAGAAAAATGAAGATATTGCTCAGTTATGGCAAGTGTTTGATGAAACAGGGACCCATACATGGCTCGTGAAAACTGGTTAAAGATTTTTTTTTTTTTTTTTTTTGAGACGGAGTCTCGCTCTGTCGCCCAGGCTGGAGTGCAGTGGTGCAATCTCGGCTCACTGCAAGCTCCGCCTCCCAGGTTCACGCCATTCTCTTGCCTCAGCCTCCCGAGCAGCTGGGACTACAGGCGCCCGCCACCACGCCCGGCTAATTTTTTGTATTTTTTAGTAGAGACGGGGTTTCACCGTGTTAGCCAGGATGGTCTCGATCTCCTGACCTGGTGATCCACCCACCTCAGCCTCCCAAATGGTTAAAGATTTTTGAGGAGAAATTTGTCAATGTATACTAATAACTTTTACTATTTGGTAATTTCATATCTGGGCATCTGTCCTAGGAAAATACTTAATAATGTATACAAATTTCACATACAAGGGTTTTCACTTTGCTTATAAGAATACAAAAATTAGAAACCTCCTAAATGTCCAGGGAAGCTGGGTGTTTAAGTGAATGATGAGGCATCCATCCAATGGAATAGTACATAGAAACTAGAATAATGTTTATGATGAGATTTTGAAAATATGGGAAAATGATTTTTGCTACACTGCTAAAGGGCAGCAAGGAGGATGCAAAGTGGTATATATAGCACAATCCCAAATTTTAAAAAGTGAATAAGACAAAGTGAAAACAATTAAACATGAATTTTTATGAAAAAGTTCATAAAATTCATAATTCATACAGAAAATAGGTATTTTTCTGGCTCTATATTATTTTCCTTCTTTTACTTTTTTGAGTTAAAAAAACAACCCAGATATACTACATATTCCTTGTAAGAAGTTCAACTATTGAGGGATATGTAGAAAAGTATCACAATATTGGCTCCCAAAGGCCCCTCCACAGCCCAGGTAACTTCACTGTCCATGTAGAATGATTCCTTCCACTTTCTTCCCTTGGAAGGAGGCACAGACTCAAATGTTTCCAGGGGCCAAAGCAGGAAATGAAATGAAAGAAAACCTTGATATAGACAACAGACAAGTGTGGACTGGGGAAGCCTGAAGAATATCTCTGTTTACTCATAAGTCAATAATGATCCATCAAACACTTGTAGAGGCTGGATACAGCCCATCAGCCACCCATTTCCAGAGGAGCACTCTGTAATGTGTTATTATCTTCCAAAAAGCTTTACTGAGATACATTTACATACCATTAAATTCACCCCTTAAAAATATGCTATCAAAAGATTTTAATATATTTGCAGAGTTGTATGTGTAACCATCATTATAACCCAATTCTGAAATAATCTCATCCCCAGAGGACACCTCGAACCCATTAACATTCACTCCTTGTTTCCCCTCCCCAACTCCTAGTGCTAGGCAACTACTCACCTACTAACCTGACTCTGTGGGTTTGCCTATTCTGGACATTTCATACAGATAGAATCACACAATATGGGGTCTTCCGTAAGTGAGTTTTCCATTTAGCATATTTTTGAAGTTCATTCAGTGTTTGGCATCTATCTGTAGTTCATTTCTTTTCTTTTCTTTTCTTTTTTTGAAATGGAGTCTTGCTCTGTCACCCAGGCTGGAGTGCAGTGGCGGGATCTAGGCTCACTGCAACCTCCGCCTCCCGGGTTCAAGTGATTCTCCTGCCTTAGCCTCCCAAGCAGCTGGGATTACAGGCGTGCACCAACATGCCCGGCTAATTTTTGTATTTTTGTAGACATGGGGTTTCACCATGTTGGCCAGGTTGGTCTCAAACTCCTGACCTCAAGTGATCTGCCCGTCTCAACCTCCCAAAGTGCTAGGATTACAGGTGTGAGCCTCCGCGCTTGGCATTCATTCCTTTTTGATGCCAAAAAATATCCCATTGTATGGATAAACTATATTTTGTTTATTCATTCCTCAGTTAATGGAATTTAGGTTGTTTCTACTTTTTGACTATTGTGAACAATGGTGCTATAAATATGTGTGTACAAGTTTTGTATAGACATGTGGTTTCAATATTCTTGGGTAGAGGCCTAGGAGTAGAATTGCTGGGTCATATTGTAGCTGGGTTTCAGATTTTGAGGAACCACTAAACTGTTTTCTGAAGTGGCTGCATCATCTTACATTCCGGTAGCAGCATCAGGGTTCCAGTTTCTCCACATCCTTGGCAGCACTTGTTACTATCTGTCTTTTTTATTCTAACCATTTTAGTGGTTAGAATTGTATCTTGTGGTTTTGATTTGAAATTTCCTGATGATTAATAATGTTGAGCATATTTTCACGTGCTTATTGGAGATTCACAAATTTTCTCTGGAGAACTATTTAATTAAATCCTTTGCTAATTTTTAAACGGGGTTTTTTGTACAGAATATTTTAAAATTGAGTTGTCAGAGTTCTTTATATATTCTGGATACAAGTCCCTTATCAGACATATGATTTAGATATTTTCTCCATTCTGTGGATTGTCTTTTCACTTTATTGATGATGTCCTTTGAAGCATAGATCTTTTACATTTTAATGACATCTAACTTGTCTACTTTCTTTTGCTGCCTGTGCTCTTGGTGCCATATCTAAGAGACTTTGCCGAACCCAAGATTATGAAGACTTACTTGTATGTTTTCTTCCAAGAGTGTTATGTTGTTAGCCCTTACTTTTAGATCTATCATCCATTTTGAATTAATTTTTAAATTTATCTAGCAGCGTTATTGAAATATAATGCACATACTGTAAAATTTATCCATTTAAAGTGTTCAATTCAAGGATGTTTAGTATTAATTTTTACACAATGGACAACCATCAGTTTTAGAACATTTTCATCCCCGGCAAAAGGAACACTGTATCCTTTAGCTGTCACTCCCATGACCACTTCCTCATTCCCTGCCCCTAGGCAACCAGTAATCTACTTTATATCTGTACAGATTTTTCTTTTCCAGAAATTTCATATAAAAGGAATCATACAATATATGATCTTTTGTGACTGGTTTCTTTCACTTAGCATAATGTTTTTGAGATTCATCCATGTTGTAACAAGTGTCAGTATTTCATTCTTCTTTCATGGTCAAATTATATAGATATACTATATTTTATCCATTCATCCATTAATGGACGTTTGGGTTGTGTACACTTTTTGATAGTTACAGGTCATGCTGCTATAATCATGCATGTACAAGTTTTTGTGTGGGCATATGTTTCCATTTCTGTTGGGAATATGCTTAAGAGTGGAAATGCTGTCATATTGTAACTCTCTGTTGAACAGTCAGGAGCTAGCAGACTGTTTCCCAAGCAGCTGTGCCATTTTACATTCCCACCAGCAGTGTATGAGGGTTCTGATTTCTCCACATCCTTGTCAACACTTGTTCTTGTCGGATTTTTTTATTCTAGCCATCCTAGTATCAAGTGGTATCTCATTGTGGTGTTGATTTGCATTTCCTAGATGACTAATGGGTCCTTGGAGAAATATCTATTCAGATCCTCACTCATTTTTTTCATTTTTTAATTGGACTATTTGTCTTTATTGAGTTGTAAGAGTTCTTTATAAATTATGGATGGAAGGCCCTTATCAGATATACAATTTGTAAATATTTCTTCCATTCTGTGGTTCATCTTTTCACTTTCTTGATGGTGTCCTTTGAAACATAAAGGTTTGTAAATTTGATGACATCACTTTATCACTTTATCTATTTTTCTTTTGTTGCTGATGCTTTTGGTGTCATATCAAGAGTCCTTTGTCAAATCCAAAGTCATGAAGGTTTACTCCTGTGTTTTCTTAAAAGAGTTTTATAGTTTTAGCTCTTACATTTAGGTAGGTATTTGACTCATTTTGTGTTAATTTATGTATATGGTGTGAGCTAAGGATCCAACTTCATTCTTTTGCATGTGGCTATCCAGTTTTGCTAGGACCATTTGTTGAAAAGACTATTCTTTCTCTGTTAAACTGTCTTGCTGCTTCTGTCAAAAATTAATTGGCCATAAGTGTAAGGGCTTATTTCTGGACTCTCAAGTCTATTTCATTGATCTATATATCTATCCTTATGCCGATATCACATTGTCTTGAATACTATAGCTGTGTAGTAATTTTGATATTGAGAAGTGCAAGTCCTCCATCTTTGTTTTCTTTTTATCAAGATTGTTTTGGCTATTCTGGGTCCCTTCCATTTCCATATGAATTTGCAGAATTGACAGCTTGTCAATTTCTGCAAAGAAATCAGCTAGAATTTTGATAAGGGTTGTGTTGAACGTGTACATTAATTTGTGGGGTATTGCCATTTTAACAAAATTAAGTCCTCTGATTCATGAACATGAAATGTCTTTCAACCTATTTAGATCTTCTTTAATAATGTTAAACAATGTTTTGTAGTTTCATTGTACAAGTCTCAGACTACTTTGTTAAATTTATTCATAAATGTTTACTGTTTTTGATGCTATTGTAAATTGAACTTTTTCTTACTTTTATTTCACATAGTTGGTTGTTAATGTATAGAAAAACAATTGATTATCTTGTATCTTGCAATCTTGGTGGTTTATTAGTTCTAATAATTTCTTTTGGTGAATGCCTTCAGATTTTCTATATATAAGATCATGTTATTTGTAAATTGTGGTAGTTTTACTTACTGTACTCCATTGTGGGTGCCTTTACTTATCTTTTTATTCCCTAACTGAGCTGGCTAGACCCTCCAGTACAATGTTGAATAGAAGTAGCAAAAGTGAACATCTTTATCCTGTTTCTGGATTCAGCCTTTCATCATTAAGTATAATGTTAACTGTGAATTTTCTTTTTTTGTGTATGTGGGGGGACGGAGTCTTGCTTGTCACCATGCTGGAGTGCAGTGGCATGATCTCAGCTCACTGCAACCTCCGCCTTCTGGGTTCAAGTGATTCTCCTGCCTCAGCCTCCTGAGTAGCTGGGACTACAGGCGCATGCCACCACACACAGCTACTTTTTGTATTTTAGTATAGACGGGGTTTCACCATGTTGGCCAGGATGGTCTCAATCTCTTGACATCGTGATCCACCCGCCTTGGCCTCCCAAAGTGCTGGGATTACAGGTGTGAACCACCACGCCCAGCCTAATTGTGAATTTTCAAACCTTTATCAGGTTGAGGACATTTTCTTCAATTCCTATTTTTTGAGTGTTTTATCATGAATGGGTGTTGGATTTTGTCAAATGCCTTTTTTGTATGTCTATTGAAATGATTATGTACTTTGTTTTGTTTTGTTATTTACTCTATTGATATGGTGAATTCAATTAATTGATTTTTGGATGTTAAACCAACTTTGCATTCCTGGGCTAAATCCCACATGTTCATATTGTTTAATGCCTTTTATATACTTCTGGGTTAGGTTTGCTAGTATTTCGTTGAAAATGTTTATATCTATATTGCTAAGGGATATTGGTTTATAGTTTTCTTGTGATGCCTTTAGTTTTGGTATAATATGGGTATGAGACAATGAATTGGGAAGTGTTCCTTCTATTTCTTAAAAGAGTTTATGCAAGATCAGTATTAATTCTTTAAATGTTTGATAGAATTAGCCAGTGAAGCTATCTGGGTCTGGGCTTCTATTTGTGGGAAATTTTAGAATTAGTAATTCAATCTCTTTGGTTGTGATTGTTTTATTCAGATTAACTATTTCTTCATGAGTCAGTTTTGGCAGTTTGCGTCTTTCTAGGAATTTGCGCATTTCATTTAACTAGTTTGTTGGCATGCAATTGTTCATAGTATTCTTTTTTATTAATTTTAATTTCTGTATTGATTTTCCCTCATTTTATGAGTCTCATTTTTCCTTTTTTATTCATTTTAATTTCTGTATTGATTTTCTCTTATTGCTCATTTTAATGGTTTGAATCCTCTGGTCAGTTGGCTGAAGAGTTGTCAATTTTATTGCTGATCATGTATCACTTTTATAATTGAATTGTTATAAGAAGACATAAGAAGTAAGAGGCAACCCCTACAATGGAGAACATTAAGGTACACTCAAGCTTTTCTGCCCATTCTTCCTACATGCCAATATGGTTGATCCAAAGTTATTTTCATTACTCTCCTCTCCATCTCTTGTCTGGAGTTGTAGGTAAGGTGAAGTTTGGGGATTGTGCACCCACACTGGGAGCTGGTGCCTTGGTGACTTTCCAGCAGTGACAGGCCATACACTGTGGAAAGGGTTTATTTCATACCATGCTCTTGAGATAGAAGAAACCATGGCCCCGTGGCCACTCGATCTGATGTCATAACTCACCGATATTGTTTTTGCCGTGTTTCCAGTTCTTTACGTCGGTGTTGCTTGAGAATGTGAATTTGGTCATCTCGGGCCAACTTTGCTGTAAAGAAAGAACAACATGAGAGGAGCCTGAGGAAGAACAATAACAATGCCCAATGCCAAGTGTTCAGGCTTCCCTCAGATGCCCTGCCCATGCCGAGTGCTTTATGTGCATGACCTCATTTGAGCCTCAGAGCACTTCCCCAATTAATGATGAAGAAACTGAGGCTTAGGGAAGTTGTGTAGCTTTGCTCTTGAACTTTACCCAAGGTCACACACCTAATTAGTGAATTTTCTTTTTTTTTTTTTAATTCTACTTTAAGTTCTAGGATACATGTGCACAACGTGCAGGTTTGTTACATATGTATACATGTGTCATGTTGGTGTGCTGCACCCATTAACTCGTCATTTACATTAGTTATATCTCCTAATGCTATCCCTCCCCCTTACCCCCACCCCATGACAGACCTTGGTGTGTGATGTTCCCCTTCCTGTGTCCAAGTGTTCTCATTGTTCAATTCCCACCTATGAGTGAGAACATGTAGTGTTTGTTTTTTTGTCCTTGCGATAGTTTGCTGAGAAGGGTGATTTCCAGCTTCATCCATGTCCCTACAAAGGACATGAATTCATCCTTTTTTATGGCTGCATAGTATTCCATGGTGTATATGTGCCACATTTTCTTAATTCAGTCTATCATTGATGGACATTTGGGTTGGTTCCAAGTCTTTGCTATTGTGAATAGTGCTGCAATAAACATACGTGTGCATGTGTCTTTATAGCAGCATGATTTATAATCCTTTGGGTATATACCCAGTAATGGGATGGCTGGGTCAAATGGTATTTCTAGTTCTAGATCCCTGAGGAATTGCCACAGTGTCTTCCACAAAGGTTGAACTAGTTTACAGTCCCACCAACAGTATAAAAGTGTTCCCATTTCTCCACACCCTCTCCAGCACCTGTTGTTTCCTGACTTTTTAATGATTGCCATTGTAACTGGTGTGAGATGGTATATCATTATGGTTTTGATTTGCATTTCTCTGATGGCCAGTGATGATGAGCATTTTTTCATGTGTCTGTTGGCTGCATAAACGTCTTCTTTTGAGAAGTGTCTGTTCATATCCTTCGCCCACTTTTTGATGGGGTTGTTTGTTTTTTTCTTGTAAATTTGTTTGAGTTGTTTGTAGATTCTGGATATTAGCCCTTTGTCAGATGAGTAGATTGCAAAATTTTTTTCCCATTCTGTAGGTTGCCTGTTCACTCTGATGGTAGTTTCTTTTGCTGTGCAGAAGCTCTTTAGTTTAATTAGATCCCATTTGTCCATTTTGGCTTTTGTTGCCATTGCTTTTGGTGTTTTAGACATGAAGTCCTTGCCCATGCTTATGTCCTGAATGGTATTGCCTAGGTTTTCCTCTAGGGTTTTGATGGTTTTAGGTCTAACATTTAAGTCTTTAATCCACCTTGAATTAATTTTTGTATAAGGTGTAAGGAAGGGATCCAGCTTCAGCTGTCTACCTATGGCTAGCCAGTTTTCCCAGCACCATTTATTAAATAGGGAATCCTTTCCCCATTGCTTGTTTTTGTCAGGTTTGTCAAAGATCAGATGGTTGTAGATGTGTGGTGTCATTTCTGAGGGCTCTGTTCTGTTCCATTGGTCTATATCTCTGTTTTGGTACCAGTACCATGCTGTTTTGGTTACTGTAGCCTTGTAGTATAGTTTGAAGTCAGGTAGCATGATGCCTCCAGCTTTGTTCTTTTGGCTTAGGATTGTCTTGGCAATGCGGGCTCTTTTTTGGTTCCATATGAACTTTAACGTAGATTTTTCCAATTCTGAGAAGAAAGTCATTGGTAGTTTGATGGGGATGACATTGAATCTATAAATTACCTTGGGAGTATGGCCATTTTTATGATATTCATTCTTCCTATCCATGAGCATGGGATGTTCTTCCATTTGTTTGTGTCTTCCTTTATTTCGTTGAGCAGTGATTTGTAGTTCTCCTTGAAGAGGTCCTTCACATCCCTTGTAAGTTGGATTCTTAGGTATTTTATTCTCTTTGTAGCAATTGTGAATGGGAGTTCACTCCTGATTTGGCTCTCTGTTTGTCTGTTATTGGTGTATAAGAATGCTTGTGATTCTTGCACATTGATTTTGTATCCTGAGACTTTGCTGAAGTTGCCTATCAGCTTTAAGGAGATTTTGGGCTGAGACAATGGGGTTTTCTAAATATACAATCATGTCATCTGGAAACAGGGACAATTTGACTTCCTCTTTTCCTAATTAAATACCCTTTATTTCTTTCTCCTGCCTGATTGCCCTGGCCAGAACTTCCAACACTATGTTGAATAGGAGTGGTGAGAGAGGGCATCCCTGTCTTGTGCCAGTTTTCAAAGGGAATGCTTCCAGTTTTTGCCCATTCAGTATGATATTGGTTGTGGGTTTGTCATAAATAGCTCTTATTATTTTGAGATACGTCCCATCAATACCTAATTTATTGAGAGTTTTTAGCATGAATGGTTGTTGAATTTTGTCAAAGGCCTTTTCTGCATCTATTGAGATAATCATGTGGTTTTTGTCTTTGGTTCTGTTTATATGCTGGATTACATTTATTGATTTGTGTATGTTGAACCAGCTTTGCATCCCAGGGATGATGCCCACTTGATCCTGGTGGATAAGCTTTTTGATGTGCTGCTGGATTCGGTTTGCCAGTATTTTATTGAGGATTTTTGCATCGATGTTCATCAGGGATATTGGTCTAAAATTGTTTTTTTTGTGTGTGTATCTGCCAGGCTTTGGTATCAGGATGATGCTGGCCTCATAAAATGAGTTAGGGAGGATTCCCTCTTTTTCTATTGATTGGAATAGTTTCAGAAGGAATGGTACCAGCTCCTCCTTGTACCTCTGGTAGAATTCGGCTGTGAATCCATCTGGTCCTGAACTTTTCTGGGTTGGTAGGCTGTTAATTATTGCCTCAATTTCAGAGCCTGTTATTGGTCTATTCAGGGATTCAACTTCTTCCTGGTTTAGTCTTGGGAGGGTGTATGTGTCGAGGAATTTATCCATTTTTTCTAGATTTTCTAGTTAATTTGCTTAGAGTTGTTTATAGTATTCTCTGATGGTAGTTTGTATTTCTGTGGAATCCGTGGTGATGTCCCCTTTATCACTTTTTATTGCGTCTAATTGATTCTTCTCTTCTTTTTTTTTTCTTTTTTTTTAATTGATCATTCTTGGGTGTTTCTCGCAGAGGGGGATTTGGCAGGGTCATAGGACAATAGTGGAGGGAAGGTCAGCAGATAAACAAGTCAACAAAGGTCTCTGGTTTTCCTAGGCAGAGGACCCTGCGGCCATCCGCAGTGTTTGTGTCCCTGGGTACTTGAGATTAGGGAGTGGTGATGACTCTTAAGGAGCCTGCTGCCTTCAAGCATCTGTTTAACAAAGCACATCTTGCACTGCCCTTAATCCATTTAACCCTGAGTGGACACAGCACATGTTTCAGAGAGCACAGGGTTGGGGGTAAGGTCATAGATCAACAGGATCCCAAGGCAGAAGAATTTTTCTTAGTACAGAACAAAATGAAAAGTCTCCCATGTCTACCTCTTTCTACACAGACACAGCAACCATCCGATTTCTCAATCTTTTCCCCACCTTTCCCCCTTTTCTATTCCACAAAACCACCATTGTCATCATGGCCCGTTCTCAATGAGCTGTTGGCTACACCTCCCAGATGGGGTGGTGGCCAGGCAGAGGGGCTCCTCACTTCCCAGTAGGGGTGGCCAGGCAGAGGCACCCCTCACCTCCCGGACGGGGCAGCTGGCCGGGCGGGGGGCTGACCCCCCCACCTCCCTCTCGGACGGGGCGGCTGGCCGGGCGGGGGGCTGAACCCCTCCCCTCCCGGACGGGGCGGCTGGCCGGGCGGGGGGCTGACCGCCCCCCACCTCCCTCCCGGACAGGGTGGCTGCCGGGCGGAGACGCTCCTCACTTCCCAGACGGGGCGGCTGCCGGGCGGAGGGGCTCCTCACTTCTCAGAAGGGGCGGCTGCCGGGCGGAGGGGCTCCTCACTTCTCAGATGGAGGGGCTCCTCACTTCTCAGATGGGGCGGCTGCCGGGCGGAGGGTCTCCTCACTTCTCAGACAGGGCGGCCGGGCAGAGGCGCTCCTCACCTCCCAGACAGGGTGGTGGGGCAGTGGTGCTCCCCACATCTCAGATGATGGGCGGCTGGGCAGAGACGCTCCTCACTTCATCCCAGACGATGGGCGGCCAGGCAGAGACGCTCCTCACTTCCTAGACAGGATGGCGGCCGGGCAGAGACGCTCCTCACTTTCCAGACTGGGCAGCCAGGCAGAGGGGCTCCTTACATCCCAGACGATGGGTGGCCAGGCAGAGACGCTCCTCACTTCCCAGACGGGGTGGCGGCCGGGCAGAGGCTGCAATCTCGGCACTTTGGGAGGCCAAGGCAGGCGGCTGGGAGGTGGAGGTTGTAGCGAGCCGAGATCACGCCACTGCACCCCAGCCTGGGCACCATTGAGCACTGAGTGAATGAGACTCCGTCTGCAATCCCGGCACCTCGGGAGGCCGAGGCTGGCGGATCACTCGCGGTTAGGAGCTGGAGACCAGCCTGGCCAACACAGCGAAACCCCGTCTCCACCAAAAAAATATGAAAAACAGTCAGGCGTGGCGGTGCGCACCTGCAATCGCAGGCACTCGGCAGGCTGAGGCAGGAGAATCAGGCAGGGAGGTTGCAGTGAGCCGAGATGGCAGCAGTACAGTCCAGCTTTGGCTCGGCATCAGAGGGAGACCGTGGAAAGAGAGGGAGAGGGAGACCGTGGGGAGAGGGAGAGGGAGACCGTGGGGAGAGGGAGAGGGAGAGGGGAGAGGGGAGATGGGAGAGGGGAGAGGGGAGATGGGAGAGGAGAGAGGGGAGAGGGGAGAGGGGAGAGGGAGAGCTGATTCTTCTCTTTTCTTCTTTATTAGTCTTGCTAGCAGTCTATCAATTTTGTTGATCCTTTCAAAAAATCAGCTCCTGGACTCATTGATTTTTTGAAGGGATTTTTGTGTCTCTACCTCCTTCAGTTCTGCTCTGATCTTAATTATTTCTTGCCTTCTGCTAGCTTTTGAATGTGTTTGCTCTTGCTTCTCTAGTTCTTTTAACTGTGATGTTAGGGTGTCAATTTTAGATCTTCCCTGCTTTCTCTTGTGGGCATGTAGTGCTATAAATTTCCCTCTACACACTGCTTTAAATGTGTCCCAGAGATTCTGGTATGTTGTGTCTTTGTTCTCATTGGTTTCAAAGAAAATCTTTATTTCTGCCTTCATTTCGTTATGTACCCAGTAGTCATTCAGGTGCAGGTTGTTCAGTGTCCATGTAGTTGAGAGGTTTTGAGTGAGTTTCTTAATCTTGAGTTCTAGTTTGATTGCACTGTGGTCTGAGAGACAGTTTGTTATGGTTTCTGTTCTTTTACATTTGCTAAGGAGTGCTTTACTTCCAACTATGTGGTCAATTTCAGAATAGGTGTGATGCAGTGCTGAGAAGAATGTACATTCTGTTGATTTGGGGTGGAGAGTTCTGTAGATGTCTATTAGCTCCGCTTGCTGGAGAGCTGAGTTCAATTCCTGGATATCCTTGTTAACTTTCTGTCTCATTGATCTGTCTAATGTTGACAGTGGGGTGTTAAAGTCTCTCATTATTATTGTGTGGGAGTCTAGGTCTCTTTGTAGGTCTCTAAGGACTTGCTTTATAAATCTGGGTGCTCCTGTATTGGGTGCATATACGTTTCGGATAGTTAGCTCTTCTTGTTGAATTGATCCCTTTACCATTATGTAATGGCCTTCTTTGTCTCTTTTGATCTTTGTTGGTTTAAAGTCTGTTTTATCAGAGACTAGGATTGCAACCCCTGCCTTTGTTTTCCATTTGCTTGGTAGATCTTCCTCCAATCCCTTTATTTTGAGCTTATGTGTGTCTCCGCACATGAGATGGGTTTCCTGAATACAGCACACTGATGGGTCTTGACTCTTTATCCAATTTGCCAGTCTGTGTCTTTTAATTGGAGCATTTAGCCCATTTACATTTATGGTTAATATTGTTATGTGTGAATTTGATCTTGTCTTTACGATGTTAGATGGTTATTTTGCTCATTAGTTGATGCAGTTTCTTCCTAGCATTGATGGTCTTTACAATGTGGCATGTTTTTGCAGTGGCTGGTACCAGTTGTTCATTTCCATGTTTAGTGCTTCCTTCAGGAGTTCTTTTAGGGCAGGCCTGGTGGTGACAAAATCTCTCAGCATTTGCTTGTCTGTAAAGGATTTTATTTCTCCTTCACTTATGAAGCTTAGTTTGGCTGGATATGAAATTCTGGGTTGAAAATTCTTTTCTTTAAGAATGTTGAATATTGGCCCCCAGTCTCTTCTGGCTTGTAGGGTTTCTGCCGAGAGATCAGCTGTTAGTCTGATGGGCTTCCCTTTGTGGGTAACCTGACCTTTCTCTCTGGCTGCCCTTAACATCTTTTCCTTCATTTCAACTTTGGTGAATCTGACAATTATGTGTCTCGGAGTTGCTCTTCTCAAGGAGTATCTTTGTGGTGTTCTCTGTATTTCCTGAATTTGAATGTTGGCCTGCCTTGCTAGGGTGAGCAAGTTCTCCTGCATAATATCCTGCAGAGTGTTTTCCAACCTGGTTCCATTCTCCCCATCACTTTCAGGTACACCAATCAGATGTAGATTTGGTCTTTTCACATAGTCCCATATTTCTTGGAGGCTTCGTTCATTTCTTTTTATTCTTTTTTCTCTAAACTTATCTTCTCGCTTCATTTCATTCATTTGATCTTCAGTCACTGATACCCTTTCTTACAGTTGATCGAATCGGCTACTGAAGCTTGTGCATTCGTCACATAGTTCTCGTGCCATGTTTTTCAGCTCCATCAGGTCATTTAAGGACTTCTCTACATTGGTTATTCTAGTTAGCCATTCGTCTAATCTTTTTTCAAGGTTTTTAGCTTTTTTTGCGATGGGTTCCAACTTCCTTCTTTAGCTGGGAGAAGTTTGATCATCTGAAGCCTTCTTCTCTCAACTCGTCAAAGTCATTCTCCATCCAGCTTTGTTCCACCACTCGCGAGGAGCTGCCTTCCTTTGGAAGGGGAGAGGCACTCTGATTTGTAGAATGTTCAGCTTTTCTGCTCTGTTTTTCCCCATCTTTGTGGTTTTATTTACCTTTGGTCTTTGATGATGGTGACGTACAGATGGGGTTTTGGTGGTGTGGATGTCCTTTCTGTTTGTTAGTTTTCCTTCTAACAGTCAGGACCCTCAGCTGCAGGTTTGTTGATGTTTGCTAGAGGTCCACTCCAGACCCTGTTTGCCCGAGTATCAGCAGCAGAGGCTGCAGAACAGCGAATATTGCTGAACAGCAAATGTTGCTGCCTGATTGCTCCTCTGGAAGCTTTGTCTCAGAGGTGTACCTGGCCATGTGGGGTGTCAGTCTGCCCCTACTGGAGGGTGCCTCCCAGTTAGGCTACTCTGGGGTCAGGGAGCCACTTGAGGGGGCAGTCTGTCCCTTCTCAGATCTCAAATTCCATGTTGGGTGAACCACTAGTCACTTCAAAGCTGTCAGACAGGGACATTTAAGTCTGCAGAGGTTTCTGCTGCCTTTTGTTCGGCTATGACCTGCCCCCAGAGGTGGAGTCTACAGAGGCTGGCAGGCCTTCCTGAGCTGCGATGGGCTCCACCCAGTTCGAGCTTGCTGGCAATGAGCAAGGCTCTGTGGGCATGGGACCCTCCGAGCCAGACATGGGATATAATCTCCTGGTATGCTGTTTGCTAAGACTGTTGGAAAAGTACAGTATTAGGGTGGGAGTGACCCAATTTTCCAGGTGCTGTCCGTCACCACTTCCCTTGGCTAGGAAAGGGAATTCCCTGACTCCTTGCACTTCCCAGGTGAGGTGATGCTCACACTCAATGGGCTGCCCCCACTGTTCTGCCCCCACTGTCCAACAATCCCCAGTGAGATGAACCCAGTGCCTCAGTTGGAAATGCAGAAATCACCCATCTTCTGCATTGCTCATGTTGGGAGCTGTAGACTGGAGCTGTTCCTATTCGGCCATCTTGGAACCAGTCTGAATTAGTGAATTTTCAACATAAAACTCAACTCCTGTGCTCTTAGCCACTCACTTTACAAAAGCCAAATCCAGTTCCTCATCCTCTTGCCCACTCACTCAGCAAGCCTTGGGGCCCCTGCCTTTCAGTGCTTAGAGAATCATGTTCAGATGCAAGAGCCAGGCTTGGTTCTCACTGGGCTTGGCAGGCACAGTACATGCCTAACTCTGGCCTGCGTGTGCATTTCCACTTGAGGTCCTAACCTTCCACTCAGCCCCTCAAGACTCTTCAGGGACCTAAGGGCCCCTGGTGCAGAGCTGCCTTTTTGCTCCAGGAGAAAGGCATTTCGTGGCCCTTGGTGGGTATCTTTAAATCACTGCAGAATAGTTTACTCCTCTTCTCTGAAATTCTTATACTGAGCAAAAACGGGAGTTCACTCTGGGTTTTAGTGTTGCCTGTGAGAGCAGCAGTTCTCACAGCTCTTATGTTTCTAAGTCCATTTCATTGTTTCATGGAGAAATGTGTGACGATGACACAACCCGGTTTCCTGTCGTGCCTACACAGAGGATTGAGAATGAGCTCCATTCTAAAAGAGTGCAGTGTCCTAGATGGCTTTAGAAGAGACACATGTGCTTGGACTTGGGCTCTGTCACTGAAGCTGTGTGACCAAGAGTTGCCCTGACCCCCTCACATGTAAAATGGAGATGATAATGCCTACTTCTCCGGGTCATGGTGTGCATTTGGGGAGAGAATGCAGGAAAGCCCTCCACACGGCGCCTGGCACGCAGTAAATGCCAATGGATGGGAACAATGATCATTATCATTATGCCTATAGTCATCACTGGCCTGAGGGTTCTGCTCCTCCCTCTAAGCCTAGCTCTGAGAGCATCTTATCTCTCAGCCTGTCCTGCTGCCGTCTCTCACTGCAGGAGTTGGAGCAGGTAGCAGGTAGCTAAGGGCGGGGCTGCTTCTCAGAGCCTTTAGAGCAGATGAGGTCATATCATGACCACTCTTTAAACTATTGCTTAAGGCCAAGCCTGTGAACGCAGCCCATAGAGCTGTGAATAGGGGGAGCCCAGATCTCCTGAAAACAGGTCCTGGAATAGTTTCTCTAGCTCTCGTGGTAAAGCATTGTGTTTTAAAACTTACTTTTCAACACAGATTATTATATTTTTGTAAAATATAATAAAAATTAATTACTAGAAAAATGAAATTTTAAAAACCCAAAGATATTCAAAATCCAAGTCTTTTTTTTTCTTATTAGGTGCAAAAGTCACAAAATTGTTCTGTTAAGTTGCTATAAAAGTTTCTAAAACCCCTCCTCTGAGTCTTTGTATTTTATTTTGTATTTATTTTATTTTTATTTTTTTTAAGAGACAGGGTCTCCCTCTGTCTCCCAGGCTAGAGTGCAGTGGCATGATCATAGCTCCCTGCAGCCTTGAACTTCAGGACTCAAGTGATTCCCCAACCTCAGCCTCCTAAGTAGTTGGGACTATAGGCACACACCACCACACCTGGCTAATTTTTTTTTTTTTTTTGAGACAGAGTCTTGCTCTGTTGCCCAGGCTGGGGTACAGTGGCATGATCTCAGCTCACTGCAAGCTCCACTTCCCAGGTTCACGCCATTCTCCTGCCTCAGCCTCCCAAGTAGCTGGGACTACAGTTGCCCACCACCACATCCAGCTAATTTTTTGTATTTTTAGTAGAGACGGGGTTTTACTGTGTTAGCCAGGATGGTCTCGATCTCCTGACCTTGTGATCCACCCGCCTCGGCCCCTAGCTAATTTTCAATTTTTTTTGTAGAGATGGGGTCTCTCTACATTGCCCAGGCTTGTGACAAAATCCTAGACTCAAACAATCCTCCCGCCTTAGCCACCCAAAGTGCTGGAACTATAGGCTTCAACCTCTGTACTGATCTAATTGCAGACCTGGACGCAGTTAGTTCTCAGATGACACTCAGGCCACATTCTGAGCTGTCCACCCGACAGCACTTCCAGGCTGAGACATCTTCATCCTTGAGCTTGGAACTGGGGTCCAAAAAGGAATATTAACGGGATACCTCTGCATCCTCCCCTGGGGATGTAAAGCCAGCCAGGAGGGGAGGCTTGAGGCCACAGAAGGCAAGCTGAGTATTAATGGTGACAATAACTGTTATCATTGGCTATGGGGGTAATTCTGGAGGCACTCAACATTCATCATCTCTTATCTACCTTAAGGAACCAGCTAATCTCTTGGGCACCTTGACTCTGAGGAGCTGGATCTCTTCAGTTTCACTGGTATGAATAAGTCAGTACATGCGGAATTGCAACATGCCAAGTTTCAAAAAGAGAATAGTTCTGTCTCCCCTGGTCCCGAAGGTGTTTGAAGAATTTATCCAATGGCTGATGAAGTTCTGGGAGCACAGCAGGATGAGAAAGCCTGGACTGACGGCAGAAGAGCTCAGCAGGGCAGGTTCCAAGGACTGACACAGTGCCTTAATGAAGCTGTCCCTTCACACAGATGCTCTGGATCTGTGGGGCCACAGTAATGGCCCTCTGACATTCATGTTCACCCAAGGTGTAGTGGTGAAATATTAGATTTAAGGGGTGATCATATGGTGAGTAATTGAATCACTTGTAGGCTGGCCCCCCTCATTTCCAGGTTGTTCAAGGGATTGGTTGTTTTGCCATGTGGTGGATTAATAATTGGCCACAGCTGGACATGGTAGCTCATGACTGTAATCCCAGCACTTTGGGAGGCCGAGCCGGGTGGATCACCTGAGGTCAGGAGTTCCAGACTAGCCTGGCCAACATGGCAAAACCCTTTCTCTAGTAAAAATACAAAAATTAGCCAGGCTTGGTGGCTACCTGGAGCCTGTAAACCAAGCTCCCTAGGAGGCTGAGGCAGGAGAATCGCTTGAACCTGGGAGGCAGAGGTTGCAGTGGGCTGAGATCGTGCCACTGCCCTCCAGCTTGGGCAATAGAGTGAGACTCTGTCCCAAAATAATAATAATAATAATAATAATAGGCCACAAATTCTTTGACATTCCTTCCATTGAGAGATGGGGGGGTCTGCATCCCCACCCCCACCCCCGGAGTCTGGGTGGGCTCTGTGACTGCTTGGACCAGTAGAATATGATGGAAGTTACAGTGTGCCAGTTTCCAGGCCCAAGCCTGAAGAGATTGGCAGCTTCCACTTTCTGTCTCTTAGAAAACTTGCTCTTGGAAGCCAGCCATCATGTAAGAAATGCAGGCACCCAGAGGACACCATTCTGTGAGAAGCCTTAAAGAATGAGACTCCATATGGACAGAGAGGCCAAGGAGCCTAGAGGTGCCAGACACATGACAGAAGAAGGCCCAGCCCCCTTCAGCTGATGCTACATGGCCACAGATGAACTGCCCAGTGAAGCCTTTCCTAAATTCCTGACCTGCAAGAGCATGAACAAAATTAAATGGCTGTTTAAAGTTACCAAGGAGGTTGGTTTTACAGCAGTAGAGAGAATGGAACTTGCTGGACAGCTTCTCTATGCTCACCCTCCAACCTGTGCTGTCCCTGAAAGTGATTGGAATGAGATGCCTCAATGGGTTTTCCACTGGGAACTCTGACCAGAAAGGAGGGAATGTGTAGAGGAAGGAGAGGCCAATCACTCCCCAGAACCTTTCTACTGAGGGCCGCAGCTCCTCCAAGGGTGCTGTCTCCAGGATACTTCTGCATTACTCCCACAACCTTCCCCCTCCCCCTGCATCAGGACTAGTGGTGCTGATGGCCCCGCACTCTGCATGGTCCCTCTGCACATGGGCCCACACCTTTGTGATGCCCCTTTGTTAAACCCTCATCCTAGTGTACCATCTGTTTTTTGCCAAGATGAGCTGAAGGGTCTGCAGGAAGAAGGGCTTCATAACCGAGACCTTGGGTAGATGTGCAGGAGGGAGTTTCAGAGCCAGCATTTTCTAACTACCAGAAAAAGAGAAGTGCCCTGTCCACAACCTTCCACATTCTGTTGACCACAGGAATAAATGAACTTTGTGATTTTTTTTCCTGTCATTAGGTAGGGGGACAAAAATCCTCTTAACTCCATGTTCAGAAATATTCTGGAAATTTGGTTTCTTAAGTCAAATTCCACATCAGAAACGATGGGATGTGGCCTGGTAGCTTAAGAACAGCAGGTACAGAATAACTTTTTTCTCCTTTGTCTCAGTTTTCTTAGCTATAAAATGGGGGTAACAGTCATCTCTTCCTACCTACCCCACCAAACTTCGTGAAGAACACACTAGCTACAGGAAACTTGGCAAAGAGAAAGAGTTTGACGCTGTCATGGCAGAAGCAGTGGCTTTCTCTTATTACGGTGGCTGCCTGGCCTTTGAAGGCTTATCTTTCCAGGTTTAAACTGAGAGCAAGCTGAAGGGTTATGACTCGAAGTGAGGTAGGATTTTGCCAGGCACACTAGGAGGCTGGGTATGCAAGGTGGTTCATTCAGGGAGCCTTGGCTGACCTTGACGCCTGCGTCCGTCTCTGATGCTCTGTACCAGGTCAGCTGTGTGTCCCTAACAAAGAATGGCCTCCTAACTGGGGTCTGCACATCTGGGCATCTTAGTAAGGGGAACAGATTTGAGGTTCTTCTTTCTTTCAGCGAAAGGTGAGACTTCGGGTTGAAGAACTGGTAACTGTGATTTGCAGGCTTGTCCATGGCTCCTCAGAGCTGGCACTTGGGGTGCTCCTTGTCCACCCCTTCCCTCCCTAGGCCCACATGGGGCACCCTGAGCTTGCCTGAGCCCTACTGTGATCTCACGGAGGGCAGGCTATGAACTAGAAAGTGATGCCACACCCTGGCAACTAGAGAAGTGCCCATCCAGGGGCATGTCCCATAGGTATCTGCCTGTATGGACCCTAGTTACCCACTGACAAAAAGAGGGGCACAACCCTCCCCTGTAGAACTGTAGCGCAGAGTGAGGACATGACGACAGTGAGGCCTGGGGCCACCCGCTCCACCCTCAGGGGCTTGTAAGAATCCCAAGGAAAGTCATGCCTCCTGCAGGTGTGTCGAGGCACAGGGCAGAGCCCTCCCACTTCCCGCCCCTGCACAGCAGTGTCATTCCTCCTATGACTACAGTGCTTTGAGGACAGGAAGAACTTTCGGTTCTTGGGAAGCCCGGGGCAGAAGGGGCCTGAGCTGCTCACCGCGTCCATCCCTCAGGACAACCTCGACATCGCCGGTGATCCAGCGGTAGCAGGGGAACTCGATGTAGTCCCCGTGGGGCGTCTTCAGCGTGATGTACTTCAGGTACCAGTCGTCATTCAGCCAGTACTTGCGCTTCTCGATTCTGACCAGCTGGATCTCGCCCAGTTCCTCGTCCACAGTCACGTCGTATGAATCCACCTGGGAAGGAGAACAGGCAATCAGGCCATGCGTGGTCTCCTGAGCCTTTGTTCTGGAGGTGTTAAGAATTTGTCACCCCAAGGTATGCTGCTGTGGCACAGGGACTACGTTGAATGAAAAGCACTTAAAAAAACAGCAGGTGCAAGATACTCTGACATTCGTGCTGTTTCTTAGAAGCAGGAGATGAAAGTCCCCTATGAAAGATGTCCTCACTATACCAAAAGGAAAGTAACACTCTTTTCATCAAGGTTGGGAAGTTGAAGCCAAAGGAAATCCATACAAACAGATCTTGTACAATGAACGCTTACCTCCCGAGTCACTTCCCTGCCCAGTTACCTGCCCTAGCCCAAGCCCCTTGGCCTTATCACATCTCACGATGATTCATTCAATGCAGTATCTAAGGGGGATTGACTCTAACTGCTTCTTGGGGTCTTCATCTTTTTAAGAGGGCTCCCATGCCACGTACAACTTGTATTAAAGAAATCTGTAGGCTTTCGCCCATGAATCTGTCTTATGCCGATTCTCAGACCTAGCTGAAATGGGAAGAGGTGGAGTTTTGCCTCCACTACAGTTCATGGAGCCAAGATTCTTCATGAACACCTTAAATGAACTCCTGAATTCATTTACCCAAGACATTCACTGAAGGCCTGCCCCTGACAAGGCTCAGTGCTACGACCCAGGCAGGTGAAAGAAATGGACAAATCCTGGGCCCTGCCCTTGAGGAGAGAGAATCCAGTGAGCCAGGATGGTGCTGTGCTGCTCAGAGGGCAACGCCTGCTGACTGCACTTAGCTCAGGCTGGAGGATGGGGAGATGCCCAGGCTCATGCCTGCACCTGCGAGGCTGTGCCCAGTGAGGGTCCGCAGCTGCCCCCACATGGGATAGCCTTGTGGGAGACCTTTACAACTGGAGATGGGCTTGCTGACAGTGGATCCCCACAATGACTCTGGGAGTGCAGGGGAGTTACCACCCCTTCCACAGATGAAGACAGCGAGGCTCAGTGACTCCCACCTCTGCCACTTGCCAGCAGAGCTGGAGTCACACCCCAGGTCTTTCCATCATAGCCACTTCCTCTCTTTCCAGTTTTCAGTGGGGATAATAAGTGAGTGAAAATGGTGAGGCTTAGATACAGGGAGCTTGCATGGATTCGAGTCGTCCTGGGACATTTGCAGTTCACAGCTGCATGGTGATGCCCAGAGAACAGTGAGACCAAGCAGCTCTGCTGCACCTGTGGCATTACTGGTGGCAGGGTGAGGCTAGCCTTGCAGCTAGAAGGCACCACCCCAGGCTGTGTACAGCGCAGCTGCCCAGGCCTCTGGGACAAGGCTGCTTGGCCCCCTCCCTGCCAGGCTCCTGCTTCCAGGACACAGGCGGCTCTGAGGCAACAGCCATAGCTTCTGGAGGGCTTTTGTCTCTGCAGCAATGGATGGCAGACAGGAAGTTGGGATGAGAGGCTCAGGCATTGCATCACGCATTCTGATGACCAGCAGGTTTGGAAAGCCCCGGACTCGATGCCCTCCAAGGCATGTTCTTTTTTATTTTGAGGTGGAGTCTCACTGTGTTGCTCAGGCTGGAGTGCAGTGGCTCGATCTCGGCTCACTGCAACCTCCACTTCCAGGGTTCAAGTGATTCTCCTGCCTCAGTCTCCCAAGTAGCTGGGACTACAGGCACCTGCCACCACATCTGGTTAAGTTTTGTATTTTCAGTAGAGACAGGGTTTCACCATGTTGGCCAGGCTGGTCTCAAACTCCTGACCTCAAGTGATCCACCTGCCTCGGTCTCCCAAAGTGCTGGGATTACAGGCATGAGCCACTGTGCCTGGCCCCTGCAAGGCACTTTCTAAGCCAGATTCATCAACCCTTGAACTTTATCCCTGGCGGCAGAACCTAGAGTTCTCAGCATGATGGCAAAGTGGAAGGGGCGAGGGGTATCATCCTTTGTGCGAGCGCAGGCATCCCCATTCCATGCCCTGCCTCCAAGCTGCCAGGAGGACCCCTGGAGGGCTTCCTAAGAGGAATGGGAACTTGAGTGTTTTCCACAAACCTCCTGGCTCTGAATACCGTGAGCAGTTTGGGGTGGCTGACGCTGAGGCCAGACGCTTGTGGTCAGAAAGCGGAAGCTTCCTCCCTGTGCTCTGTAGTCTAGGCCAGAGGCCCTAGGAACAGTTTCTGATGACAGAGGAGCCAGGCCCATGTGGTGGGATGACATGTCTTGGGTCCAGCCACATGTGGACCAGCCTCGGCCCCACGACAATGCCCCTCCTGCAGGGAGAGTATCAGCCTCATCTGCCACCTCTGAGAAAGCCTTCCTGCCACAGCTTGTCCTCAGGAGAGCAGGGCCACACACAAGGCCTCGCCCATCATGGACAGGGTGGGCAGGTTCTGATGGGACAGGAGTCTCAGCATCTCAGGGGCTCGGGCCCATCTGGAGGAGCAGAGTGGGGGCTGAGTGGCCCAGGACTGGATACGCGTCGGGCCTGCCCCACGCCAGGCCCTGCATGCCACAGGGATTTACAGAGGCCTTAGCTGCAGGTTGTGAGCCAAGACAGAGATTCCTGATCCCACCGAGGAGTGGGGAGAGGGCAGTGAGGGGTAGAAGGCTCGGTGGGCCCTGGGGTCTGGAGCTCTGAATTCACATCCCAGCTTCAGGCAAGTAGCTGGATGGCCTGGGCACATTGCTTCATTCTCTGAAGCTGTTTCTTCATCTACCCAAAGGAGATACCCCTCACTTGCAGGACCATTGAGAAAATGAAATGACACCATCCTGGGTGGCCTCCTTTCTCCAGAGGCACAGGCCACCGGTTGTGTGCATCAGAACCACCAGTGCCCCTTCCTGAATCCAGGGGGTTGCAGGGCACCAGGCCCCACACCGCCTGTGAGCTAGCATGGGCCCCTGCGTCACGGCCACTTCGTGACTACATGTGCCAATCCGAGTAACTGGAGCACACATGGGAGGAGGAAACTGAACCTGTGACCTCAAACTCCTTCACTCAAAGCCCAGAAGGAACTCCTGAAAGGCTGGAGACAGGGCTGTGAGGACAGAGGGAGAGTGGGAGGCATTCTGAATGCTGGTGGGGCAGGCAGAGCAAGTCTGTGTGCGGTGAGGACTGAGGGGCGGCCACCAGAGGCCCGGGCCTGGTCTGAGTGTGGCTGCTGCAGGGGAAGTAGCTTTCCTATGGCTCTGAGGGGCTGGAGAGGGAGGAAGGTGTCCCCAGGGGATAGATGACAGGAAAGCTGGGGTGGGGTGGGAGGAGCTAACAGGGACACTCTCATGGGAGGGAGGCTCCCAGTACCTTGGACTAAGAGGGGAGGGAGATGGGCTGAGGAGGCATTCCAGGACTGGGCAGGTCCCACAGGGAGGGCCCGATGTCTACCTGGGGGTGACGACCCACACGAAGAGACTGAGCAGCTTCTCTGAGGGAGTGGACAGTGGGGTGACCCTCCAGCACACCTGTGGTGCAGTCACAGGGGACTGGGACACTCCTGGCCCCCTGCCCTACCTACACCTGCAGGCACCTGGTGGAGAGCCCCTGAGTTTCACTTGGGGTGAAATCACTAGGCAGATTTACAAGGACTCCATCTGCCATCTGACAGGGACTTCCACAGCAGGAGGGGGCCAGGCCTGCAGTCTGGCTGGTCTATGGCCAGCCCAGCCACTTTCCTGGTGCTGGCTTCAAGCCTGAATATGATAAGAGGTGAACAAGGGGCAGAGGGCTCCAGCCTTGACCCAACTCAGGGAGTAAAAGACAAAGCTTGATGGCTGTGGTTCTAACATCCCAGGGGCCACTAATGGAAGAATGACAGATAAAGGCCTCCTTCCAGGAAAATACCAGGGTCACATGTGTCAAACTGCAAAATATCTTCGGAAGGTTTGTGGAACTACAATGGCCACCTTCCTCCCTCCTCTCTGGGCCAAGTACACTGGGCTGATGCTATATTTGTCTATTTGCTGTGACACATTAAATTCTCAGGTGACACACTGAATTATGGTGGGCACTATCAACAGTGGACACCCCCCAACAGGCCCTCAGGAAGCACTGGGCCTGGGAATGGCCGAGCGAGTGATTATCCTGCTTTACAGATAGAAACTGAGGCTCAGAGAGCAATGGTGGCCTCAAGATCAGAACCTACACCTGTGTGATGGCCAAGCCCAGGTTCCTCCCACAGTTCCCCAAGGCCACATCTTGAGAAAAGCCCTGAACCGGAAGCTAGAAGGCCCAGCTTTGAGCCCTGGTTTGTACCCTGGATGGAGTGTAAAGGGGCAATGTGGAGTGGCATGGAAGGACAGGGAAAAGCTTCATAAGAGGGTATTTCAGGCAGCTTTTAGGGGCTGATCAGATTTCAGAGGGCAGATGAGTAGGAGGATGGGCATGGGTAGCACATTTCAGATGTGGGGAACTGGGAGGGCAGGGTCCCCGGGGGATTCACACGTGGGAGGAGGAAGGCTGGACACAGTTTCTGGGGACAGAAGTGGGTGGCGTGGTGGTGCAGATGCTGGAGAGAAACAAGGGAAACCTGCAACTCACCGGCCTCATTTCACAAGGGGCCACTTTGCTGATTTTGCTTGTTGCTTTTAACTTTTTATTGGATATGTAGTTTTAAAGCTTTTGAATATTTCGGCAAAGAGTCAGTTGGTCAGTTTTCATGTGAGCTTTCTATCAGCATTTTAGGAAAGTTTTCATCTGTCTTTCATCAGATCTCTGCTGTTGCTGGGACAGGGAGACGGATCTCTCTGCGGAAGCAAGGATGTGTGCCCCACCCCCAGACTACCCATCTTGGAGGGGGACTAATGAGGGGCTGTGGGAGGAGGAAGCTGTAGAGCAGAGAGGAAGATTGGGGGCCAGACAAAACAGAGACTCGGGATGAGAGAGGGGGAGGCTATGGGGAAGAGCTGAGGAAAACAAGGGACGGAGAGAGGGATTGGGGTAGTGGATAGGGAGACCAAGGGGCAGAGAAGGGGGAAAATGTGGGACAGAGAGCCGGAGATTGAGGGAGCAGAGAAGGGGCCTCTGAGAGGTGGCTGGAAGACAGAGTGTAGAGGAAAATTCAGAGCAAAAAAGAAGGGAGAGTTGTAGGGTAGAGAGCAGAAACGGGGGGCATTTAGGGAACTGGGAGCAGGGGAAGGAAGAGGAGGCAGAAGAGGGGGCAGAATGTAGGGAAAAGATGGCTCAGAGGGGGAGACTGGGAGATGAGAGACGGATTGAGGGTCATACCAAAGAAATATTTATGCTCCACTAATATATTCCCATTCACAAGAAGGAGGTATTCTAGAATTAATTTTTCATGAATGTAAGAATACTCACTGACTTAAGAAGCATGAATCATTATAACACTTTTCTACACTTGTTGAACATATTCAAGTATCATATATTAAACACCACGCTATTGCCCTTAGCTTTCTTAAAAGTACCAGCACAGAATGAAATGGGCCAACTAAGATTTCTCAGAAATCTTCAGATCTGTTACAGTTATCGTATCCGATCTGAATTACTTTAAATTTACAGAGTTAAAGAAATAAATCAACTTGTTAAATTTGCCTAGACTTGGGTTAGCCTCTGGAAACAGGGCCATTCTGTGTAGGATCCCGGCTTTCTCCAGCAGACAGTGAGGAGCCAAGGAAGACACAACCGTTTATAGGATAATCCCACCTGCGAAGGACTTGATTCCCAGTCCTGACTGAATCACTATGCGGAACTCTGATGAGAATAACAAGGGACCTGTGACTCACTTTATCAAGGAAAAAATCAGTCCTGTCCATTATTTGACTGAACTATGCCCTGGAGGAGGGGGGTGTTGACCTGCCAATAACTTGGAAATGATTAAATTGTGTGGAAATACCTTTATTGTTATTGTTATCGTTACTACTGTTAACAATACAGATTTTAACACTTTTCCCTGTAAAATGGGATAACCTTGTCTTCTCAGCAAGTACTTCCTCTAGGGTTTCTCTTTTACCTTTACCCAAAAAGGATGATTGTCTTTACAGATACCAAGCTGGGAGAATGAGGAAGTAGTTCTGGGCTGGGCAAGAGAAAGTGTTGAGTAACTTTGCATCAACAGGAACTTTCTCAAAAGCTGATTTTTTCAAGGAAACTTTCAGCCTTAGCTGGTTCCCCACCCTGCGGTAGCCCCCACCCCCAACCACCCCCCGCCCCACCCCTGACTTATAGCCCTCTCAACCCAATGGAAATGTGACATGCAAATCTCTCCTGAAATTTGCCCCTGGGATTCCGGCTGAGGTGTTTAATTATAATGTCATTTGAATGACTTCTCAGGGTAGGGGAAGACAGACCGAGAGAGGGAGATAGTGGACAAAACAGTGCCTTCACTCTTTGTCCGAAGAGCCCGCTATGGCCACGTTATCATGTCCCCTGCAGGAGGAAAGCACACACGGGGTGCCCGTGCTGTGCAGTGTGAGCACACCAATGGCCTGTGCTTCTAGAACCTTATGATGTGTGGAGGAGAATGGGGAGGAGGAAGCACTTACAAAGGGGAAGTAGCCTGTACCCTGTCCTTCTCCCCCAGGTGTGGGGAATCCATGAAATAATGGAAGTAAATGAAGGTGCGTCAGAAATGGCAGAGGGTGCCATCACCCTAAATGGACGACACATTAACTCCAGGGCACCGCAGTCCTCAGGGTCAGTTCCCCGACTGGGGCAACTAAGCAACTGAAGGTTGCTCTTGTACTCAACACCTAACTCTTCTTGAAGGGAGCTCAAGCCAGGATGCTAGTGAACTTGGCTGAGGGCCATGTCGTGCTACAGCGAGGGTATGGGCTCCTGGATAGGAATCGAGCCCATGGAGAGCTTGGAATCCAGAAAAAGAGTAGTTTTTACTTACTTTAGGCTCTGCACACCTAAAACACAAATTTTATCCAAGAGTAATCAGTTGAAACATGAACTTGCCGGTTGTATTTGTCCATTATGAGCAATTTCACAAGGTTTGATCAAATAATAAACTAAATGGTGAGAAGGCAGCTTGGTAAAGTCTAAATCTTTTTGGTCCAGTTAGGAGCTGGGGTGGGGTGGAAGGGAACTGATATTCCCTGCGCACCTGCAGTATGTCTGGGACTATTACCAGTCATTTACGGAGCGCTTCCTCTGTGCCAGGTACTGGATTAGGCACTTCATTAAAGGCTCAGTGAGAACTGCGACCTGCCCATGCTCATGGAAAAGAGTCGTGGGGCTGGAATTCAGGTCCAGATCAGCATTAGGAACTAGCTTCCAAATGCTGAGGGCTCCCTCGCGTCCTCACACCTAGCGTGGAAGTGTTCCCTGGTGTACATTCTGCTGGGAGGGAGTGCAGCCCCTCCATTTAGGAAAAGCCTCTCCTGGCCTGGGTTCTGTTCCTTCCCTTTAATTTCCTCTGGGGACTGTCCTGAGAATGTAAGCTGCCCAGGTGCCGTCTGAGCCACCAGATGGGCCTGGGCTCACCCATGACTCATGGACCAGACTGAAGCCAACCCTCCATTTTCAGCTGGGGAAACTGAGGCCCAGACAGACGGTAGAGTGAGCTGGTGGTCATGTCTGGACAGAACTCAGGCCTCTGGACCCGCTGACGTGCACCCTTCCCCACGGCTCACAGCTGGCTGCTCCGAGGTGCCCTCAGAGTTCTGTGAGCATGACTCATCTGCCTCTCCCTCCCTGTGCGACCTGCAGAAGGAGCCTAAGGAAGAGGTGGCACAAGAAACGCGGCCCAGTGAAGGGGGCTCCGGAGCCTCGGAGCCCAGATCTTGAAGTGGAGGGGAAACCTTGGGCCTTCTCCTCCCAGGGAAGACGCCTTGCAGGCGGCACGCGGGAAGTCTCCGTTTCCGACAGGGGTCGCGGCCGCCGCGAGGGGTCCTGGACGCTTGCCCACCAGGGTACCCACCGGCCACTGGGAGCCCAGGGCACGCCCCACCGCAGTTCTGCCCTCCCTGACAGGGTCCTGGACACCCCCAGTCCTGTCCGGGCCGCCCCGACGGGCCCTCGGCGCCCCCGCCCAGGCCTCTGCCGTCCAAACCGGGTCCCGGACGCACCTCAGCCCGCGCTCCACCCGTGCCCCGCCCGCGCTCACCGCGCCACGCTCGAAGTCGTTGTAGAAGGGCTTGTCCAGCAGGTGCTTCTCGCTGCAGCCCGCCGAGCCCACGAGGCTGAGGTAGATGTAGTCGTCAGTGCCGGCGAACCACTGGCTGCCAGTGGCCACGGTGACCGTGTAGGAGGGCATGGCGCGGGCCGCGGGAGCAGCGAGCGCCGGGAGCCTCGGCGCGGCGGTCCAGGTGTCCGCATCTAGCGCCGCAGCCTCCTCCCACCACTGGTCCCTGGCCCCGGTCCCGGCCCCGCCCCGGTCTGGCTCCAGGCTCCCGGCTGCCCCCGCCCCCGCCCCCGCCCCCGCCCCCGCCCCCGCAGTACTTCTCTCCCACTCTTCACGCGGCGCCGACTGGGCGGGACCTCGCCTCGGGCGGGGCAGGGGCCTCGCTCCTGGGTCTCTCCTCAGCGAGGTGTCTGTTCCTGCAGCCAGGGGACTGGGGCAACCTCGGCTGCCACCCCTCATCCATTCGTTCACTCGTTCTCTCCTGAATTGCTTCCACCCTTTGCCCTGCCTGCCTGCCTCGGCTTCGCCCAAGGCCAGGCTCCTGTAGGCCCTGGGGTGGAGCTGCGGGGACTCCCTACAAATCTAGGCACAGCCTCTGCTCTCCCCAAGTTCTCAGTGCCACTTGCGGTACTTGGAGCAGGGGTGCTCCGGGAGTCTGCAGAGGAAGAGCGACCCATGAGAGAATCAGAAGGGCTTCCTGGAGGAGGCCACCCCAGCGCTGATACTGAGGATGGATTCTGGAGCACAGAGGCTCCTTCAGCGCGGGCTTCTTCACTGGCTGGACCTGCGGCTCCTGGCGGGGGCAGGCGGGCGCCGAGACCGCGCCCAGGCCCAGAGATGGCCAGTGGTCGCGGGAGGCAGGCGGGACGGCACATCTGGACATGCGGGGCTGTCTAGGGGAGGCCAGGGGTCACGGGTCGGCTCTCTGAATCGCGGCGGGCAAATGCCTGGAAGGGTGTGGAGAAGGTTTCGCGCGCTCCTGGGCGGCTTCCCGCGGCTGGGGCCTGACCCCCAGGTTCCCGCCCACTCCTGGCGCCCGCCTCTCCCAGCCCCGCCGGCAGCGCAGGGTCTGACGGGCACACAGTCGCGTGTATTGATCTCGGCTAAGTTTAAACACTAGCTCACCGTGCGTGGGGCGGCGGGGATGTGAAGTCCCCAAAGGCGGCTGCCTACATTCTCACCAACGCTTCATGTCTGTGAAGCAGCAGAGTCCCTGTAGCATCTCCTCATACTGTCTTGGGTTTGTGCACCTGGCAAATGGCTTTGAACATCTTTTCACATGCTTGTTGGATATCTGTATATTTTTGGAGAGATGTATATTCAGATGCTTGACTCTTTGGAAAACTGGGCTATTTATCTTTTTTATCATTGAATTGCATTATTTATATATCCTGGATAGAAGTCTCTAATCGGATACATGACTTACAGACATTTTTATTGCTTCTGCGGGTTGTGTTTTCACTTTCTTGATGATGTTTGAAGCACAAAAGTATTTAACTTTAAGTCCAATTTCTTTTGTCGCTTGTGATTTTGGGGTCCTATCTGAGAAACCACTGCCTACAATAACATCTTAAAGATTTACTCCTAGGTTTTCCTCTAGGATTATTATAGTTTTAGCTTTTCATTTACATCCGTGACCCATTTTGAGTTAGTTTTTATGCATGGAGCGATAGAAGAATTCAAATTCATTGTGTTGCATGTGCATGTCCGGTTGTCCATGCATCATTTGTTGAATTCATTATTCTTTTCCCATTGCGTTGTCTTGACACCTTATTAAAAAGTAATTCATTATAAACATAACGGTTTATTTCTGGACATTGATTCTAGTCCACTGATCTGTAATGTACATGCTATACAGTGCCACACTGCTTGATTACCGCAGTGCTATAGTAAGTTTTGAAATTGGAAAATGTTAATCCACCAACGCTGTTCTTTATTTTTCAATATTGTTTTGGTTATTCTGGATCCTTTGAGATTCCATATAAATTATAGAATCAGCTTGTCAATTTCAGCCAAAAAGCAAGCTAGGATTTTGATAGGGGTTGAGTTGAAGCTGTAGATCAATTTGGGGAATATTGTCACTTTAACAATATTAAGTCTTCTGATCCATAGAATATGTTTCAGCTTATTTAAATCTTTTCTTTTCTTTTCGACTCTTTGGAGTCTCCCTCTGTTGCCCAGGCTAAAGTGCAGTGGTACAATCTCGGCACACTGCAACCTCTGCTTCCCAGGTTCAAGTGATCCATTTACTTAAATCTTTTCTGATTTATTTCAAAATATTTTGTAGTTTTCAGTGCACTTTTTATTTCTAAATAATTTATGTTTGATACTATTGTAAATGGAATTTTAATTCATTTTGAGATTGTTAATTGCTAGTATATAGAAAAACACTTGATTTTTGTACATTCATTTTATATTCTGCAAACTTGCTGAACTTGTTTATTAGTTCTAATGGTTTGTGTGTGTGTACATGTGCACATTTTCTATATGCAAGATCATGTCATGAGCGAGTAGAGATAGTTTTACTTCTTCTTTTATTTGGAAGCCTTTTATTTCTTTTTCAGGGATAATTGCCCTAGCCAGAACCTCAGTACAAGGTCAAATGGAAGTGGCAAAAGCAGGCATCTTTGTCTTGTTCCTGGTTCAAGAGGTGAACACCCAGCCTTTCTGTATTAAGTTTGATGCTAGCTGGGGGTTTCCACAGATGCCATTTATCAGGTTGAGGGAGTTCCCTTTTATTTCTTTTGTTTTAAAGTGTTTTTATCATGAAATTTTCTGTATCAGTCGAGATACGAAATTTTTTCCTGTATGCTATATTAATATTATGATTATTTTCGTTTTAAAATATTTGATTGACAAATCAAAGTTTCTATTTCAAGGGGTAAAATGTGATGATTTGATATATGTATATATTGAATGCTGATTGTCACAGTCAAATTAACATATCTATCACCACCTATAGTTACCATTTGTGTGTGTGTATGTTGGGGGGGTGCTGGGGATGCTTAAAATCTGCTCTTATCCAATTTCAAGTAATAACGCAGTTATAAACTATAGTCACCATGCTGTACATTTGATCCCCAGAACTTATTCATCTTTTTTTTTTTTTTTTTTTTGAGACAGGGTTTCGCTCTGTCACCCAGGCTGCAATGCAGTGGCACTATCTTGGCTGACTGCAGCCTTGACTTTCCAATTTCAAATGATCCTCCCCCCTCAGCCTCCTGACTAGCTGGGACTACAGGTGTATGCCACCACTCCCAGCTGATTCTTTTATTTTTATTTTTTGTAGAGATGAGGTCTCACTTTCTTGCCTAGGCTGGTCTCAAGCAATCCCTCTGCCTCAGCCTTCCAAAGTATTGGGATTACCAACATGAGCCATCGCACCTGGCCTTCATCTCATAACTGAAAGTTTATACTCTTTGCCCAATATTTTGCTTCTTCCCCACATCCCCTAGCTCCTGATAAATACTGTTCTACTTATTCGTCTTCAAGTTTGAAATTTTTAGATTCGCATATAAATGAGATCATACAATATTTGTATTTCTGTGTCTGGCTTATTTCACTTAACATAATGTCCTCTGGGTTCATTCATATCGTCACAAATGGCAGGGTTTCCTTCTTTGTTATGGCTGAAAAATAGTCCATTGTGTATGTATACATGCACACCCCTCCCCCCATTTTCTTTATCCGTTGATGGACATTTAGATTTTTTCCTTATCTTGGCTACTGTGAGTAAAGCTGCAATAAACATGGAAGTACAGATATCTCTTTGACATAGTGATTTGATTCCTTTGGATGTACACTCATAAGTGGAATTGCTAGATTGTATGGTAGTTCTATTTTTATTTTTTGAGGAACCTCCATTCTATTTTCCATAAAGGCTGTTGCAATTTACATTTCTACCAACAGTGTACAAGGGTTCTTTTTTCTCCATGCCCTTGCCAATATTCATTGTCTCTTGTGTTTTTCATAATAGCTTTCCAAACAGGTGTGGAGTGATATCTCATTGTGGTTTTGATTTGCATTTCCCTGATGATTAGTGATGTTGAACGCCTTTTCCTGCACTCGTTGGCCATCTGTGTGTCTTCTTTGAAAAAATGTCTATTCAGGTCCTTTGCCCATTATAAAACAGGTTATTATTTTTTTGGTATTGAGATATGTGAGTTCCTTATATATTTTCTATATTTTGATATTAACTTCTCATCAGGTATATGGTTTGCAAATATTTCCCTCCATTCTGTAGGTTGCCTTTTCATGTTGTTTACTTTCTTTTGCCATGCAGAAGCTTTTTAGTTTGATGTAGTCCTACTTGTTTATTTTTTCAAAAGTCTGTGCTTTTGGTGTAATATCCCAAAAAATTATTGCCAAGGCCAACGTCAAGGAGCTTTTCCCCTATGTTTCTCTCTAGGAGTTTTTGGTTTCAGATCTTACATTTAAGTCTTTAATTCATTTCAAGTTAATTTTTGTATATTAACTTGGGTCCAGTTTTGTATATTAAAAGGGTCTAATTTTATTCTTTTGTATGTGGATATGCAGTTTTCCCAACACCACTTATTGAAGAGATGAGATTATATTAATTTTATTTATAGCTATTGCAAATGGGAAATGGGATTACTTCCTTGATTTCATTTTCAGATTGTTTGCTATTGACATATAGAAATGCTACTGATTTTTGTATGTTAATTTTGTATCCTGAAACTTTACTGAATTTATCAGTTCTAATCATTTTTTTATGGAGTCTAGGTTTTTCCAAACAGAAGATCATACCATCTGCGAACAAGGGTAATTTGACTTCTCTCTTCCCAGTTTGGATGCCCCTTATTTCTGTCTCTAGTCTGTTCTAGCTAGGACTTTCAGTACTATGTTCCACTAACACTGGTGAAAATGAGCATCCTTGTCGTGTTCCAGATCTTAGAGGAATGACTTTCAGTTTCTCCCCATTTAGTATGATTCTAGCTGTGAGTCTGTCATATATGTCTGTTTATTGTGTTGAGGTATGTTCCTTCTGTCTCCAGTGTTTTTGAGGGTTTTTGTCATGAAGAGATGTTTAATTCTCTCAAATACTTTTTCAGCATCAATTAACATGACCATATGGTTTTTCTTCTTCATTCTGTTGATATGATATGTTACACTGACTGATGTGTATATGTTGAACCATATTTGCATCCCTGGGATAAATCCCATTTGGTCATAATGAATGATTTTTAATGTGATGTTGAATTCAGTTTGCTAGCATTTTTTCAGGATTCATCAATATTCATGTGAGATATTGGCCTATAGTTTTCTTTTTTTGATGTGTCCTTGGTTTTGATATAGGAGCAGTAATGGCCTCATAGAATAAGTTTGGAAATATTCCCTCCTCTTCTACTTTTTGGAATAGTTTGAGTAGGATTGGTATTAGTTCTTTAAATGTTTGATAGAATTCAGCAGTGAAGCCATTGGGTCTCAGGCTTTTCTTTGCTGGGAAAATTTTAATTATGGCTTTGATCTTGTTACTTGTTTTTGGTCTGTTCAGATTTTGAATTTCTTCATGGTTGAATCTTGTTAGGTTGCGTGTGTCTAGGAATTTATCCATTTCTTCAAGATTTTCCAATGTTTGGCATACAGTTGCTCATAGTAGCCATTAATGATCCTTTGAATTTCCGCAGTATCAGTTATAATGTCTGCTTTTTCATCTCTGATTTTATTTATTTGGGCCTTCTCTTTTTCTTAGTCTGGCTAAACATTTGTCAATTTTGTTTATCTCTTTAAAAAGCCAACTTTTCATTTTTGTTGATCTTTTGTATTGTTTTCTTCATTTCAATTTTATGTGTTTCTTTTTTTTTGGGTTGGGAAGTTTAGAGAATGGATTGATAGAGAAGTTTAATGGTATACTTCGCTGATGCTTAAAAATTGTACAGTCTAACAAGTGATCTCACTCTTTCTAAACTGCATTCTACTATCCTGATGTGAAAAAGGGAAATGGAAACTTCTTCACAGAATTAAAATTTAGATAAGAAAATCTAAACTTAAGGTTGTTATTTTTGCTATTTACTATTGTGATGTGGTATTACCCTGGCACCATGGAATGTGCGGAAGTGAAAGCCATCTGCTCCCCAGCCACTCCTAATGTTGGAAGGGGATTTATTTTAACAATTTGGTGTGTATGCCTGAATACTTTCCATGTGTATCCAGACACATAGTGCACATGCAGAGTTATATTAGGTATACCCATCTACAATTTGCTAGTAACATTTTCTTTTTTTCATTTTTATTATACTTCAAGTTCTAGGGTACCTGTGCACAAAGTGCAGGTTTCTTACATAGGTATAGATGTGCCCTATTGGTTTGCTGCATCCATCAACTCATCATTTACATTAGGTATTTCTCCTAATGCTATCTCTCCCCCAGTCCACCACCCCCCAACAGGCCCTGGTGTGTGATGTTCCCTGCCCTGTGTCCAAGTGTTCTCATTGTTCAGTTCCCATCTATGAGTGAGAACATGCGGTGTTTGGTTTTCTGTCCTTGTCATAGTTTGCTGAGAATGATGGTTTCCAGCTTCATCCATGTCCCTGAAAAGGACATGAACTCATCCTTTTTTATGGCTGCATAGTATTCCATGGTGTATATGTGCCACATTTTCTTAATCCAGTCTATCATTGATGGACATCTGGGTTTGTTAGAAGTCTTTGCTATTGTGAATAGTGCCACAATAAACATTCGTGTGCATGTGTCTTTATAGTTGCACCATTTGTAATCTTTTCGGTATATACCCAGTAATGGGATTGCTGGGTCAAATGGTATTTCTAGTTCTAGATCCTTGAGGAATTGCCACACTGTCTTCAACAATGATTGAACTAATTTACACCCCCACCAACAGTGTAAAAGCATTCCTATTTCTCCATGTCCTCTCCAGCATCTGTTGTTTCCTGACTTTAATGATCGTCATTCTAACTGGTGTGAGATGGTATCTCATTGTGGTTTTGATTTGCATTTCTCTGATGGCCAGTGATGATGAGCATTTTTTCATGTGTCTGTTGGCTGCATAAATGTCTTCTTTTGAGAAGTGTCTTTTCATGTATTTTGCCCACTTTTTGATGGGGTTGTTTTTTTCTTGAACATTTGTTTAAGTTCTTTGTAGATTCTGAATATTAGCCCTTTGTCAGATGAGTAGATTGCAAAAATTTTCTCCCATTCTGTAGGTTGCCTATTCACTCTGATGGTAGTTTCTTTTGCTGTGCAGAAGCTCTTTAGTTTAATTAGATCCCATTTGTCAATTTTGGCTTTTGTTGCCATTGCTTTTGGTGTTTTAGACATGAAGTCCTTGCCCATGCCTATGTCCTGAATGGTAATGCCTAGGTTTTCTTCTAGGGTTTTTATGGTTTTAGGTCTGACATTTAAGTCTTTAATCCATCTTGAATTAATTTTTGTATAAGGTGTAAGGAAGGGATCCAGTTTCATCTTTCTACATATGGCTAGCCAGTTTTCACAGCACCATTTATTAAATAGGGAATCCTTTCCCCATTTCTTGTTTTTCTCAGGTTTGTCAAAGATCAGACAGTTGTCGATATGCAGCATTATTTCTGAGGGCTCTGTTCTGTTCCATTGATCTATATCTCTGTTTTGGTAACAGTACCAAGCTGTTTTGGTTACTGTAGCCTTGTAGTATAGCTTGAAGTCAGGTAGTGTGATGCCTCCAGCCTTGTTCTTTTGGCTCAGGATTGACTTGGTGATGCGGGCTCTTTTTTGGTTCCATATGAACTTTAAAGTAGTTTTTTCCAATTATCTGAAGAAAGTAATTGGTAGCTTGATGGGGATGGCATTGAATCTGTAAATTACCTTGGGCAGTATGGCCATTTTCACAATATTGATTCTTCCTACCCATGAGCATGGAATGTTCTTCCATTTGTTTGTATCCTCTTTTATTTCGTTGAGCAGTGGTTTGTAGTTCTCCTTGAAGAGGTCCTTCACATCCCTTGTAAGTTGGATTCCTAGGTATTTTATTCTCTTTGAAGCAATTGTGAATGGGAGTTCACTCATGATTTGGTTCTCTGTTTGTCTGTTGTTGGTGTATAAGAATGCTTGTGATTTTTGTACATTGATTTTGTATCCTGAGACTTTGCTGAAGTTGCTTATCAGCTTAAGGAGGTTTTGGGCTGAGACAATGGGGTTTTCTAGATATAAAATCATGTCATCTGCAAACAGGGACAATTTGACTTCCTCTTTTCCTAATTGAATACCCTTTATTTCCTTCTCCTGCCTGATTGCCCTGGACAGATCTTCCAGCACTATGTTGAATAGGAGTGGTGAGAGAGGGCATCCCTGTCTTGTGCCAATTTTCAAAGGGAATGCTTCCAGTTTTTGCCCATTCAGTATGATATTGGCTGTGGGTTTGACATAGATAGCTCTTATTATTTTGAGATACGTCCCAGCAATACCTAATTTATTGAGAGTTTTTAACATGAAGTGTTGTTGAATTTTGTCAAAGGCCTTTTCTGCATCTATTGAGATAATCATGTGGTTTTTGTCTTTGGTTCTGTTTATATGCTGGATTACATTTATTGATTTCCATATGTTGAACAAGCCTTGCATCCTAGGGATGAAGCCTACTTGATCATGGTGGATAAGCTTTTTGATGTGCTGCTGGATTTGGTTTGCCAGTATTTTATTGAGGATTTTGGCATCAATGTTCCTCAAGGATATTGGTCTAAAATCCTCTTTTTTGGTTTTGTCTCTGCCCGGCTTTGGTATCAGGATGATGCTGGCCTCATAAAATGAGTTAGGGAGGATTCCCTCTTTTTCTATTGATTGGAATAGTTTCAGAAGGAATGGTACCAGTTCCTCCTTGTACCTCTGGTAAAATTCGGCTGTGAATCCATCTGGTCCTGGACTCTTTTTGGTTGGTAAGCTATTGATTATTGCCACAATTTCAGCTCCTGTTATTGGTCTATTCAGAGATTCAACTTCTTCCTGGTTTAGCCTTGGGAGAGTATGTGTCGAGGAATTTATCCATTTCTTCTAGATTTTCTAGTTTATTTGCATAGAGGTGTTTGTAGTATTCTCTGATGATAGTTTTTATTTCTGTGGGATCGGTGGTGATATCCCCTTTATCATTTTTTATTGCATCTATTTGATTCTTCTCTCTTTTTTTCTTTATTATTCTTGCTAGCGGTCTATCAATTTTGTTGATCCTTTCAAAAAACCAGCTCCTGGATTCATTAATTTTTGAAGGGTTTTTTTTGTCTCTGTTTCCTTCAGTTCTGCTCTGATTTTAGTTATTTCTTGCCTTCTGCTAGCTTTTGAATGTGTTTGCTCTTGCTTTTCTAGTTCTTTTAATTGTGATGTTAGGGTGTCAATTTTGGATCTTTCCTGCTTTCTCTTGTGGGCATTTAGTGCTACAAATTTCCCTCTACACACTGCTTTGAATGCATCCCAGAATTTCTGGTATGTTGTGTCTTTGTTCTCATTGGTTTCAAAGAACATCTTTATTTCTGCCTCCATTTCGTTGTGTACCCAGTAGTCATTCAGGAGCAGGTTGTTCAGTTTCCATGTAGTTGAGCAGTTTTGAGTGAGTTTCTTCATCCTGAGTTGTAGTTTGATTGCACTGTGGTTAGAGAGACAGTTTGTTATAATTTCTGTTCTTTTACATTTGCTGAGGAGAGCTTTACTTCCAAGTATGTGGTCAATTTTGAAATAGGTATGGTGTGGTGCTGAAAAAAATGTATATTCTGTTGATTTGGGGTGGAGAGTTCTGTAGATGTCTATTAGGTCTGCTTGGTGCAGAGCTGAGTTCAATTCCTGGGTATCCTTGTTGACTTTCTGTCTTGTTGATCTGTCTAATATTGACAGTGGGGTGTTAAAGTTTCCCATTATTAATGTGTGGTAGTCTAAGTCTCTTTGTAGGTCACTCAGGACTTGCTTTATGAATCTGGGTGCTCCTGTATTGGGTGCATATATATTTAGGATTGTTAGCTCTTCTTGTTGAATTGATCCCTTTACCATTAAGTAATGGCCTTCTTTGTCTCTTTTGATCTGTGTTGGTTTAAAGTCTGTTTTATCAGAGACTAGGATTGCAACCCCTGCCTTTTTTTTGTTTTCCATTTGCTTGGTAGGTCTTCCTCCATCCCTTTATTTTGAGCCTATGTGTGTCTCTGCCCGTGAGATGGGTTTCCTGAATACAGCACACTGATGGGTCTTGAATCTTTATGCAATTTGCCAGTCTGTGTCTTTTAATTGCAGCATTTAGTCCATTTACATGTAAAGTTAATATTGTTATGTGTGAATTTGATCCTGTCATTATGATGTTAGCAGGTTGTTTTGCTCGTTAGTTGATGCAGTTTCTTCCTAGTCTCGATGGTCTTTACATTTTGGCATGATTTTGCAGCGGCTGGTACCGGTTGTTCCTTTCCATGTTTAGCACTTCCTTCAGGAGCTCTTTTAGGGCAGGCCTGGTGGTGACAAAATTTCTCAGCATTTGCTTGTCTGTAAAGGATTTTATTTCTCCTTCACTTATGAAGCTTAGTTTGGCTGTATATGAAATTCTGGTTTGAAAATTCTTTTCCTTAAGAATGTTGAATATTGGCCACCACTCTCTTCTGGCTTGTAGAGTTTCTGCCGAGAGATCCGCTGTTAGTCTGATGGGCTTCCCTTTGAGGGTAACCCGACCTTTCTCTCTGGCTGCCCTTAACATTGTTCCCTTCATTTCAACTTTGGTGAATCTGACAATTATGTGTCTTGGTGTTGCTCTTCTCGAGGAGTATCTTTGTGGCGTTCTCTGTATTTCCTGAATCTGAATGTTGGCCTGCCTTGCTAGATTGGGGAAGTTCTCCTGGATAATATCCTGCAGAGTGTTTTCCAACTTGGTTCCATTCTCCCCGTCACTTTCAGGTACGCCAATCAGATGTAGATTTGGTCTTTTCACATAGTCCCATATTTCTTGGAGGCTTTGTTCATTTCTTTTTATTCTTTTTTCTCTAAACTTTCCTTCTCACTTCATTTCATTCATTTCATCTTCCATCGCTGATACCCTTTCTTCCAGTTGATCGCATTGGCTCCTGAGTCTTCACGTAGTTCTCGAGCCTTGGTTTTCAGCTCCATCAGCTCCTTTAAGCACTTCTCTGTATTGGTTATTCTAGTTATACATTCTTCTAAATTTTTTGAACGTTTTCAACTTCTTTGCCTTTGGTTTGAATGTCCTCCCGTAGTTCGGAGTAATTTGATCATCTGAAGCCTTCTTCTCTCAGCTCGTCAAAGTCATTCTCCGTCCAGCTTTGTTCCATTCCTGGTGAGGAACTGCATTCCTTTGGAGGAGGAGAGGCGCTTTGCCTTTTAGAGTTTCTAGTTTTTCTGCTCTGTTTTTTCCCCATCTTTGTGGTTTTATCTACTTTTGGTCTTTGATGATGGTGATGTACAGATGGGTTTTTGGTGTGGATGTCCTTCTGTTTGTTAGTTTTCCTTCTAACAGACAGGACCCTCAGCTGCAGGTCTGTTGGAGTACCCGGCTGTGTGAGGTGTCAGTCTGCCTCTGCTCGGGGATGCCTCCCAGTTAGGCTGCTCGGGGGTCAGGGGTCAGGGACCCACTTGAGGCAGTCTGCCCGTTCTCAGATCTCCAGCTGCGTGCTGGGAGAACCACTGCTCTCTTCAAAGCTGTCAGACAGGGACATTTAAGTCTGCAGTAGTTACTGCTGTCTTTTTGTTTGTTTCTGCCCTGCCCCCAGAGGTGGAGCCTACAGAGGCAGGCAGGCCTCCTTGAGCTGTGGTGGGATCCACCCAGTTTGAGGTTCCCAGCTGCTTTGTTTACCTAAGCAAGCCTGGGCAATGGCAGGCGCCCCTCCCCCAGCCTCGCCGCTGCCTTGCAGTTTGATCTCAGACTGCTGTGCTAGCAATCAGCAAGACTCCGTGGGCATAGGACCCTCCAAGCCAGGTGCGGGATATACTCTCCAGGTGCGCCGTTTTTTAAGCCCGTTGGAAAAGTGCAGTATTCAGGTGGGAGTGACCCGAATTTCCAGGTGCCATCTGTCACCCCTTTCTTTGACTAGGAAAGGGAACTCCCTGACCCCTTGCACATCCCGAGTGAGGCAACGCCTCACCCTGCATTGGCTCGCACACAGTGCGCGCACCCACTGACCTGCGCCCACTGTCTGGCACTCCCTAGTGAGATGAACCCGGTACCTCAGATGGAAATGCAGAAATCACCCGTCTTCTGTGTCACTCACGCTGGGAGCTGTAGACTGGAGCTGTTCCTATTTGGCCATCTTGGCTCCTCCCCCTTCTTCTAGATTTTCTAGTTTATTTATGTAGAGGTGTTTATAGTATTCTCTGATGGTAGTTTGTATTTCTATGGGATCAGTGGTGATATCCCCTTTATCTTTTTTTATTGTGTCTAATTTGATTCTTCTCTCTTTTCTGTATTATTCTTGCTAGCGGTCTATTAATTTTGTTGATCTTTTTAAAAACCAGCTCCTGGATTCATTGATTTTTTTGAAGTGCTTTTTGTGTCTCTATCTCCTTCAGTTCTGTTCTGATCTTAGTTATTTCTTGCCTTCTGCTAGCTTTTGAATGTGTTTGCTCTTGCTTCTCTAGTTCTTTTAATTGCGATGTTAGGTTGTTGATTTTAGTTCTTTCCTGCTTTCTCTTGTGGGCATTTAGTGCTATAATTTTCCCTGTACACACTGCTTTAAATGTGTCCCAGAGAATCTGGTATGTTGTGTCTTTGTTCTTATTGGTTGCAAAGAACATCTTTATTTCTGCCTTCATTTCATTATGTACCCAGTAGTCATTCAGGAGCAGGTTATTCAGTTTCCATGTAGTTGTGTGATTTTGAGTGAGTTTATTAATCCAGAGTTCTAATTTGTTTGCACTGTAGTCTGAGACACAGTTTGTTGTGATTTCTGTTCTTTTACATTTGCTGAGGAGTGTTTTACTTCCAATTATGTGGTCAATTTTAGAATAAGTATGATGTGGTGCTGAGAAGTATGTACATTCTGTTGATTTGGGGTGTAGAGTTCTGTAGATGTCTATTAGGTCCACTTGGTGAATAGCTGAATTCAAGTCCTGGATATCTTTGTGACCCTTCTGTGTCATTGATCTGTCTAATATTGACAGTGGAGTGTTAAAGTCTCCCATTATTATTGTGTGGAAGTCTACATCTCTTTGTACGTCTCTACAGACTTGCTTTATGAATCTGGGTGCTCCCATATTGGTTGCATATATATTTAGGATAGTTTGTTCTTCTTGTTGCATTGATCCCTTTACCATTATGTAATGGCTTTCTTTGTCTCTTTGGATCTTTGTTGGTTTAAACTCTGTTTTATCAGAGACTAGGATTGCAAACCCTGCTTTTTTTTTTTTTTTTTTTTTTTTTTTTTGGCTTTCCATTTGCTTGGTGGATCTTCCTCCATCCCTATGTGTGTCTTTGCATGTGAGATGGGTCTCCTGAATACCGCACACTGATGGGTCTTGACTCTATGCAATTTGCCAGTCTGTGTCTTCAATTGAGGCATTTAGCCCATTTACATTTAAGGTTAATATTGTTATGTGTGAACTTGATCCTGTCATTATGTTGTGAGCTGCTTATTTTGCCAGTTAATTGTTGCAGTTTCTTCATGTCATCGATGGTCTTTACAATGTGGCGTGTTTTTGCAGTGGCTGGTAACAGTTGTTCCTTTCCATGTTCAGTGTTTCCTTCAGGAGCTCTTGTAAGGCAGGCCTGATGGTGACAAAATCTCTCAGCATTTGCTTGTCTGTAAAGGATTTTATTTCTCCTTCACTTATGAAGCTTAGTTTGGCTGGATATGAAATTCTGGGTTGAAAATTCTTTTCTTTAAGAATGTTGAATATTGACCCCTACTCTCTTCTGGCTTACAGGGTGTCTGCTGAGAGAGCTACTTTTAGTCTGATGGGCTTCCCTTTGTTGGTAACCCAACGTTTCTCTCTGGCTGCCCTTAACATTTTTTTCCTTCATTTCAACCTTGGTGAAGCTGACAATTATGTGTCTTGGGGTTGCTCTTCTTGAGGAGTATCTTTGTGGTGTTCTCTGTATTTCTTGAATTTGAATGTTGGCCTGCCTTGCTAGTTTGGGGAAGTTCTCCTGGATAGTATTCTGAAGAGTGTTTTCCAACTTGGTTTCCTTCTCCCCATCACTTTCAGGTACACCAATCAAGTGTAGATTTGGTTTTTTCACATAGTCCCATATTTCTTGGAGGTGCTTTTCATTTCTTTTTACTCTTTTTTCTCTAATCTTATCTTCTTGCTTTATTTTGTTAATTTGATCTTCAGTCACTGATATTCTTTCTTCCACTTGATTTAATCAGCTATTTAAGCTTGTGCATGCATCATGATGTCCTCATGCCACGGTTTTCAGCTCCATCAGGTCATTTAAGTTCTTCTCTACACTGTTTATTCTAGTTAGCCATTTGTCTAACCTTTTTTGAAGGTTTTTTAGCTTCCTTGCAATGGGTTAGAACATGCTCCTTTAGTTTGGAGTAGTTTGTTATTACCGACCTTCTGAAGCCTACTTCTGCCAACTTGTCAAAGTCATTCTCCACCCAGCTTCATTCCGTTGCCGGTGAGGAGTTGCAATCCTCTGGAGGAGAAGCGGTGCTCAGTTTTTAGAATTTTCAGCTTTTCTGCTCTGGTTTCTCCCCATCTTTGTGGTTTTATCTACCTTTGGTCTTTGATATTGGTGACTACAGATGAGGTTTTGGTGTGAATGTCCTTTTTGTTGATGTTGATGCTATTCCTTTTTGTTTGTTAGTTTTCCTTCTAGCAGTCAGGTCCCTCAGCTGCAGGTCTGCTGGAGTTTGCTGGAGGTCCATTCCAGACTCTGTTTGCCTGGGTATCACCAGCAGAGGCTGCAGAACAGCAAATATTGCAGAAGAGCAAATATTGCTTCCTGATCCTTCCTCTGAGAGCTTTGTCCCAGAGTGGCACCCACCTGTATGAGGTGTCTGTCGGCCCCTATGGGGAGGTGTCTCCCAGTTAGGCTACATGGAGTTTAGGGACCCACTTGAGGAGGCAGTCTGTCTGTTCTCAGAGCTCAGATGCCATGCTGGGGCAACCACTGCTCTCTTCAGAGCTGTCAGGCAGGGACGTTTAAATCTGCAGAAGTTGTCTGCTGCCTTTTGTTCAGTTATGCCCTGCCCACAGAGGTGGAATCTATAGAGGCAGTAGGCCTTGCTGAGCTGCGGTGGGCTCTGCCCAGTTTGAGCTTCCTGGCCACTTTGTTTACCTACTCAGTCCTCAGCAATGGCTGACACCCCTCCCCCCACCCAGCTGCAGCCTCGCAGGTTGATCTCAGATTGCTGTGCTAGCAGTGAGCCAGGCTCCGTGGGCATGGGACCTGATGAGCTAGGCTTGGGAGAGAATCTCCTGGTCTGCCGGTTGCTAAGACTATGGGAAAAGCACAGTATTTGGGTGGGAGTGAACCGATTTTCCAGGTACAGTCTGTCACGGCTTCCCTTGGCTAGGAAAGGGAAATCCCCCAATCACTTGTGCTTCCGGGGTGAGGTGACTCCTCACCCTGCTTCACCTCACCCTCCATGGGCTGCATCCATTGTCCAACCAGTCCCAATGAGATGAACCTGGTACCTCAGTTGGAAATGCAGAAATCACCCATCTTCTGTGCCAGTCATGCTGGGAGCTGCAGACTGGAGCTGTTTCTATTAGGCCATCTTGGAGCAGAAGTCCAATTTTATTTATTTCTACTCTGATCTTTATTAGTTCTTTTCTTCTACTAATTTTGGGTTTGGTTTACTCTTGCCTTTTTAATTCTTTAAGATGCATCATCAGGTTATTCACTTGAAGTTTTTCTTCCTTTTTGATGTAGGCCCTTATCTGGAAATATCACTCTTGGTACTGCTTTTGTTGTATCCCATAGGTTCTGGTGCATTATGTTTCCATTGTCATTTGTTTTTAGAAAATTTTCAATTCATTTCATAATTTCTTCATTGACCCACTTATCATTTAGGAACATATTGTTTAATTTCCATGTTTTTGTATAGTTTCCAAAATTCCCCTTGTTATTGGTTTCTAGTTTTATTCCATTGTGGTCAGAGAAGATGCTTGAGATTATTTCAGTTTTTTTGAATGTTTTGAGACTTGATTCATGACCTAATATATGGCCTGTTCTTGAGAATGATGTATGTGCTAAGGAGAAAAATGTGTCTTCTGTAACCTTTGGATGAAATATTCTGTAAATACTTATTAGGCCCATTTGGTCTATAGTTCAGATTACATCTGATGTTTCCTTGCTGATTTTCTGTCTGGAAGATCTGTCCAATGCTGAAAGTGGAGCATTGAATTCTACAGCTATTATTGTTTTGGGGGAGGGGGTCTATCTTTCTTTAGCTCTAATAATATTTGTTTTATTTATCTAGGTGCTCCAATGTTGAGTGCATATATATTTACAATTGTTACATCCTCTTGCTTAACTGATCTCTTTATCATTATAAAATGACCTTATTTGGTTTTTCTTAACAATTTTTGTCTTGAAATCTATTTAGTCTGATAAAGGTATAGCTACTCCTGTTCTTTTTTGGTTTCCATTGTCGTGAAGTATCATTTCCCATGACTTTATTTTTAGTCTGTGTATTGTTATAAGTGAAGTTTATTTCTTGTAGGTAACAGATCATTGGGTCCTTTTTTTTTAATCCATTCAACCACTCTATATCTTTTTACTGGAGAGTATAGTCCATTTACATTCAATATTATTATTGACAAATAAGGACTTGCTTGCCATTTTGTTATTTATTTTCTGGTTGTTTTGTGATCTTCTCTCCCATCTTTTCTTACTTCCTGTCTCCTTTTTAGTGAAAGTATTTTTTTTGGTGGTATGTTTTAATTTCTTGCTCTTCACTTTTTGTGTATCCATTGTATGTTTTTAAATTTGAGGTTACTATGAGGCTTGCAAATACTATCTTATAACCCATTATTTTATGCTGATGAAAACAACACTGATTGCATAAATAAATACACAATCAAGCAAAAAGAAAACTAAAAAAACCTCTACATTTTAACTTTATTTATATGCTTTTAAGCTTTCTGTTATTTATATATCTTATTATACTGTCTTGAAAAGCTGTTGTAATTGTTTTTTAATCAGTTCATCTTTTCCTCTTTCTACTTATGATATAAGTAGCTTACACACCATAATTACAGTGTTATAATATTCTGTGTTTTTTGAGGACTTATTATCATCTGAAGGTACAGTGAGTTTTGTACCTTCAGATGATTTCCTGTTGCTTGTTAATGTTCTTTCTTTCAGATTGAACTCCCTTTAGTATTTCTTGTAAGACAGGTTTGGTGTTGATGAAATCCCTGTTTATTTGATTATTTTTCCTTCTAGTACAAATCTATTGTTCATTTCCTCTAGCAAAATGTTCTTATTGTTGTTATTTTACTTTTAAACCCCAGAATTTCCATTTGGTTAATTAACTTTTGAAAAAATATTTTTAATCTATTATTGGTATTTTTGAATTGACAAGAAATTATCATACCATCTTTTATTTTTTAAGCACATTTTCTTTTAGTTTTTGAACATATTTATAATAATTACTTTGAGGTTTTTTTTCTGCTATGTCTGACATCTTGGCACTCACAAAGGCAGTTTCTCTTGCTTACCTTTTTTCTGGTGTATGGCTCTGTCTTTTCCATATCTCTGCTTGACTCATAATTTTTTTGTTCAAAAATATGTTCTAGCTAGTTGCAATACTCATTTCTGCCCCCCTCACTATGTTACTGTTGTTTAATTGTTTATTTGTTTAATTGCCTGGCTAGACTATATAGTGAAGCCTATTTCCACCATAATTTGTGGCCTCTGATGTTGTTCCTGAGGGAGTCACAGCACTGGGCACATTTTCTCTCAAATTGGAATTACAGTGCATTTAGCAGTGCTCTCTTTGACTGCCTCTTTCTCTGATCTGTTCAGTTGTTTGCCTCTTTTGGTATCATACCCAACTGTTAACCTCCAGCAATTGCTAGATAATTGCTCTTTTGGTTTTGACAGCTTTTTAGGGGCATAAATTGCTCCACAGTCTGATCCAAATATATTTTGCTTCCTTTGCAGGAGCAGTTTTTCAGACAAGACTTTGATGTTTGTTTTAACCTCAGGAAGGCCCTTCTTGGCTCTCTCTTTCTTGGATTTTTATTGTATATGTCTAGCTGGTTTATGGTTTAGTTTGTTGCTCTCACTAAGCTGCCATTAACCTATTAATTGCTTACCACCAAAATATTCATTGTTTTTGACAGTGCCCTTAGGCTTGAACTTCCGCATGTTCTGTTGCAAATAAAGTTTGTCCCTTTAGGGAGAACTAGAGACTTTTCTTCTTATGGCCTACTTCTCCCTCTAGGCAGGTCCTCTAGTCTCCCTACTGCCTCTACTGCCACTACTCTGCAGGTGGTTTTGGGGACAGTGTCATGCTTTTCTCAGATGTCTTTCCTTCTTTATGGGTGGGGTACTGGATTGGGCAATAATTTCTGTTTTTCTGCCTTTTCTGGAATGGAAACTTCACTCCTCCCATGGAATCTCTGCCCTATGAGTGTAGCGGAGCAAGGACATTCAGCATCAGTATTCTTGGCCCGTGGCACTGGGGATAGAACTTACGCCTTAATAGTAGAGGCTGAGTGGAAGAAGGAAGCTTCAGATTCTCAGTCAAACTTTCTTGGAATAGAACTTCTGCAACATAGAGCCAGAGATGGGCTTGGGAAATGCTGGTAGTCTGCCCTAGATTGGGAGCTGAGGGGAAAGGGCACCCTGTCTTTTTGGCTGCACATCTCTGGAGCAGGGTTTCTGTTTCACTGAACTGATTGCAGGAGAGGGAGGAAATGAACATAACTTAAACACCATAGACTCAACACCATAGACTCTCACTCCTCTCACTGAAATTGGTAGGCTTTCTTGGATTTCTTCATTTGCTGTCGGCCCTTAGAACAATTTCCAATACTCTAACATTTTTTTATTTTGTTTGTTTTTAATTTTCACCGGTTATGGTTGTTTTACTCTGGAGAATGTCTGCAGAGCTCTTCAGATAGTCATTCTGTAAGTGCTTCTCTCATAATTGATTTCCAACACCTGAAGAGTGAATTCCCTTTTTCAGATGAAATCTTACAAGGAAGCAGATAAAAGTGGAGACATACTGGTTGAACATAAAGTGAACTAACAAACACAGGGCTGGAAGTTCTGATTGATTGACTTTTTTCTTGTTGTTGTTCCATATTCTCCTTCACCTTCATCTTCCAAGCCCTAGATGTAGATGAGAACACTGTTGGAGAATCATTTACCTTTGGGATGAAGTGGATCAGGTCCACTCAGATAGTACAGAATAATGTCCTTTAAATAGAGTCAACTGATTGTAGAGGTTAATTGCGACTACAAAATACCTTCACAGCAATACCTAGATCAGTGCTTGGTTGAATAGTTGAGTACTACAGCCTGGCCAAGTTGACAAGCAAAACTGACAATCACACCATGCTTCAGCCACTGTGAAGAGCTTCAACCATGGTTTTTCCTGAGCAGTTTACATCTTCTCATTCCCATGAAATCTTGGCACATTTCCTTCCCTTCATCTGGAGTGCTGCTATCCTCCTCCTCTGTGTTCTAATCTCCTCCTGCACAAATGTTGCTTTTTCCGTGGAGCCCTCCATGACTCTTTCAGGCAGAGTGAGTTGCTCCTTTTCTGAGCTCCCACAACCTTTGTTTAAGCCCATATTTTGGCCCATCGTCACTTGTCCCACCAGTATTTGCTTCTGTCTCCATTCCCCCACCATATTCTGAGCTAACTGAGGGCAGGGACTATGTTTTATGTATTTCTTGATCTCCAGCCTGATGCCAGGAGAAAAGCAGCTGTAAATGTATCCTAGTAGGTAGGTTAAGTTTCCAGGGAGCCTGCAACTTGCTATGAAACTATCGTTTTTGTGGTTGGCAAAGCAGATACGCAGCATAAGGCTAAGCTCAAGAGAGCAACCCTAAGTTCCCCCCAGCTGACCGCATGATCTCCTGACTCATGGAGTGGAACTTGTGGCATGTCCACAGGAAGCCCTGGAGCCACTGTCCCCATGACAGCAGCAGGACAAATGTACTTCTTCAGCAGGACAAAATAGTGCTGGTCCTTTTGCTGGTCAGGAAAGTGACTTTCCTGACAGTCACTTTCCTCCAGAGGGTATCTTGTGTGACTACATCTTCTTTTGGCCAGCTTCAAACATTTATAGCCTATTTCAGTTTCTTCTGGCCTGTTTGCATAACTAAACAGAATTAAGCCCTGTCTACCACTGAGCACTAAAAAGAAAAACATATTCATTGGGGATTTAGAGAAAGAAAGAATAAGAAATCAATTGTCAAGACTCTATTTTCCCAGCTCTACTCTAGGACAGAGGAAGCTCATAGCCCTAACAGACTTTTCCTTAGGATGGATGTTGACAGCTCCTCCCAGCCCACTCCTTGTTTAGTTTTCATTTGTTCTATCCCAGGAAGATTCAGAGGAAGAGGGATACATCTTAAGATGTCTCTGTAACTTTATAAGGATGCTGCTGAAAAGATAATGATGAAATGTTGATTGCAGCTTCTTTTTAAAAATTTTTATTGATACATAATATTTGTACATATTTATGGGGTACATATGGTATTTCGTTACACGCATAGACTGTGTAATGATCAAGTCAGGATATTTAGGGTATCCATTACCTCAAGCTTTTGTCATTTCTATGTGTTGGGAACATTTCAAATCTTCCTGTCTAGCTATTTTGGAGTATACAATATATTACTGTTAACTATAGTTCTCCTACTCTGCTGTCAAACATTAGAACTTATACCTTCTATCTAACTATATGTTTGTACCCATTAAGCAACCTCTCTTAACACCCCCACCCACAACTGTTCCCAGTCTCTGATAACCATCATTCTATTCTCCTTGAAATGCATGTTTTTAGTTCCCACATGAGTAAGAATATGCAACATTTGTGTTTCTACGCCTGGTTTATTTCCCTCCAGTTCCATTCATGTTGCTTATTGTGGCTTCTTGAGTCTGAGTTCAGAGCTGAGTCATTTTTGGGTGAGTTTCCCCTAATCTTCCACCTCCTTGTGCCTTTCAGAACAAGACCAGGCTTTTGCCTCTTGGCTTCTTTCCCTTCCTGCAAGGCTGTGCCATCAGAAGTAGGCAGGGCAGCCAATGCTACCTTTCCATGGCATGTGCTTTCTTAAGTAGATTTACCATCCATGGCTCAGTTCAACTACTCTGTTGCACTTAGGAAGTTAAGGAGCATTCTTCTCATTGGAACTTCTTGACTAAGTGGAAAGATACACTTCAATCCATGACACACACAAGACTCAAATAGGCTTGATGTATTTGTGATTAGTGTGAACTCAATTCTTGTTTTTTCAGAAGGAAGACCAATTCTCATACTCATCTTGAAACCCGTCTGACATTGTTCCTCCCAAGATTAGATAATCACGACAGAGCACCTCTACAAGTCCTAACTGAACACGCATAAAATAAATAATTCCATCCCAGTCTGAGTGCGGGTCTCTCCCCAGAGGTCTACCCTGATTCTCTGCATGAAAGAGCCACTGGTTATTCTCCTCCCTTTATGCTGCGGGAGGCTAATTGCACTCACCACTACCTAGTACTGTTTTTAACTTTTCCTGTTTATTGCCTGTGTCTCCCACTAGAGGCTGAGTGATATGCGATGTGATCTTCTCAGTTTTGTTCACTTTTACATGTTATCCCCACAACAAGGTTTGTGGTGAGGCGTGGGTGGGAAAAAGGGAAATAATTCCTTCCTTCTTTCCTTCTTTCTGTCTCTCCTTTCTTTCTTTCTTTCTTTTCTTTCTTTCTTTCTTTCTTTCTTTCTTTCTTTCTTTCTCTTTCTTTCTTTCTTTTTCTTTCTTTCTTTCTTTCTTCCCTTCTTCCTTTCTTTCTTTCTTTCTTTCTTCCCTTCTTTCTTTCTGTCTCTTTCCTTCTTTCTTTCTTTTCTTTCTTTCTTTCTCTTTCTTTCTTTCTCTTTCTTTCTTTCTTTCTTTCTTTCTTTCTTTCTTTCTCTCTCTCTCTCTCTTTCTTTCCTTCTTTCTTCTTCTTCTTCTTTTTTTTTTTTTTTTTTTTTTGAGACAGAGTTTCACTCTTGTTGCCCAGGCTGGAGTGCAATGGCATGATCTCGGCTCACTGCAACCTCCACCTCCTGGGTTCAAGTGATTCTCCTGTCTCAGCCTCCTGAGTAGCTGGGATTACATGCACATGCCACCACGCCTGGCTAATTTTGTATTTTTAGTAGAGACGGGGTTTCACCATGTTGACCGGGTGGTCTTGAACTCCTGACCCCAGATGAGCCGCCTGCCTTGGCCTCCCTAAGTGCTGGGATTACAGGCGTGAGCCACCACGCTTGGCTGGAACTAATAATTTCTTAAGCACTCTGTGCTAAGATATTTTACATACTCTAGCTCATTCATTCTTACAACAGCCCTGGGAGGTGACTGTCATTACTCAGTTTTACAGAGAAGGAAACCCAAGTTCCAATGTCTCCTAAATGGCATCTTGTGTGTTTGAACGTTTCAAGTTTGTGAGGAGTGCAATCAGTATCCAAGAAAGTGCCACTTAGAAAGAAAAAGGCTTAAAGAAGGAAAATGTTCTGGGATGATGAAAATCTAATACCTAAAGGTGTCAATTATGGATGTGATGTTAACTAACCTTTATTGGGCTTCATGCTGTTGGGCACTGCATTGGGCACCTTATTTGGGTAGATATTATTCTCATCCCCATTTAATAAATGCAGAAAGTAAGATAAGCAGGGATCAAGTAACATTCCCAATATCACATAGCTAGTACTGATGAGGCTGGGATTTGAATCTTGGTCCTCTAACTTCAGGGTCCAGATTCTAAACAAAGATGTGGGGAAGAAGGGAGGTGTAACTTGTAAAATGAATGAAAAATAATGCTTTCCTTTGAAGTGTTAGATTTAGGGTTCAAGCATTTTTGATCCCTGAGACTAATTATAATAGCATCAACTAATTTGCATGGCACTTCTTACATTGCAAAGCATTTTCTCACCTGCAAGTTTGTGGTAATCCTCATATGGCTTTGAGATGACTTTGAGAAATAGAAGAAGTCAGTGTTCATTGTTTTTTTTTTGCAGAAAAATGTTTATTTCCCCAATTTTCAGGTTTTCATTCAGTGAAACTTTTCATGATGATTTTGAAATTTATAAACAAAACAAACAGGAATCATTGGAAATGATGAAAGTCAGGTATGAACCACCCGACAACATGGAGAAAAAATAGAAAACAGTTATTGATTATGGTCAGAATTCTGCCATAATCAAATTCTTACCCGCCCTCTTCTTGTTCCTTAGAATAAGAATCTAATTAGCTGGCTTTATTCCTAGACAGACATAGTTGTGACTGTGTTTCATTGATTTTGGGTAGCAAACATACTTGGATGAACCTACAGTCATTTTGAGAGAAGAGCATGGTCTCTAAAGATTGAGCATGGTCAAGTGAGAAAACAAAGTTACTATCTACAGAGTTTGGGGTGAAAATACACAACCGATGATATCAAAATCATACTTTATAAATGGTGGTATTTGTGTTTAATGTTATCACTTAATAGACCTACTCACTGACAGCATAATACAAATCTATTATTCTTTCAGAGTTATAAAGTTATATAGCATTAAAAGCATTTTATAAGCTTATTTTTTATTATTATACTTTAGGTTTTAGGGTACATGTGCACAACATGCAGGTTAGTTACATATGTATACATGTGCCATGTTGGTGTGCTGCACCCATTAACTCGTCATTTAGCATTAGGTATATCTCCTAATGCTATCCCTCCCCCAACCCCCCACCTCACAGCAGGCTCCAGTGTGTGATGTTCCCCTTCCTGTGTCCATGTGTTCTCATTGTTCAATTCCCACCTATGAGTGAGAACATGCAGTGTTTGGTTTTTTGTCCTTGCAATAGTTTGCTGAGAATGATGGTTTCTAGCTTCATCCATGTCCCTACAAAGGACATGAACTCATCATTTTTTATGGCTGCTTGGTATTCCATGGTGTATAAGTGCCACATTTTCTTAATCCAGTCTATCATTGTTGGACATTTGGGTTGGTTCCAAGTCTTTGCTCTTGTGAATAGTGCCACAATAAACATATGTGTGCATGTGTCTTTATAGCAGCATGATTTATAATCCTTTGGGTATATACCCAGTAATGGGATGGCTGGGTCAAATGGTATTTCTAGTTCTAGATCCCTGAGGAATCGCCACACTGACTTCCACAATGGTTGAACTAGTTTACAGTCCCACCAACAGTGTAAAAGTATTCCTATTTCTCCACATCCTCTCCAGCACCTGTTGTTTCCTGACTTTTTAACGATCACCATTCTAACTGGTGTGAGATGGTATCTCATTGTGGTTTTGATTTGCATTTCTCTGATGGCCAGTGATGATGAGCATTTTTTCATGTGTCTTTTGGCTGCATAAATGCCTTCTTTTGAGAAGTGTCTGTTCTTTTCCTTGGCCCACATTTTGATGGGGTTGTTTGTTTTTTTCTTGTAAATTTGTTTGAGTTCATTGTAGATTCTGGATATTAGCCCTTTGTCAGATGAGTAGATTGCAAAAATTTTCTCCCATTCTGTAGGTTGCCTGTTCACTCTGATGGTAGTTTCTTTTGCTGTGCAGAAGCTCTTTAGTTTAATTAGATCCCATTTGTCAATTTTGGCTTTCATTGCCATTGCTTTTGGTGTTTTAGGCATGAAGTCCTTGCCCATGCCTATGTCCTGAATGGTATTGCCTAGGTTTTCTTCTAGGGTTTTTATGGTTTTAGGTCTAACATGTAAGTCTTTAATCCATCTTGAATTAATTTTTGTATAAGATGTAAGGAAGGGATCCAGTTTCAGCTTTCTACATATGGCTAGCCAGTTTTCCCTACACCATTTATTAGCTAGCCAGTTTTCCCAACACCATTTATGAAATAGGGAATCCTTTCCCCATTTCTTGTTTTTGTCAGGTTTGTCAAAGATCAGATAGTTGTACATATGTGGCATTATTACTGAAGGCTCTGTTCTGTTCCATTGGTCTATATCTCTGTTTTGGTACCAGTACCGTGCTGTTTTGGTTACTGTAGCCTTGTAGTATAGTTTGAAGTCAGGTAGTGTGATGCCTCCAGCTTTGTTCCTTTGGCTTAAGATTGACTTGGCAATGCGGGCTCTTTTTTGGTTCCATATGAAATTTATTTAATTAATTAATTTGTTTTTTTAGTATTTATTGATCATTCTTGGGTGTTTCTCAGAGAGGGGGATGTGGCAGAGTCATAGTATAATAGTGGAGAGAAGGTCAGCAGATAAACAGGTGAACAAAGGTCTCTGGTTTTCGTAGGCAGAGGTCCCTGCAGCCTTCAGCAGTGTTTGTGTCCCTGGGTACTTGAGATTAGGGAGTGGTGATGACTCTTAATGAGCGTGCTGCCTTCAAGCATCTGTTTAACAAAGCACATCTTGCACCACCCTTAATCCATTTAACCCTGAGTTGACACAGCACATGTTTCAGCGAGCACGGGGTTGGGGGTAAGGTTGTACATTAACAGCATCCCAAGGCAGAAGAATTTTTCTTAGTACAGAACAAAATGGTGTCTCCTATGTCACCTTCTTTCTACACAGACACAGTAACAATCTGATCTCTCTTTCTTTTCCCCACATTTCCCCCTTTTCTTTTTGACAAAACCGCCATCGTCATCATGGCCCGTTCTCAATGGTCGCTGTCTCTTCGGAGCTGTTGGGTACACTTCCCAGATGGGGCAGCCTGGCAGAGACGCTCCTCACTTCCCAGATGGGGTGGTGGCTGGGCAGAGGCGCTCCTCACCTCCCAGATGGGGCAGCCAGGCAGAGGCGCTCCTCGCCTCCCAGGTGGGGCGGCTGGCCAGAGGCGCTCCTCACCTCCCAGGTGGGGCGGCGGCTGGGCAGAGGTGCTCCTCGCCTCCCAGACAGGATGGCGGCCAGGCAGAGGTGGTCCTTGCCTCTCAGATGGGGTGGTGGCCGGGCAGAGGTGCTCCTCGCCTCCGAGGCGGGGTGGTGGCCGGGCAGAGGCACTCCTCACTTCCCAGAAGGGGCGGCCAGATAGAGGCGCTCCTCACTTCCCAGATGGGGCGGCCAGGCAGAAGCGCTCCTCACCTCCCAGACGTGGTGGCTGGGTAGACACGCTCCTCACTTCCCAGACGGGGTGGCCGGGCAGAGGCACTCCTCACCTCCCAGATGGGATGGCCAGGCAGAGGCGCCCACTTCCCAGATGGGGTGGCTGGGCAGAGGCGCTTCCCACCTCCCAGATGAAGGGCGGCCGGGCAGAGGCGCTCCCCACCTCCCAGACGAAGGGTGGCTGGGCAGATAGGCCCCTCACCTCCCAGATGGGGCGGCCGGGCAGAGGTGCTCCTCACCTCCCAGATGGGGTGGTGGCCAGGCAGAGGTGCTTGTCACCTCTCAGATTGGGTGGCAGCTGGGCAGTGGCTCTCCTCACCTCCCAGATGGGGTGGCAGCCGGGCAGAGGTGCTCCTCACCTCCCAGACAGGGCGGCCGGGCAGAGGCACTCCTCACCTCCCAGACGGAGCGGCCGGGCAGAGGCGCTCCTCACTTCCCAGATGGGGCGGCCAGGCATAGGTGCTCCTCACATCCCAGATGATGGGCGGCCAGGCAGAGACACTCCTCACTTCCCAGACGGGGTGGCAGCCGGGCAGAGGCACTCCTCGCTTCCCAGATGGGGTGGCCAGGCAGAGGCACTCCTCGCTTCCCAGACCTGGCAGCCGGGCAGAGGTGCTCCTCACATCCCAGATGGGGAGGTGGCCGGTTAGAGGCGCTCCTCACCTCCCAGATGGGATGGCGGCCGGGCAGAGGTGCTCCTCACCTCCCAGATGGGGTGGCGGCTGGGCAGAGGTGCTCCTCACCTCCCAGACGGGGCAGCTGGGCAGAGGCACTCCTCACTTCCCAGAAGGGGCGGCCAGATAGAGGCGCTCCTCACTTCCCAGATGGGGCGGCCAGGCAGAAGCACTCCTCACCTCCCAGACGGGGCGGCTGGGTAGACATGCTCCTCACTTCCCAGACGGGGTGGCCGGGCAGAGGCACTCCTCACCTCCCAGATGGGATGGCCAGGCAGAGGCGCCCACTTCCCAGATGGGGTGGCCGGGCAGAGGTGCTTCCCACCTCCCAGATGAAGGGCGGCCGGGCAGAGGTGCTCCCCACCTCCCAGACGAAGGGTGGCTGGGCAGATAGGCCCCTCACCTCCCAGATGGGATGGTGGCCAGGCAGAGGCACTTGTCACCTCCCAGATTGGGTGGCAGCTGGGCAGAGGCTCTCCTCACCTCCCAGATGGGGTGGCAGCCGGGCAGAGGCGCTCCTCACCTCCCAGACAGAGCAGCCGGGCAGAGGCGCTCCTCACTTCCCAGATGGGGCGGCCAGGCATAGGTGCTCCTCACATCCCAGACGATGGGCGGCCAGGCAGAGACGCTCCTCACTTCCCAGATGGGGTGGCAGCTGGGCAGAGGCGCTCCTCGCTTCCCAGATGGGGTGGCCAGGCAGAGGCACTCCTCACTTCCCAGACCCGGCGGCTGGGCAGAGGCACTCCTCACATCCCAGACGGGGAGGTGGCCGGTTAGAGGTGCTCCTCACCTCCCAGATGGGGTGGCGGCCAGGCAGAGGTGCTCCTCACCTCCCAGATGGGGTGGCGGCTGGGCAGAGGCGCTCCTCACCTCCCAGATGGGGCGGCTGGGCAGAGGCGCTCCTCACTTCCCAGATGGGGTGGCCAGGCATAGTCGCTCCTCATATCCCAGATGGGGCAGCCGGGCAGAAGCCCTCCTCACATCCCGGACAATGGGCGGCCAGGAAGAGATGCTCCTCACTTCCCAGACGGGGTGGCGGCCGGGCAGAGGCTGTAATCTTAGCACTTTGGGAGGCCAAGGCAGGCGGCTGGAAGGTGGAGGTTGTGGTGAGCCGAGATCACGCCACTGCACTCCAGCCTGGGCAACACTGAGCATTGAGTGAGTGAGACTCCGTCTGCAATCCCAGCACCCTGGGAGGCCGAGGCGGGCAGACCACTCGAGGTCAGGAGCCGGAGACCAGCCCGGTCAACATGGTGAAACCCCGTCTCCTCCAAAAATACAAAAACCAGTAAGGCATGGCAGCGCGCACCCACAATCCCAGGCACTCCGCAGGCCGAGGCAGGGGAACCATGGGAGCCCAGGGCAGGGAGGCTGCAGCGAGCCGAGACCATGGCAGTACAGTCCAGCCTCGGCAACAGAGGGAGACTGAAGAAACAAAGAAAGGGAGAGGGAGAAGGAGAGGGAGAGGGAGAGGGAGAGGGAGAGGGAGAGGGAGAGCCATATGTACTTTAAAGTAGTTTTTTTCCAATTCTGAGAAGAAGGTCATTGGTAGCTTGATGGGGATGGCAATGACTCTATAAATTACCTTGGGCAGTATGGCTATTTTCACGATATTGATTCTTCCTACCCATGAGCATGGAATGTTCTTCCATTTGTTTGTATCCTCTTTTATTTCGTTGAGCAGTGGTTTATATTTCTCCTTGAAGAGGTCCTTCACATCCCTTGTAAGTTGGATTCCTAGGTATTTTATTCTCTTTGAAGCAATTGTGAATGGGAGTTCACTCATGATTTGGCTCTCTGTTTGTCTGTTATTGGTGTATAAGAATGCTTGTGATTTTTACACATTGATTTTGTATACTGAGACTCTGCTGAAGTTGCCTATCAGCTTAAGGAGATTTTGGGCTGAGACGATGGGGTTTTCTAGGTATACAATCATGTCATCTGCAGACAGGGACAATTTGACTTCCTCTTTTCCTAATCGAATGCCCTTTATTTCCTTCTCTTGCCTGATTGCCCTGGCCAGAACTTCCAACACTATGTTGAATAGGAGTGGTGAGAGAGGGCATCCCTGTCTTGTGCCAGTTTTCAAAGGGAATGCTTCCAGTTTTTGCCCATTCAGTATGATATTGGCTGTGGGTTTGTCATAGATAGCTCTTATTATTTTGAGATACATCTCATCAATACCTAATTTATTGAGAGTTTTTAGCATGAAGGGTTGCTGAATTTTGTCAAAGGCCTTTTCTGCATCTATTGAAATAATCACGTGGTTTTTGTCATTGGTTCTGTTTGTATACTGGGTTACATTTATTGATTTGTGTACGTTGAACCAGCCCTTGCATCCCAGGGATGAAGCCCACTTGATCATGGTGGATAAGCTTTTTGATGTGCTGCTGGATTCGGTTTGCCAGTATTTTATTGAGGATTTTTGCATCGATGTTCATCAGGGATATTGGTCTAAAATTGTTTTTTTTGTTGTGTCTGTGCCAGGCTTTGGTATCAGGATGATGCTAGCCTCATAAAATGAGGTAGGGAGGATTCCCTCTTTTTCTATTGATTGGAATAGTTTCAGAAGGAATGGTACCAGCTCCTCCTTGTACCTCTGGTAGAATTCGGCTGTGAATCCTTCAGGTCCTGGACTGTTTTTGGTTGGTAAGGTATTAATTGTTGCCTCAATTTCAGAGCCTGTTATTGGTCTATTCAGAGATTCATCTTCTTCCTGGTTTAGTCTTGGGAGGGTGTATGTATGGAGGAATTTATCCATTTCTTCTAGATTTTCTAGTTTATTTGCATAGAGGTGTTTATAATATTCTCTGATGGTAGTTTATATTTCTGTGGGATCAGTGGCGATATCCCCTTTATCATTTTTTATTGCATCTATTTGATTCTTCTGTCTTTTCTTCTTTATTAGTCTTGCTAGCGGTCTATCAATTTTGTTGATCTTTTCAAAAAACCAGCTCCTGGATTCATTGATTTTCTGAAGGGTTTTTTGTGTCTCTATTTCCTTCAGTTCTGCTCTGATCTTAGTTATTTCTTGCCTTCTGCTAGCTTTTGAATGTGTTTGCTCTTGCTTCTCTATTTCTTTTCATTGTGATGTTAGGGTGTCAATTTTAGATCTTTCCTGCTTTCTCATGTGGTCATTTAGTGCTATAAATTTCCTTCTACATATTGCTTTGAATATGTCCCAGAGATTCTGGTATGTTGTGTGTTTGTTCTCATTGGTTTCAAAGAATATCTTTGTTTCTGCCTTCATTTCATTATGTACCCAGTAGTCATTCAGGAGCAGGTTGTTCAGTTTCCATGTAGTTGAGTGGTTTTGAGTGAGTTTCTTAGTCCTGAGTTCTAGTTTGATTGCACTGTGGTCTGAGAGATAGTTTGTTACAATTTCTGTTCTTTTACATTTGCTGAGGAGAGCTTTACTTCCAACTATGTGGTCAATTTTGGAATAGGTGTGGTGTGGTGCTAAAAAAATGTATATTCTGTTGATTTGGGGTGGAGAGTTCTGTAGATGTCTATTAGGTCTGCTTGGTGCAGAGCTGAGTTCAATTCCTGGGTATCCTTGTTAACTTTCTGTCTCGTTGATCTGTCTAATGTTGACAGTGGGGTGTTAAAGTCTCCCATTATTATTGTGTGGGTGTCTAATTCTCTTTGTAGATCTCTAAGGACTTGCTTTATGAATCTGGGTGCCCCTGTACTGGGTGCATGTATGTTTAGTATAGTTAGCTCTTCTTGTTGAATTGATCCCTTTACCATTGTGTAATGGCCTTCTTTGTCTCTTTTGATCTTTGTTGGTTTAAAGTCTGTTTTATCAGAGACTAGGATTGCAACCCCTGCCTTTGTTTTCCATTTGCTTGGTAGATCTTCCTCCATCCCTTTATTTTGAACCTATGTGTGTCTCTGCATGTGAGATGGGTTTCCTGAATACAGCACACTGATGGGTCTTGACTCTTTATCCAGTTTTCCAGTCTGTGTCTTTTAACTGGAACATTTAGCCCATTTACTTTTAAGGTTAATATTGTTATGTGTGAATTTGATCCTGTCATTATGATGTTAGCTGGTTATTTTGCTAGTTAGTTGATGCAGTTTCTTCCTAGCATCGATGGTCTTTACAATGTGGCATGTTTTTGTGGTGGCTGGTATGGGTTGCCCCTTTCCATGTTTAGTGCTTCCTTCAGGAGCTCTTTTAGGGCAGGCCTGGTGGTGACAAAATCTCTCAGCATTTGCTTGTCTGTAAAGGATTTTATGTCTCCTTCATTTATGAAGCTTAGTTTGGTTGGATATGAAATTCTGGGTTGAAAATTCTTTTCTTTAAGAATGTTGAATATTGGCCCTCACTCTCTTCTGGCTTGTAGAGTTTCTGCCAAGACATGAGCTGTTAGTCTGATGGGCTTCCCTTTGTGGGTAACCCGACCTTTCTCTCTGGCTGCTCTCAACATTTTTTCCTTGATTTCAACTTTGGTGAATCTGACAATTATGTCTCTTGGAGTTGCTCCTCTCGAGGAGTATCTTTGTGGCATTCTCTGTAGTTCCTGAATTTGAATGTTGGGCTGCCTTGCTAGATTGGGGAAGTTCTCCTGGATAATATCCTGCAGAGTGTTTTCCAACTTGGTTCCATTCTCCCCGTCTCTTTCAGGTACACCAATTAGATGTAGATTTGCTCTTTTCACATAGTCCCATGTTTCTTGGAGGCTTTGTTGATTTCTTTTTTTTCTTTTTTCTCTAAACTTCTCTTCATGCTTCATTTCATTGATTTGATTTTCCATCCCCAATACCCTTTCTTCCAGTTGATTGAATCAGCTACTGAGGCTTGTGCATTCATCACGTAGTTCTCATGCCATGGTTTTCAACTCCATCAGGTCATTTAAGGACTTCTCTGCATTGGTTATTCTAGTTAGCCATTCATCTAATTTTTTTTCAAGGTTTTTAACGGCTTTGCCATGGGTTCGGACTTCCTCCTTTAGCTCAGAGTAGTTTGATCATCTGAAGCCTTCTTCTCTCAACTCGTCAAAGTCATTCTCCATCCAGGTTTGTTCTGTTGCTGGTGAGGAGCCGTGTTCCTTTGGAGGAGGAGAGGCACTCTGATTTTTAGAGCTTCCAGTTTTTCTGCTCTGTTTGTTCCTCATCTTTGTGGTTTTATCTACCTTTGGTCTTTGATGATGGTGACGTACAGATGGGGTTTTGGTGTGGATGTCCTTTCTGTTTGTTAGTTTTCCTTCTAGAATTCAGGACCCTCAGCTGCAGGTCTGTTGGAGTTTACTGGAGGTCCACTCCAGACCCTGTTTGCCTGGGTATCAGCAGCAGAGGCTGCAGAACAGTGGATATTGGTGAACAGCAAATGTTGCTGCCTGATCATTCCTCTGGAAGTTTTGTCTGAGAGGAGTACCCAGCCGTGTGAGGTGTCAGTCTGCCCCTACTGCCTCCCAGTTAGGCTGCTAAGGGGTCAGGGGTCAGGGACCCACTTGAGGAGGCAGTCTGCCCGTTCTCAGATCTCTGGCTGCATGCTGGGAGAACCACTACTCTCTTCAAAGCTGTCAGACAGGGACATTTAAGTCTGCAGAGGTTTCTGCTGCCTTTTGTTTGGCTATGCCATGTCCCCAGAGGTGGAGTCTACAGATGTAGGCAGGCCTCCTTGAGCTGCAGTGGGCTCCAGCCAGTTTGAGCTTCCCGGCTGCTTTGTTTACCTACTGAAGCCTCGGCAATGGTGGGCACCACTCCCCCAGCTTGCTGCCACCTTGCAGTTTGATCTGAGACTGCTATGCTAGCAATGAGTGAGGATCCGTGGGCATAGGCCCCTCCAAGCCTTGTGTGGGATATAATCTCCTGGTGTGCTGTTTGCTAAGACCATTGGAAAAGTGCAGTATTAGGGTGGGAGTGACCCGATTTTCCAGGTGCCGTCTGTCAACACTTTCTTTGACTAGAAAAGGGAATTTCCTGACCCTTTGTGCTTCCCTGGTGAGGTGATGCCTCACCCTGCTTTGGCTCATGCTCAGTGTGCTGCACCCAGTGTCCTGCACCCACTCTCTGACACTCCCCAGTGAGATGAACCCAGTACTTCAGTTGGAAATGCAGAAATCACCCATTTTCTGTGTCTCTCACTCTGGGAGCTGTAGACTGGAGCTGTTCCTATTCAGCCATCTTGGCTTCATTCCCCCAGTGTTCATTGTTATTCTCAATTGACATTTGGGAAAGAGAAGCTCAGAAAGTTAAAGTGACCAATATTTACATAATGAGTCTATTCCACAGTGAGTCTATTCCATGAGGCTCACTTATCAGGACTGTAGGTTGGTGGAATTTCACACCAGCCTACAGCCCTGGATAAATGCTAGAATGCCAGTTTTTCATGTCTGGAACTAAAGGTTCTTCTTAGGGTGGAGGAAGAGGGAGGCCTGAGGTCAGAAAGTGGGTAGCGAGGTTGAATCTTGCTCCTATTCACCCAGTCTTGGGGACAGCAAATTACATCTTTGGTCTCAGTAGACTGGTGTGGCCATAGCCCTGAGATTCTGAGCTGGTGGCAAAGTTAAAAGCTACTCCTAGTAAGAGTGGTGGAGTGGAGGGAGGAGCACAATCTGGAGACTGGTCCTCCTGATTTTCATCTCAACAGTAGGCTCCCAAATGTAGCAAAAGGGGCAGAATATGGAGAGTGACTGTAGAATGAGGCCACATTTATCATGTGGCTGGAGGTCTCCTCGATACCCCAGCTTGCTGCCTGAGGTGTCAGAAATGTTTCTGAGGCTTCCTGCCTTTTGAGAAGAAGCTGACTTTATTACCAATCACTCAGCACTTAGAACTGGATTTGCACATAGCAGGTGAGTAATAACAGTTGACTTGATGCATTTGCTTCTTGCTTAAATCTTGATTTTTGTAATCAGGCAAGCCTCTTTGTCCTTTGATTATTTTGCATTTTGTTCCCTCTCATTTAATCTTGTCTAATAAACTCAAATATTTTACTTATGGGGTAGTTAGCTGACAACGGGACAGCTAAGTCTCTGTATCAGCCTTGTGACTCAGTTCACGGATGCTCAAGGTGTCCTCCAGGCCTGAGCTATCTGCCTCCAGACTTCCTTTTAAATTTCATTTTCTTTTTAAAATACTTAATTGACAAACAAAATTATATAGATTTAATGTGTACAATGTGATGATTTGGTATACATATACAGTGTGTACTGATTACTGTAGTGTTTACTTGAAATTTGATAGAGAGGATTTCAAGTCTCCTTAGCACACACACATATGCATATACACACACATACACAGACACAAGTGATAACTATGGTTGGTAATGGATGTGCTCATTAATTTGATTGTGGTAATCAGTATACAATGTATGCATATATTAAATCATCACACTGAATCCAGATCTTAATGCTGAAGGACACCATTTCTCATTAAAAGGACCCAGGGCTCCTTGGAGAAATGGTTGTCTTCAGATTTAGGGCAGGAAATCTTCAAGATGAGTCTGGAACTTCATGTGGAATCAGAAAGAGAGGAAGCTGTCTGGCTATTGGGATAGTATCAAAGACTCATAGGCCAACTGTAACTGTAAGAGGCTCCTACAGGGTCAATTTGGGCATCAAAAGAATAATAACTAAAATGAGTAAAAACATATGGAATAGATTAAACCTCATGTGTTCATAATGATACAAAATTTTTTTTAAAAAGCTTGTTGGTCACATTTGGAAATTGCTAAAGCAACTCTGGACACAGGTGAATAAAGGAAAATAAAATAAAGCAAATTATCACCAGTTTTTACAGTGCTCTAAAATAAAACATAGATGCTTAGAGACTCAGTGCTAGTCCAGAACTCTTCCTAGGACCACAGTGAGTGCAAATTTGAGGTCCTAGGACAGAAGGAACTGTGAGGATAGCTCAATCTCACTGTCTGGTATGTTTATAGGAGAGATTATTCTCCTATAAAATCTCCAGTAAGGTTCTGCCTAGAACATGATTGAACACCGCTTGGGATAGGAAGTTTACCATCCACAGGTGGCCCATCCCCTTTCTGATTTGATCTGAGTATTTGGAAGCCTTTTCTTATAGTGACCCCGAATATGTCCCTCTGAAGCTTTCACCCATTGCTCTTAATTAGTTAGACCCTTAAAGCCATATGCACTCACAAAACTAGCTCTTAGACTTTGTCAAGACCCATGGCTTTTTGCTGACTTGTGTATAGAGATTACTTAAGTGAGACTTTGGGCTCTGCCATCAGATCATTCGGGTTCAAATCCTAGGCACTCTAACCTGTGTCCTTGGGAAAGTTGTTTAACCACTGCAAGCCTTGTTTTCTTCATCTGTAAAATGGGTATAATTTCTATGTCGTAGGCTTGTTATAAGGAGAAGGTGCATGCAGAGTACATGTTACAGAGCCTGCACACTGCAAACTCTTCAGAAATGCTTGTTTAATGTCATTAAATATTGCATAGATATAATTTTTATAAACTATGTGTACAGCATGAACATAACAAAAGAATGAATGACTGTATTCAATAGCCAGCTTAAGAATACAACATTAACAATATCTTTGAAGGCCTCTGATCCCCTCCTGGTCCATTACCTTCCCTTTCCTAAAGTAACCATGATATTGAACTTTGTATCAATCATTCCCTTGATTTTCGTTGTAGTGTTATCTCATATGGGTTCCTGATTAATGTTTTATTCAGTTTTACGCGATTTTTACTTTTTCTTAAATGGACTCATACTATGTTTTTTTCCTGTAACTTTCCTTCCTTAACATAAATCCTGATGTCTGTGCGTGTTCAGGCTTGTAAACTATACTTCTTTTTCTGTATAATCAGCTCTACAATTGGCCAGTGATGATGAGACCACCGTTCAATAACTGTTATAACATAACAAAGCTGAATTTATTCCTTCTTTTTGTAAGATAGAGCTATGCTGGTTAGACACTGTCGCCAGAGCAGAACAGATGGCTGATGGAACTTCTGTGGGGTTTGTGGGAAGCATAGAGCTCAGTGATTGGTGGACTTTCAGAGGCAGTTGCAGGTGATGTCATCTGCAGATAGGTGAGACTGCTATTGATTGGTTGGCACTCAGAGGTGTAATTACTGGTAAGTCCATCCTTGATTGGCTGGCATCCACGAGGGCAGGGCTGACACTGAATTATAGACTTACTTAAGGTGTTCACTGAAACGCTGATCAATTGAACAGGTGTAAAACTGGTTTTGGTGGCTATTTATTACCACGGCTATAGAAAAACAGTCTTTTTCTAAGTTGGTGATAATATTTTTAGTCTCATAATATTCTATCAAATGAATATATACTAGCATAGTATCCCTTCCCTGGTTGATTATTTTTATTATTTGCTATGTTGATCAATACTGCTGTGAATATTCTTGTTTAAGTCTCTTAGCAGATGTGTACAAGAGATTCTGAAGGTGTACATCTGGAAGTGAATTGCAGGGCCAAAGAGCATGCATATCATTAACATTATTAGACAATGCTAATAGATTTATGCTCACAACAGCAGCGTATAAGAGTCTGATTTCTTGGCTGGGTGTGGTGGCTCACGCCTGTAATCCCAGCACTTTGGGAGGTCGAGGAGGGCAGATCACGAGGTTAGGAGATCGAGACCATCCTGGCTAACATGGTGAAACCTCGTCTCTACTAAAAAAAATACAAAAAATTAGCCAGATGTGGTGGTGGGTGCCTGTAGTCCCAGCTACTCGGGGGGCTGAGGCAGGAGAATGGTGTGAACCCAGGAGGCAGAGGCTGCGGTGAGCCGAGATCGCGCCACTGCACTCCAGCCTGGGTGAAAGAGCAAGACTCTGTCTCAAAAAAAAAAAAAAAAGTCTGATTTCTCCACATTTTCAACAATATCAGATTATCAGATTGTCAGATTTAATGTCCTCTACCCAAATCTGGTGGGTGTAAAATGGCATCACAGTTTGGCATTAATTTATGTTTTGATAATTAGTGACGTAATTGAGAAACTTCATACATTTAATGGTTTAGATTTCCTCTTTCAACTCTTATGCCTGTCTTTCTACTGTCTTTTTAAAAAAACTAATTTTCAGGATTATCAGATACATTCTGGATATGAATATTTTGTTGGCAATATGTGTTTTAAGAGCTTCTTATTGTTTGAGGCTTTATATTTTTACTCTCTGACACTTCATTTTTTGATAAGGATATTTTCTCAATTTTAATGTAGTCAGATTTATCAGTCTTTTCCTCTCTGGTTTTGACTTCTTTTGGTCTTAAGATGACTTCCTCTACCCCAGGGACATAAAGATATTCTCCTACATTATGTTATAAAAAGTTATAATTTTTCATTGTTTAAAATTTAAAATTGGAATTTATTTTTATATATGGTATGAAGTAGGGAACTGAAGGGGTTCATTTCCATACAGATTGATGCCAACTGCCTCAACGCAATATGAGTAATACATTCTTTTTCTCACTGATGAGCCATGCCAGATCTGTAATAAACAGAGCTACACAGTCTCTTCTTGTGAAAACAAAAATAGAAGAAAACTTTGGTGAACCCAAAGGTTAGAAAAAGACTTTTTATATATGAAATTAAAAGTACAATCCATAAAAGAAAAAGAATAAATATTGGATTTTATCAAAATGGAAAATGTCTGTTTTTCACAGACATTGAGAAATTGTTAAGACAGTGAAAACACAAGCCCCAGACTGGAAGAATATATTTGCAAATCATATCAAAAACAGACGTTGGCGAGGTGCGATGGCTCCTGCCTGTAATCCCAGCACTGTGGGAAGCCGAGGTGGGTGGCTTGAGCTTGAGCTCAGGAGTTTGAGGCCAGCCTGGGCAACATGGCGAAAACTTGTCTCTACAAAAAATACAAAAGATGGTGCATGCCTGTAACCCCATCTACCTGGGGGGCTGAGATGGGATGATGGCTTGAACCCTGGGAGGTTGAGGCTGCAGTGAGCTGAGATCATGCCACTGCACTCCAGCCTGGGTGACAAAGTGAGACCCTGTCTCAAAAAAAATAAAAAAGACTTGTATACAGAATATATAATTAATTAACAAATTAATAAACAAGCAACCTGATTTTTAAATAGGACAAAACTTGAACACTTGCTCTCCCTCTCCCTCTCCCTCTCCCCATGGTCTCCCTCTCCCTCTCTTTCCACGGTATCCCTCTCCCTCTCTTTCCACGGTCTCCCTCTGATGCCGAGCCAAAGCTGGACTGTGCTGCTGCCATCTCGGCTCACTGCAACCTCCCTGCCTGATTCTCCTGCCTCAGCCTGCCGAGTGCCTACGATTGCAGGCGTGCACCGCCAAGCCTGACTGGTTTTCGTATTTTTTTGGTGGAGACGAGGTTTCGCTGTGTTGGCTGGGCTGGTCTCCAGCTCCTAACTGCAAGTGATCCGCCAGCCTCGGCCTCCCGAGGTGCCGGGATTGCAGACGGAGTCTCATTAACTCAGTGCTCAATGGTGCCCAGGCTGGAGTGCAGTGGTGTGATCTGGGCTCGCTACAACCTCCACCTCCCAGCCGCCTGCCTTGGCCCCCCAAAGTGCCGAGATTGCAGCCTCTGCCCAGCCGCCACCCCGTCTGGGAAGTGAGGAGCATCTCTGCCTGGCCGCCCATCGTCTGGGATGTGAGGAGCCCCTCTGCCTGGCTGCCCAGTCTGGAAAGTGAGGAGCATCTCTGCCCGGCGGCCATCCCACCTAGGAAGTGAGGAGCGCCTCTTCCCATCTGCCATCCCATCTAGGAAGTGAGGAGTGTCTCTGCCCGGCCGCCCATCGTCTGAGATGTGGGGAGCGCCTCTGACCCGCCGCCCAAACTGGGATGTGAGGAGCACCTCTGCCTGGCCGCGACCCTGCCTGGGAGGTGAGGAGCGTCTCTGCCCGGCCACCCCATCTGAGAAGTGAGGAGACCCTCTGCCCGGCAACCGCCCCATCTGAGAAGTGAGGAGCCCCTCCGCCCGGCAGCCGCACCATCTGAGAAGTGAGGAGACCCTCCGCCCGGCAGCCACCCCATCTGGGAAGTGAGGAACGTCTCTGCCCGGCAGCCACCCCGTCCGGGAGGGAGGTGGGGGTCAGCCCCGCCAGGCCAGCCGCCCCATCTGGGAGGGAGGTGGGGGGGTCAGTCCCCCACCCGGCCAGCCGCCCTGTCCGGGAGGGAGGTGGGGGGGTCAGCCCCCCACCCGGCCAGCCGCCCCGTCCGGTAGGTGAGGGGCACCTTTGCCCATTCACCCCTACTGGGAAGTGAGGAGCCCCTCTGCCCGGTCACCACCCCGTCTGGGAGGTGTACCCAACAGCTCATTGAGAACGGGCCATGATGACAATGGCGGTTTTGTGGAATAGAAAAGGGGGAAAGGTGGGGAAAAGATTGAGAAATCGGATGGTTGCTGTGTCTGTGTAGAAAGAAGTAGACATGGGAGACTTTTCACTTTGTTCTGTACTAAGAAAAATTCTTCTGCCTTGGGATCCTGTTGATCTATGACCTTACCCCCAACCCTGTGCTCTCTGAAACATGTGCTGTGTCCACCCAGGGTTAAATGGATTAAGGGCGGTGCAAGATGTGCTTTGTTAAACAGATGCTTGAAGGCAGCATGCTCGTTAAGACTCAACACCACTCCCTAATCTCAAGTACCCAGGGACACAAACACTGCGGAAGACCGCAGGGTCCTCTGCATAGGAAAACCAGAGACCTTTGTTCACTTGTTTATCTGCTGACCTTCCCTCCACTATTGTCCTATGACCCTGCCAAATCCCCCTCTGTGAGAAACACCCAAGAATGATCAATTAAAAAAAAAAAACAAAACTTGAACACTTGACCAGAAGTGGTATGCAGAGGACAAATAAACACATGAAAAGATGTTCAAGGTCATAAGTCATTGGGGAAATGCATGTTAAAACTGCAATGAGGTACCACTGCAGACTTTTTGGAATGGCTGAAATAAAAAAGACTGACATACCAATTGTTGACAAGGATGTGAAGCAACTGGAACTCTCATATGCTTCTGATGTGAAGGTAAAATTAGACAACCACTTCATAAGACAACTTTCCTGTTTCTTAACTAGACCCATTCTGCTCCTAAGTATTTACTCAAGAGAAATGAAAACATTTGTCCATGCAAAGGATGTACACAAATGTTCACAGGAGCTTTATTTTTATTGGCCAAAAACTGGAAAAAAGATATGAAGTATGAGTCTGTCAAAAATTTAGTTTGTATTTGATATGCCAGACTCATACCTATAGCCACATGCATAATTTTTGAGACACACCTTCCATCTAAACTTATAATTAATTATGAGTATCTTGAGTTAATCAGGTTGTCTCCCCATGGCTTCTTTTTCTGAGCCATTTTGTCCAACTAAAGGATGTGTTTGGTGACTCCTTAATACAGCCACCCTTAACATGACACTTCACATGAGATTGGGTTTTAACAAGATTCTGTTGCTCAGAGCTCTTCCAAATTTCATATTTTGCTCATACCAGATGAGAAGTTGTTGCAACTTTCAATGCTGCAAGTCCTGGAATTTCTGGATTCCCTTTATTCCTTCTGGTTATTACTTCCTAAGCTCATTTCCTTCATGCGGTACTTAGTAAAATACATCCGGTCACTATCAAAATACATTTTTAATAGTCTGTTTTTCCAATTATTCACTTGAAAGCACAAGTCATGAGTACATTATTTGCCTTCCATATTGTCACAGGTGACATTTTTATGGCTTCACCACTGTGTAACAGGTGTTGTCATCATTCCAGTCTCCAGTAACTACTTCATCACTGCTTAACCCTTTAACCTATCCATTATGTTTTAATGGCTTATTGTCGTTGCTCTTGTTTTTGTTAAATCAGCATTCCATTTCTAGGTAGCAATTTCGGTATTGGTCAGCTTTCATTTGTTATGCAGCAGTAACAAGCATCAGATCTCAATGTGTAATAACAAAGGATTATTTCTCACTCATTTTACATGTTGGCAAATGATTGGGCTTAGTTCTGCTCTACATTCTTTTTGCTTTGGAATATAAGTTAAAGGAGCATCCTTTTCTGTAGCTTTGATGTGCTTGTGGAAAAGGGAAAAAGTGATGGCAGAAACCGGATATCATCAAATATAAGTTACATAATTTTGTAATGTATGTCATTGCCATATATTACTTATATTAAACAAATATGTATATACTTTCATTTTAGTAAGTGTTTAAATCAGGACTGTACATTAAATATTACTAAATAACCTTTGTAAATTTACTGAAATTATGTACTTTTCCTTTAGATGATTAATATACATTTTATTAATAGATTTCCTTATTTTAAAGAATATGTGCAATCCTATAATAAAACTCACTTTAGTTGCTAATTTTTATTGAGGTTTTGGATTTATATTCATTAGTGTGTTTTCTCTGTGGTGTGTGTGTGTGTGTGTTTACATAATATCTTTGTCATTTTTACTTGGATGTCTCTCAGGCACCTCATATTCAACATGTTCAAATAAGATTCATGATCTTTGTCTACAAGCCATGTCCTTCTCCATTCCCCCATCTCCATAAAAGTCACCAACAATTATGCAGCTGCTCAAGCCAGAGTTATATGAGTAATTTCTGTCCCACCTCACCTACTGTAATCAGTCAGTCATCAGTGCCAGTTCATTCCACTTCCTAATATTGCTTAAAATCACCCATGTCTCTATATCCCTACTGCTACGGCTCCACCATTTTTAACATGACCACTCTGCTTCCATTCCTGGCCCCTTCCCATCCATTCTTTCAAATGCATCCAGATTAGTCTTCTAGGAATGAGATTGTCATTATATCACCTCATAGTTACCACCACCAGTGCTGTCTGCTTAAAATAATTCAAAGTATCTGTCGTTCTTTCAGTACAATGTTCCAAATCCTTAAACTATCTTCACAGACACTCAGTGATCTTTCTGTCTTTATCCAGCATCATTTCATGTCACTCTCTTTAATGTTCTATGTTCTAGCCACACATTTTTCAGTCCCCCAAGTTGTCATTCTGTCTCCTAATTCAGAGCATTCTCTATGCCCACAACGTCACGACTCTATCCTGTTATCTCTGACTCATCTTTTAGGTCTCAATCTAAACATCACTTCCTGTAATTTTCATTATATCAATGTCAGAAGCTATATTAGTCAGCGTTCTCTAGAGGGACAGAACTAATACTATAGATACATATATGAAGGGGAGTTTATCAAGTATTAACTCACATGATCACAAGGTCCCACAATAGGCTGTCTGCAAGCTGAGGAGCAAAGAGAGCCAGTCTGAGTCCCAAACTGAAGAACTTGGAGTCTAATGTTTGAGGCAAGGAAGCATCCAGAACTGGAGAAAGATGTAGGCTGAGAACCTAGGCCAATGTCATCTTTTCATGTTTTCCTGCCTGCTTTATATTCTAACCATGCTGTCAGCTGATTAGATGGTGCCCATCCATATTAAGGGTGGGTCTGCCTTTCCTAGTCCACTGACTCAAATGTTAATCTCCTTTGACAACACCCTCACAGACACATCCAGGATCAATACTTTGCATCCTTCAATCCAATCAAGTTCACACTCAGTATTAACCATCACAAGTCCACTCCTTGTCAATTTGAACTCATACACATCACCTGAGATCATACATAATCTACAAATAACGACAATCATAAGGTCGTAATTAGGCCTAACATACTACAACTATCCTTTGTACAATTGGAAATGCACCAATACCCACCCCAGATACTATTACATAAAGTTAACACTACTTAAATGTTAATATGAAGTCAATAAATCTTATATCACATGATAAAGGAAAAAGGAAATAAAATGAAGATATATTCTTAGTACAAATGTATACATGCACAAACATGTTTTTAACAAAAGGAGGAAATACTCATTACAATTACAGTCCTCATTTCTGCAGCTGGTCATGTAGTCATAGCTGATATTGATGACTACCTTCTTCTACTACCCATTCTATATTCCCTTTGCCTTCAGCAAGCACTTCAGCAGGTCATGGTTTTTTTTCCTGGTGGAGTGAACCAAACCTTCATTCCTGAGAGATCTGGGTCATTTGTAGTCCTGCCTGGATTGGGCTGTGTTAGTTTCTCATTGACTTTAATCACAGTGCATGGTAATACTAAGAGACACCCTAATAGATTTCCTGTATTCCATGCATGCTCTTCCTGACCTCCGTTGTGGAGTAGTAGACTGATCTCATCTTAATAGCCCAGGTCAATCACCCCAGGAAACACTGTAACTCCCTTCTTAGCCTGTTGACTTAAAGGTAGGAGGAGCCCAAAGTGTCCAAGTGGCAATCTTATCTTCCAGTTTAAGGAAATCATTGTTGTGTCTCCTGGTGGCAGTGTTCCTCCCTTTGAAACTAAGACCTCTAGGCCAGCAGAAAGTAATGTTGTGGAAACAGGAAGCAAAAATTTTGCTAGTGGATCACTAGGGGTGATGGTGAGTGGTGCCACTTTCACTTCCACCCCTTGATTCCTGGACCCATGAATCCTGGCTATGGGAGAAACAGTACCATATATTGGACACTGATTCAGCACATACACGTCTTCTGGAGAACTTTGCTCCAGCCCTGCCAAGTATTGTCACCTAGTTGGCATTGTAATTGTAACTTCAAAAGGCCATTCAACCGTTCTATCAATCCAGCTGCTTCAGGATGATGGGGAACATGGTAAGACCAACGAATTCCATGAGCATGAGCCCACTGCCACACTTCTTTTTTTTTTATTATTATACTTTAAGTTTTAGGGTACATGTGCACAACGTGCAGGTTTGTTACATATGTATACATGTGCCATGTTGGTGTGCTGCACCCATTAACTCATCATTTAGCATTAGGTATATCTCCTAATGCTATCCCTCCCACCTCCCCCCACCCCACAACAGTGCCCAGTGTGTGATGTTCCCCTTCCTGTGTCCATGTGTTCTCATTGTTCAATTCCCACCTATGAGTGAGAACATGTGGTGTTTGGTTTTTTGTCCTTGCAATAGTTTGCTGAGAATGATGGTTTCCAGCTTCATCCATGTCCCTACAAAGGACATGAACTCATCATTTTTTATGGCTGCTTGGTATTCCATGGTGTATAAGTGCCACATTTTCTTAATCCAATCTATTATTGTTGGACACTTGGGTTGGTTCCAAGTCTTTGCTATTGTGAATAGTGCCGCAGTAAACATACGTGTGCATGTATCTTTATAGCAGCATGATTTATAATCCTTTGGGTATATACCCAGAAATGGGATGGCTGGGTCAAATGGTATTTCTAGTTCAAGATCCCTGAGGAATCGCCACACTGACTTCCACAATGGTTGAACTAGTTTACAGTCCCACCAACAGTGTAAAAGTGTTCCTATTTCTCCACATCCTCTCCAGCACCTGTTGTTTCCTGACTTTTTAATGATTGCCATTCTAACTGGTGTGAGGTGGTATCTCATCGTGGTTTTGATTTGCATTTCTCTGATGGCCAGTGATGATGAGCATTTTTTCATGTGTCTTTTGGCTGCATAAATGTCTTCTTTTGAGAAGTGTCTGTTCATATCCTTTGCCCGCTTTTTGATGGGGTTGTTTGTTTTTTTCTTGTAAATTTGTTTGAGTTCATTGTAGATTCTGGATATTAGCCCTTTGTCAGATGAGTAGATTGCAAAATTTTTCTCCCATTCTGTATGTTGCCTGTTCATTCTGATGTTGGTTTCTTTTGCTGTGCAGAAGCTCTTTAGTTTAATCAGATCCCATTTGTCAATTTTGGCTTTCGTTGCCATTGCTTTTGGTGTTTTAGACATGAAGTCCTTGCCCATGCCTATGTCCTGAATGGTATTGCCTAGGTTTTCTTCTAGGGTTTTTATGGTTTTAGGTCTAACATATAAGTCTTTAATCCATCTTGAATTAATTTTTGTATGAGGTGTAAGGAAGGGATCCAGTTTCAGCTTTCTACATATGGCTAGCCAGTTTTCCCAGCACCATTTATTAAATAGGGAATCCTTTCCTCATTGCTTGCTTTTCTCAGGTTTGTCAAAGATCAGATAGCTGTAGATATGCGGCGTTATTTCTGAGGGCTCTGTTCTGTTCCATTGATCTATATCTCTGTTTTGGTACCAGTACCATGCTGTTTTGGTTACTGTAGCCTTGTAGTATAGTTTGAAGTCAGGTAGCGTGATGCCTCCAGCTTTGTTCTTTTGGCTTAGGATTGACTTGGCAATGTGGGCTCTTTTTTGGTTCCATGTGAACTTTAAAGTAGTTTTTTCCAATTCTGTGAAGAAAGTCATTGGTAGCTTGATGGGGATGGCATTGAATCTATAAATTACCTTGGGCAGTATGGCCGTTTTCATGATATTGATTCTTCCTACCCATGAGCATGGAATGTTCTTCGATTTCTTTGTATCTTCTTTTATTTCATTGAGCAGTGGTTTGTAGTTCTCCTTGAAGAGGTCCTTCACGTCCCTTGTCAGTTGGATTCCTAGGTATTTTATTCTCTTTGAAGCAATTGTGAATGGGGAGTTCACTCATGATTTAGCTCTCTGTCTGTTATTGCTGTATAAGAATGCTTGTGATTTTTGTACATTGATTTTTTATCCTGAGACTTTGCTGAAGTTGCTTATCAGCTTAAGGAGATTTTGGGCTGAGACTATGGGGTTTTCTAGATATAAAATCATGTTAGTTTCAGAAGGAATGGTACCAGCTCCTCCTCGTACCTCTGGTAGAATTCGGCTGTGAATCCATCTGGTCTTGGACTTTTTTTGGTTGGTAAGCTATTAATTGTTGCCTCAATTTCAGAGCCTGTTATTGGTCTATTCAGAGATTCAACTTCATCCTGGTTTAGTCTTGGGAGGGTGTATGTATGGAGGAATTTATCCATTTCTTCTAGATTTTCTAGTTTATTTGTGTAGGGGTGTTTATAGTATTCTCTGATGGTAGTTTGTATTTCTGTGGGATTGGTGGTGATATCCCCTTTGTCATTTTTTATTGCGTCTATTTGATTCTTCTCTCTTTTCTTTTTTATTAGTCTTGCTAGCGGTCTATCAATTTTGTTGTTCTTTTCAAAAACCAGCTCCTGGATTCATTGATTTTTTGAAGGGTTTTTTGTGTCTCTATTTCCTTCAGTTCTGCTCTGATCTTAGTTATTTCTTGCTTTCTGCTAGTTTTTGAATGTGCTTGCTCTTGCTTCTCTAGTTCTTTTAATTATGATGTTAGGGTGTCAATTTTAGATCTTTCCTGCTTTCTCTTGTGGGCATTTAGTGCTATAAATTTCCCTCTACATACTGTTTTGAATGTGTCCCAGAGATTCTGGTATGTTGTGTCTTTCTTCTCATTGGTTTCAAAGAACATCTTTATTTCTGCCTTCATTTCCTTATGTACCCAGTAGTCATTCAGGAGCAGGTTGTTCAGTTTCCATGTAGTTGAGTGGTTTTGAGTGAGTTTCTTAGTCCTGAGTTGTAGTTTGATTGCACTATAGTCTGAGAGACAGTTTGTTATAATTTCTATTGTTTTACATTTGCTGAGGAGTGCTTTACTTCCAAGTATGTGGTCGATTTTGGAATAGGTGTGGTGTGGTGCAGAAAAGAGTGTATATTCTTTTGATTTGGAGTGGAGAGTTCTGTAGATGTCTATTAGGGCCACTTGGTGCAGAGCTGAGTTCAATTCCTGGATATCCTTGTTAACTTTGTGTCTTGTTCATCTGTCTAATGTCAACAGTGGGGTGTTAAACTCTCCCATAATTATTGTGTGGGAGTCTGAGTCTCTTTGTAGGTCACTCAGGACTTGCTTTATTAATCTGGGTGCTCCTGTATTGGGTGCATGTATGTTTAGGATAGTTAGCTCTTCTTGTTGAATTGATCCCTTTATCATTGTGTAATGGCCTTCTTTGTCTCTTTTGATCTTTGTTGGTTTAAAGTCTGTTTTATCAGAGACTAGGATTGCAACCCCTGTCTTTTTTTGTTTTCCATTTGCTTGGTAGATCTTCCTCCATTCCTTTATTTTGAGCCTATGTGTGTCTCTGCATGTGGCATGGGTTTCCTTAATACAGCATACTGATGGGTCTTGACTATTCATCCAATTTGCCAATCTGTGTCTTTTAATTGGAGCATTTAGCCCATTTACATTTAGGGTTAATATTGTTATGTATGAATTTGATCCTGTCATTATGATGTTAGCTGGTTATTTTGCTCATTAGTTGATGCAGTTTCTTCCTAGTCTTGATGGTCTTTACAATTTGGCATGCTTTTGCAGTGGCTGGTACCGGTTGTTCCTTTCCATGTTTAGTGTTTCCTTCAGGAGCTCTTGTAGGGAAGACCTGGTGGTGACAAAATCTCTTAGCATTTGCTTGTCTGTAAAGGATTTTATTTCTCCTTCACTTAGGAAGCTTAGTTTGGCTGGATACGAAATTCTGGGTTGAAAATTCTTTTCTTTAAGAATGTTGACTATTGGCCCCCACTCTCTTCTTGCTTGTAGAGTTTCTGCTGAGAGATGAGCTGTTAGTCTGATGGGCTTCCCTTTGCGGGTAACCCGACCTTTCTCTCTGGCTGCCCTTAACATTTTTTCCTTGATTTCAACTTTGGTGAATCTGACAATTATGTGTCTTGGAGGTGCTCTTCTCGAGGAGTATCTTTCTGGCGTTCTCTGTATTTCCTGAATTTGAATGTTGGCCTGCTTTGCTAGATTGAGGAAGTTCTCCTGGATAATATCCTGTAGAGTGTTTTCCAACTTGGTTCTATTCTCCCCGTTACTTTCACATACACCAATTAGATGTAGATTTGTCTTTTCACATAGTCCCATATTTCTTGGAGGCTTTGTTCATTTCTTTTATGGTTTTTTCTCTAAACTTCTCTTCACGCTTCATTTCATTCATTTCATCTTCCATCGCTGATACCTTTTCTTCCCATTGATCACATTGGTTTCTGAGGCTTGTGCATTCATCATGTAGTTCTCGTGCCGTGGTTTTCAGCTCCATCAGGTCATTTAAGGACGTCTCTGCATTGGTTATTCTAGTTAGCCATGCATCTAATTTTTTTTCAAGGTTTTTAACTTCTTTGCCATGGGTTCAGACTTCCTCCTTTAGCTCAGAGTAGTTTGAACATCTGAAGCCTTCTTCTCTCAACTCGTCAAAGTCATTCTCCATCCAGGTTTGTTCTGTTGCTGGTGAGGAGCTGCATTCCTTTGGAGGAGGAGAGGCACTCTGATTTTTAGAGTTTCCAATTTTTCTGTTCTGTTTGTTCCCCATCTTTTTGGTTTTATCTACCTTTGGTCTTTGGTGATGGTGACGTACAGATGGGGTTTTGGTGTGGATGTCCTTTCTGTTTGTTAGTTTTCCTTCCAAAATTCAGGACCCTCAGCTGCAGGTCTGTTGGAGTTTACTGGAGGTCCACTCCAGACCTGTTTGCCTGGGTATCAGCATCGGTGGCTGCAGAACGGCCGATATTGGTGAACCGCAAATGCTGCTGCCTGATCATTCCTCTGGAAGTTTTGTCTGAGAGGAGTACCCAGCCGTGTGAGGTGTCAGTCCGCCCCTACTAGGGGGTGCCTCCCAGTTAGGCTATTCGGGGGTCAGGGACCCACTTGAGGAGGCAGTCTGCCCATTCTCAGATGTCAAGCTGTGTGCTGGGAGAACCACTTCTTTCTTCAAAGCTGTCAGACAGGGACATTTAAGTCTGCAGTGGTTATTGCTGTCTTTTGTTTGTCTGTGCCCTGCCCCTGGAGGTGGAGTGTACAGAGGCATGCAGGCCTCCTTGAGCTGTGGTGGGCTCCAGCCAGTTCAAGCTTCCCGGCTGCTTTGTTTACCTACTCAAGCCTGGGCAATGGCGGGCACCCCTCCCCCAGCCTCACTGCCGCCTTACAGTTTGGTCTCAGACTGCTGTGCTAGCAAAGAGTGAGGCTCCGTGGGTGTAGAACCCTCCAAGCTATGTGTGGGATATAATCTCCTGGTGTGCTGTTTGTTAAGCCCATTGGAAAAGCACAATATTAGGGCAGGAGTGACCCAATTTTCCAGGTGCCATCTGTGAATGCTTTCTTTGACTAGGAAAGGGAATTCCCTGACCTCTTGCCCTTCCCAGGTGAGGTGATCCCTCACCCTGCTTTGGGTCACGCATGGTGTGCTACACCCACTGTCCTGCAACCACTGTCTGGCACTCCCCAGTTAGATGAACGCGGTACCTCAGTTGGAAATGTGGAAATCACCTGTCTTTTGCATCGCTCATGCTGGGAGCTGTAGACTGGAACTGTTCCTATTCAGCCATCTTGGCTCCACGTATATCCACTGCCACAATTCTTTAGTCATAAAGTGATTGCCTTGGTCAGAGGCAATGCTGTGTGGAATACCATGATGGTGGATAAGGCATTCTGTGAGTCCATGAATGGTAGTCTTGGCAGAGCATTGTGTTCAGTTTAGGCAAACCCATATCCAGAGTAAGTGTCTGTTTCAGTGAGGACAAACCTCTGCCCTTTTCATGATGGAAGAGGTCCAGTATAACCAACCTTCCACCAGGTAACAGACTGATCACCCCGAGGAATGGTGCCATATTGAGGGCTCAGTGTTAGTCTCTGCTGCTGTCAAATTGGGCACTCAGCTGTAGCCATAGCCAGGCCAGTTTTGGTGAGTGGAAGTCCATGTTGCTGAGCCCATGTATAACCTCCATCCCTGCCACCATGGCCACTTTGTTTATGGGCCCATTGGGTGATAACAGGGGTGGCTGGGGAAAGAGGCTGAGTGATGTCCACAGAACAGGTCATCTTATCCACTTGATTATTAAAATCCTCCTCTGCTGAGGTCACCCATTGGTGAGCACTCACATGGGATCCAAATATCTTCACAGGTTTTGGCCACTCAGAGAGGTCCATCCACATACCTCTTCCCCAAATTTCTTTGTCACCAATTTTCCAATCATGCTTCTTCCAAGTCCCTGACCATCCAGCCAAACCATTGGCTACAGCCCATGAATCAATATATAATCGCACATCTGGCCATTTATCCTTCCATGAAAAGTGCACAACCAGGTGCACTGCTTGAAGTTCTGCCCACTGGGAAGATTTCCCTTCACCACTGCCCTTCAGTGATGTCCTAGAAAGGGGCTGTAGTGCTGCAGCTGTCCACTTTTGGGTGGTGCCTGCATATTGTGCAGAACCATCTGTGAACCAGGCCCTAGTCTTCTCTTCCTCTGTCAACTGATCATAGGGAACTCCCCATGAGGCCATCGGTGCAGGCTGGGGAAGAGAAGGTGGGGTGGCAGTTGTGGAGACCATGGGCATTTGAGCTACTTCCTTGTGTAACTTACTTGTGCCTTTAGGACCTGCTCGAGCCCAATCACATATATATCACTTCCATTTGATGATGGAATGCTGCTGTGCATGACCCATTTTATGGCTACATGGGTCAGAAAGCACCCAGTTCATGATAGACAGTTCAGTTCACATGGTGACTTGATGACCCATAATCAAATGTTCAGTTTCCACCAAAGCTCAGTAACAGGTCAAGAGCTGTCTTTCAAAAGCACAGTAGTTATATGCAGAAAATGGCAGGGCCTTGCTTCAAAATTTTAGAGGCATCTGCTGTGATTCACCTGTGGGGGCCTGCCAAAGGCTCCAAACAGCATCCCTATCTGCCACTGATGCCTCAAGCACCATTGGATCTGCTGAGTCATATGGCCCAAACAGCAGAGCAGGTTGGACAGCAGCCTGGACCTGAGGCAGAGCCTTATCCTGTTCTGGACCCCACTCAAAACTGGCAGCCTTTTGAGTCACTCGATAAATGGGCCTGAGTAACACACCCAAATGAGGAAAGTGTTACCTCCAAAATCCAAGTAGGCCCACTACATATTGTGCCTTTTTCTTAGTTGTAGGAGGGGCCAAATGCAGCAACTTATCCTTCATCTTACAAGGAGTATCTTGACAGGCCCCACACCACTGGACCCCTAGAAATGTTACTGAGGTAGAAGGTCCCTGAATTTTAGTCAAATTTATTTCTCATCCTCTGGCACACAAACATCTCACAAATAAGTCCAGTGTGTTTGCTACTTCTTGCTCACTGGATCCGATCAGCATAATGTCATCAATGTAATGGACCAGTGTGATATCTTGCAGAAGCAAAAAGTGTCAAGATCTCTCCAAATAAGATTATGATGCAAAGCCAGAGTTTATATACTCTTGAGGTAGGAGAGTAAAGATATATTGCTGGTCTTGCCAGCTGAAGGCAAATTGCTTCTAGTGGGCCTTATGAATAGGAATGGAGAAAAAGGCATTTGCCAAGTCAATGGCTGCATACCAGGTACCAGGAAATGTGTTAATTTGCTCAAGCAATGAAACCGTATCTGGTACAGCAGCTGCAATTGGAGTCACCACTTAGTTAAGCTTATGATAATCCACTGTCATTCTCCAAGATCCATCTGTCTTATGCACATGCCAAATGGGAGAGTTGAATGGGGGTGTGATGAAAATCACCACCCTTGCGCCTTTCAAGTCCTTGATCATGGCACTAATCTCTGCAATCCCTCCAGGGATGTGATATTGTTTTTGATTTACCATTTTTCTAGGTAGAGGCAGCTCTAATGCCTTCCATTTGGCCTTTCCCACCATAATAGGCCTCACCCTACCAGTCAGGGAGCCAATGTGGGTGTTCTTCCAGCTGCTAAGTATGTCTATGCCAATTATGCATTCTGGCACTGGGGAAATGAACACAGGATGAGCCTGGGGACCCATTGGACCCACTGTAAGTCAGACCTGAGCTAAAACTCCATTAATTACCTCACCTCCATAAGCTCCTGCTTTAACTGGAGGACCACAATGACGTTTTGAGTCCCTTAGAATTAACATCAGCTCAGAGCTAGTGTCCTGTAATCCCCCAAATGACTGATAATTTCCCTTTCCCCAATGCACAGTTACCTTGATAAAAGGCTGGAGGTCTCCTTGGGAAAAAATGGGAGAAAGATTAACAGCATAAATTGTTGGTAGTGTAGTGGGCTCCTTCCTTAATGGGACCCAACTTCCCCTTTATTCAAGGGGTTCTGTGTCTGTAAACTGGCTCAAGTCAAAAATTGATTGAGGGGCCATGATTCTCTATTTTTATAATTCAAAGTAGTGTTTTGTCCATTTGACCTGGAAGTTTTCTGCTTATATAAATTAAGTAGGAAAGCAGTAGGCATCCTAACAATTTCACTTCTGGGAACACTGTGATTAATTAGCGAATGCCAGAACTCTACATGAGTCAGACTATTCTGATTGCTGCTTTGCCACTACTGTCTGTTATGGTAGTTATGCCCACCTTGCCTTTGATGGTTGAGTGCCACCACTTGGCCTCTGCCACCTTGGGATCCAATTATTCCCATTGTATTTACATTTATTAGTTGAGTGACTGTGGTTCTCACCATTGGATCTGATATGCAGAGAATTACGGGGCTCTTCAAAGATGCAGGTGCTACCCTCACAGATCTATTTTGCAAGGTATTGGTCAAGGGTATATCTTCTGGGCCCTTCCATCTGGGATGAGTAGGTCTAAAGTCACTAATCCACTCCACCATCTCAATCTCTCTAAGCCTTTGGATCCCTTCCTCTACATTAAACCAAGAGTGATCAGACATTTCCAGCTCCCTCACAGTGGCCATCTTTCAATCCATATTTCAGCTAACTAAGCAAATAAATTATTAGAACCTTTTTTTAACTCCCTGAGCTGCAATATTAAATGCAGAGTCTCTACTTAGTGGGCCCAAATCAACAAATTCAGCCTGATCCAACTCTATGTTCCTTCCACCATTATCCCACACCCTTAATATCCATTCTCATGCCTGTTCTCCAGATTTCTGTTTATATAAATTAGAAAACTCAAGTAGTTCTTTTCAAGTATAGTGAACCTCCTCATGGGTTTCACTCTCAACCTCACCTCTTGGGGCCCATAAGGACTTTAGTCTGGTTATAGGTCTAGAAGCAGACAGGGGTGTTGGGGGTGGCTCCTGAGGAGAATCAACATTATTTTGCCTGGCAACTGCTCAGGGGGGGCCATCACTGTTGCCTTAGGCAGCACAGTGTTTATCTCCCCAGACAAATATGGAAAGGCTGATGGCAGCATGGGTCAGGGAGAGGATGTCACCACTACTGGGGATGGGGAAGCTGTTTTTTTTCTGGCAAAAAAGGTTTCCTCAGACTTTACAAACTCAGTGTCCCCAGCTTCATCAGGGTCCTCCCACATGTCCCCTTTCCAAGTTGCAGGGTCCCATTCTTTTCCAATCGATGCCCTCACTTTAATAGTACATACCTGGTGAGGCTGTGCATGCACCCTTCATTGGAAGTCAGCCACTTGCACAATAAGAGCTCATATCCATTTTCCCACAATTTCAGCTCTTTCTCTGCAGGAGATAATACTTTCACTCAGGGCAATCTTAGCAGATTTGAGGCTCAGTATCTGCTTCTGAAGCCAGGAGTTAGAATCCCTAAGTTCATTTTCTTTCATCACTTTGTCCATTGAACTTAGGAGAAACCAACCAACTTCATTATGTTTCCACATATGGTCAAAGGTATTATTTATAGAGTCACTAAACTCCTTGCCTCTCATGAGCGGTGAATCAGGAATGTCAAATGCATTTATTTTGCTTAACTCTCTAAACAGTTCATAGAAAGGAACACTGAATCAGTGTTCTCCATACTATCAGAAGTAGAGTCCTTAGCATTTTTGAGTCTAATCATATTAAACAGCCACTCCAGAAACCCTAAAACCAATGAAAGAACTGCATCCTTAATGTTCTGTTCCTCTAGAACCACTCCTGGTACAAAAATCTGTGTTAGGGTTCTCTAGAGGGGCAGAACTAATAGGATAGAGATATATAAGAAGGAAAGTTTATTAAGTATTAACTCACATGATCACAAGGTCCCACAATAGGATATCTGCAAGCTGAGGAACAAGGAGAGCCAGTCCAAGTCCTAAACTGAAGAACTTCGAGTCTGATGTTCAAGGGCAGGGAGCATCCAGTACCAGAGAAAGATGTAGGCTGGGAAGCTAGGCCAGTTTAGTCTTTTCATGTTTTTCTGCCAACTTTTCATATTCTAGCTGCGCTGGCAGCTGATTAGATGGTGCCCACCCAGGTTAAGCGTGGGTCTGCCTTTCCCAGCCCACTGACTCAAATGTTAATCTCCTTTGGCAACACCTTCACAGACACACCTAGGATCAATACTTTGCATCCTTCAATCCAATCAAGTTGACACTCAGTATTAACCATCACAGAAGCATTATCTACTAATACCACCATATAAAAGATGTGGATGTTAGCATAGTTATCACACTGTTTCCTCACACAATCCACTACCCATGGCTTGGTTTCTATGGACATATTATTGGATCTGAGCCAGCTTATTATAATGTTTTAAATAATATTCAAGAATTGTTACAATTGCATTTTGAATTGTTATTATTTAAATATAGGTCAATTTCTAAATAGATTCTTGTCCATAGTCAGATTTTACATCATGATTTCCTCACTCATGACATTTAAAAGTTTATTTGTTAAATTTAGCCAATATATACAAGTCTGCATTTGGGGATGGGTAATTGAATGCCATTTTTAATTTTTGGATAATGGAGACTTTTTTTATGTTGCCTTTATATTTGATCCATAACTAGGCTATGTAGTACATTTCTGGGTCAAATCTCTATTGCTTTAAAACTTTGTGGTTTTGCTTCATTATCTCCTAGTATCTACAGTTACTGAAGTGATACGTACAACCAGCTTTGGACATGATGAATGTTTTAGGCTAAAGACTTGGGTGTTCTTTGGTCTTTGGAAGTTTTCTTTAATACTCTCTTTAAATTTGTCTGATTCCACTTCTTGGTTCCCTTTTCAGGAACACCAAGTATTCACACAGTGGATAGTCATCTGTCCTCTACTTCTAAAATTTTGTTATTTAACAAAATGTTATAAAAGTAGAATCACATTTATGTAACCTTTTGGGATTGATGTTTTTTGCTCAGCATAATTTCCTGGCAATCCATCCAAGTTGTTGCATGCATCAATCATCCATTCCTTTACATTGCTAAGTAGTATTCCATGCTATGTATTTACAACAGTTTGTTTACCCATTCACCTGTTGAAAAACATCTTGGCTGAATCTAGTTCTTAGCTATTAATATTATAAACAAAGATGCTATAAACATTTGTTTGACAGTTTTTTGTGTGAAGTTTTTATTTTTCTGGGATAAATGCCTGGGAGTGCAATTGCTGGGTCATATGATAGTTGTGTGTTTTTCTTTGAGAAACTCCCAAAATTTCCCAGAGTGGATGAAGTATTTTATGTTTCTATCAGTAATGTATCAGTGATCCGGTTTCTACACATCCTTACCAGCATTTGGTGGTGTCATGATTTTTAATTTTAGCCATTCTGATAGATGAGTAGTGATAGCTTATTGTTGTTTCAATTTGCATTTCCCTAAAACCTAATAATTTTGAACATCTTTTCATGTGATTATTTGCTGTCCATGAAATATCTGTGGAAACAGTGAGTAGAAGGATGCTTTCCACAGTCTGAGAAGGACAGCTGGGAGAGGTGGATGAAGAGAGGTTGGTATATGGGTACAAAAATACAATTAAGACCTCTGGTCCATGCTGGGCACAGTGGCTCATGCCTGCAATCCCAGCACTTTGGGAGGCCAAAGCGGGTGGATCACCTGAGGTCAGGAGCTTAAGACCAGCTTGGCCAACATGGTGAAACCCTGTCTCTACTGAACATACAAAAATTAGCCGGGCATGGTGGTGCGTGCCTGTAATCCCAGCTACTCAGGAGGCTGAGGTGGGAGAATCACTTAAACCCGGGAGGCGAAGGTTGCAGTAAGCCGAGGTCACACCACTGCACTCCAGCCTGGGCAACAGAGCACTCCAGCCGGGGCAACAGAGCAAGACTCTGTCTCAAAAAAATAAAATAAAATAAAGTAAAACAAAATAAAGAGTTCCAATCCAGCAGAGAGTGTGGTGAGATGGTGCGGGACCAGCTCCCTGGGACTTCTGAGCCTTTGCCCTGGCCAGTGGGGGAGCTGAGCCAGGATAGGCTGTAGCCTCTGCCCCGTGACACCAGGACCCTTGTGGTGGCTGCCACCAGGACCCTTGGGGTGGGTGCCTGGGCCTTGAAGATGCAGCAAGCCTCCCTTCCCCCTACACCTCAGTGACTGAGGGTGGTGGTGGCCTTTCCCAGGCCGCACCCTGCCGGGTATAGACGAAGTCCCCACTGAGCCTGGATGCAGTGCCTTTGGGTGGTGGTGGGAGTGGCAGGGGCAGCTTGGTGACTATCCGGGTGTGAGGATTGGGAAGGTGCTCTTGGGATGCAGGACACGGGCTCAGCCACCTCTTTAGGCCATGGCGCTGCCAGATCCGGGTCCTGGTGACCACTCTGTCCCAGCTGGGCGAGACTTACCTAGTCCTGAGGACAACAGACAATGGCCTTAACAGGCCTGGAAGGTGAGTGGAGGCACAGAGGAGGACAGTGTGGAACAGTTAGCAGGCATTGGGCTGTTGGTCTTCCTTCTACCAGACCTGGAAGGACCTCACATTTGGCCTATGGGAAATGCCCGCCACACTTTGGGAAGATTTACTATCTGCTTCTAGAAGGCTGTGTGTATATTATGAAAAAGCTATTCTCAACTCACCCCCAACCTTTTAATAGATAACATCTGTGGGGAGGCTGACAAGATGGCTGAATAGAAACAGCTCAGGTGTGCAGCTCACAGTGAGATCAATGCAGAAGGTGGGTGATTTCTGCATTTCCAACTGAGGTACCCGGCTCATCTCATTTGGACTGGTTAGACAGTGGGTGCAGCCCATGGAGGGTGAACTGAGGCAGGGTGGGGTGTTGCCTCACCTGGGAAGTGCAAGGGGTCAGAAAACTCCCCTGTTAGCCAAGGGAAGCTGTAAGGAGCTGTGCCATGAGGAGTGGTGCATTCCAGCCCAGATACTATGCTTTTCCCATGGTCTTTGCAACCCACAGACCAGGAGATTCCCTCCAGTGCTTATGCCACCAGGGTCTTGGGTTTCAAGCACAAAACTGGGTGGCCATTTGGGTAGACACCAAGGTAGCTGCAGGAGTCTTTTTTCATACCCCAGCGATGCCTGGAATGTCAGCAAGACAGAACCATTCACTCCCCTGGAAAGGGGGCCGAAGCCAGGGAACCAGGTGGTCTAGCTCAGTGGATCCCACCCCCATGGAGCCCAGCAAGCTAAGATCCACTGGCTTGAAATTCTTGCTGCCAGCACAGTAGTCTGAAGTTGACCTGGGATGCTGGAGCTTGGTATGGGGAGGGGCGTCTGCCATTACTGAGGCTTGAGTAGGCAGTGTTCCTCTCACTGTGTAAACAAAACTGCAAGGAAGTTCCAACTGGGTGGAACACACCACAGCGCTGCCAGGCTGCTGTAGCAAGACTGCCTCTCTAGATTCCTCCTGTCTGGGCAGGGCATCTCTGAAAAAAAGGCAGAAGCCCCAGTCAGGGACTTATAGATAAAACTCCCATCTCTCTGGGACAGAGCACCTGGGGGAAGGGGCAGCTGTGGGTGCAGCTTCAGCAGATTTTAACATCCCTGCCTGCCAGCTCTGAAGAGAGCAGTGGATCTCCCAGCACAGTGTTTGAGCAGACTGCCACCTCAAGTGGGTCCCTGACCCCCTGGCCTCCTGACCGGGAGATACCTTCCAGAAGAAGCCAACAGACACCTCACACAAGAGAGCTCCAGCTGGCATCTGGCAGGTGCCCCTCTGGGACAAAGCTTTCAGAGGAAGGAACAGGCAGCAATCTTTGCTGTTCTGCAGCCTCCACTGGTGATACCCAGGCAAACAAGGTCTGAAGTAGATGTCCAGCACACTCCAGCAGACCTGCAGCAGAGAGGCCTGACTGTTAGAAGAAAAACTAACAAACAGAAAGGAATAGCATCAACATCAACAAAAAGGACATCCACTCAGAAACCCCATCCAAAGGTCACCAACATCAAACACAAAAGGTAGGTAAATCCATGAAGATGGGGAGAAACCAGCACAAAAAGGCTGAAAATTCCAAAAACCAGAATGCCTCTTCTTCTCCAAAAAATCACAACTTCTCACCATCAAGGGAACAAAACTGGATGGAGAATGAATTTGATGAATTGTCAGAAGTAGGCTTCAAAGGTGGATAATAACATACTCCTCTGAGCTAAAGGAGAATGTTCTAACCCAATGCAAGGAAGCAAAGAAACTTGAAAAAAGATTAGATGAATTGCTAACTAGAATAACGAGTTTAGAGAAGAACATAAATGACCTGATGGAGCTGAAAAACACAGCACAAGAACTTAGTGAAGCATACACACATATCAATAGCTGAATCGATCAAGTGGAAGAAAGGATATCAGAGATTGAAGATCAACTTGCAGAAACCCTATAAGCCAGAAGAGACTAGGGGCCAATATTCAACATTCTTAAAGAAAAGAATTTTCAATGCTGAATTTCATATCCAGCCAAACTAAGCTTCATAAGTGAAGGAGAAATAAAATTCTTTACAGACAAGCAAATGTGAGACATTTTGTCGTCACCACGCCTGCGTTACAAGAGCTCCTGAAGGGAGCAATAAGCATGGAAAGGAAAAAATGGTGCCAGCCACTGCAAAAACATGCCAAATGGTAAAGACCATCAATGCTATGAAGAAACTGCATCAAGTAATGGGCAAAATAACCAGCTAGCATCATAATGATAGGATCAAATTTACACATAACATATTAACCTTAAATGTAAATGGGCTAAATGCCCCAATTAAAAGACACAGACTGGCAACATGGATAAAGAGTCAAGACCCATCAGTGTGCAGTATTCAGGAGACCCATCTCACATGCAAAAACACACATAGGCCCAAAATAAAGGGATGGAGGAATATTTACCAAGCAAATGGAAAGCAAAAAACAAACAAACAAACAAACAAACAGGGGTTGCAATCATAGTCTCTGATAAAACAGACTTTAAACCAACAAAGATCAAAAGAGAAAAAGAAAGCCATTACATAGTGGCTAAGAAGAGCTAACTATCCTAAATATACATGCACCCAATACAGGAGCACCCAGATTCATAAGGCAAGTTCTTAAACACCTACAAGGAGACTTAGACTCCCACACAATAATAGTGGGAGATTTTAATACCCCACTGTCAATATCAGACAGGTCAATGAGACAGAAAATTAACAAGGATATCTAGGAATTGAACTCAGCTCCAGACTAAGCAGACCTAATAGACATCTATAGAACTCTCCACCCCAAATCAACAGAATATACATTCTTCTCAGCACCACATCGCACTTATTCTAAAATTGACCACATAATTGGAAGTAAAACACTCCTCAGCAAATGCAGAAGAATGGAAATCATAACAAACAGTCTCTCACACCACAGCGCAATTAAATTAGAATTCAGAATTAAGAAACTCACTCAAAACCTCACACTTACATGGAAACTGAACAACCTGCTCCTGACTGACTGCTGGATAAATAATGAAATGAAGAAGGATAAAGATGTTGTTTGAAAACAATAAGAATAATGTACCAGAAACTCTGGGACATATTTAAAGCAGTGTGTAGAGGAAAATTTATAGCAGTAATTGCCTACAAAAGAACACAGGAAAGATCTAAAATCGACACCCTAACATCACAATTAAAAGAACTAGAGAAGCAAGAGCAAACAAATTCAAAAGCTAGCAGAAAACAAGAGATAACTAAGATCAGGGCAGAACTGAAAGAGATAGAGACATGAAAAACCCTTAAAAAATCAATTAATCGCTCTCCCTCTCCCTCTCCCTCTCCCTCTCCGTCTCCCTCTCCGTCTCCCTCTCCGTCTCCCTCTCCCTCTCTTTCCATGGTCTCCCTCTGATGCCGAGCCGAAGCTGGACTGTACTGCTGCCATCTCGGCTCACTGCAACCTCCCTGCCTGATTCTCCTGCCTCAGCCTGCCGAGTGCCTGCGATTGCAGGTGCGCGCCGCCACGCCTGACTGGTTTTCTCTGCCCGGCCAGCCGCCCCGTCAGGGAGGGAGGTAGGAGGTCAGCCCCCCGCCCGGCCAGCCGCCCCATCCGGGAGGTGAGGGGTGCCTCTGCTCGGCCGCCCCTACTGGGAAGTGAGGAGCCCCTCTGCCCAGCCACCACCCCGTCTGGGAGGTGTACCCAACAGCTCATTGAGAAGGGGCCATGATGACAATGGCGGTTTTGTGGAATAGAAAGGGGGGAAAGGTGGGGAAAAGATTGAGAAATCGGATGGTTGCCGTGTCTGTGTAGAAAGAAGTAGACGGGAGACTTTTCATTTTGTTCTGTACTAAGAAAAATTCTTCTGCCGTGGGATCCTGTGGATCTGTGACCTTACCCCCAACCCTGTGCTCTCTGAAACATGTGCTGTGTCCACTCATGGTTAAATGGATTAAGGGTGGTGCAAGATGTGCTTTGTTAAACAGATGCTTGAAGGCAGCATGCTCCTTAAGAGTCATCACCACTCCCTAATCTCAAGTACCCAGGGACACAAACACTGCGGAAGGCAGCAGGGTTCTCTGCCTGGGAAAACCAGAGACCTTTGTTCACTTGTTTATCTGCTGACCCTCCCTCCATTATTGTCCTATGACCCTGCCAAATCCCCCTCTGCGAGAAACACCCAAGAATGATCAATAAAAAAATAAATAAATAAAAATAAAAATAAAATAAAATAAAATAAAAAAAGAAATAAACACAAATAAAATGTTAAAATTCCCATTCTACATAAAATCATCTATAGATGTTTTTAAATATACAACATGATTATCAAGGACTTAATCTGTACCACATTCTTGTAGATGTAAAGTTAAAATTCTTGTAACCATCACTCTCAACCCTACCCTATCTTCCAGCATAAATGAGACTTTCACATGTTTTCTCTTGCCCAGATGGAGACACTAACTGTAGGCTTTGGAAATGTCTTAAAAAAAAAAAAAAAAAAAAGAGCCAGGCATCTTCAAACAGAGAAAAGCTGTTTGAACACATTTATCTAAGTCTATCAAAAGCTATGATTGTTAGCAAGAGGCAACCTTGTAATGCCAAGGCAGAAAACTGCCACCAAACCACAAAAAGCTTGTTCAACTGCTGAACCTAAAATTAAGCAATTTATCTCTCATTAAAAAAAAAAAATCAATTAATCCAGGAGCTGGTTTTTTTTTAAAGATCAACAAAATAGATAGACCACTAGCCAGACTAATAAAGAGGAAAAGAGAGAAGAGTCAAATAGACATAATAAAAAATGATAAAGGAGATATCACCACTGATCCCACAGAAATACAACCTACCATCAGAGAATATTATAAACATCTCTATGCAAATAAACCAGAAAATCTAGAAGAAATGGATAAATTCCTGGACACATACACCCTCCCAAGACTAAACCAGGAAGAAGTCAAGTCCCTGAATAAGCCAATAACAAACTCTGAAATTGAGGCGGTAATTAATAGCCTACCAACCAAAAAAAGTCCAGGACCAGACGGATTCACAGCTGAATTCTACCAGAGGTACAAAAGGAGCTGGTACCATTCCTTCTGAAACTATTCCAAACAATAGAAAAAGAGAGAATCTCCCTAACTCATTTTACGAGGCCAGCATCATCCTGATACCAAAGCCTGGCAGAGACACAACAAAAAAAGAAAATTTCAGGCCGAAATCCCTAATGAATATTGATGCAAAAATCCTCAGTAAAATTCTGGCAAACCGAATCCAGCAGCACATCAAAAAGCTTATCCACCATGATCAAGTTGGCTTCATCCCTGGGATGCAAGGCTGGTTCAACATATGCAAATTAATGAACGTAATGCATCACATAAACAGAACCAATGACAAAAACCATGTGATTATCTCAATAGATGCAGAAAAGACCTTCGACAAAATTCAACAGCCCTTCACGCTAAAAACTCTCAATAAACTAGATATTCATGGAACATGTCTCAAAACAATCAGAGCTATTTATGAGAAACCCACAGCAGCCAATATCTTACTGAATGGGCAAAAACTGGAAGCATTCCCTTTGAAAACTGGCATAAGACAAGGATGCCCTCTCTCACCACTCCTATTCAACATAGTATTGGGAGTTCTGGCCAGGGCAATCAGGCAACAGAAAGAAATGAAGGATATTCAATTAGGAAAAGAGGAAGTCAAATTGTCTCTGTTTGCAGATGACATGACTGTATATTTAGAAAACCCCATCATCTCAGCCCAAAATCTCCTTAAGCTGATAAGCAACTTCAGCAAAGTCTCAGGATACAAAATCAATGTGCAAAAATCACAAGCATTCCTATACACCAATAACAGACAAACAGAGAGTCAAATCACAAGTGAACTCCCATTCACAGTTGCTGCAAAGAGAATAAAATACTTAGGAATGCAACTTACAAGGGATGTGAAGGACCTCTTCAAGGAGAACTACAAATCACTGCTCAATGACATCAGAGAGGACACAAACAAATGGAAAAACATTCCATGCTCATGGATAGGAAGAATCAATATCGTGAAAATGGCCATAATATCCAAAGTAATTTATAGATTGAATGCTATCCCCATCAAGCTACCACTGACTTTCTTCACAGAATTGGAAAAAACTACTTTAAATTTCATATAGAACCAAAAAAGAGCCTGCATAGCCAAGCCAATCTTAAGCAAAAATAACAAAGCTGGAGGCATCACACTACCTGACTTTAAACTATACTACATGGCTGCAGTAACCAAAACAGCATGGTACTGGTACCAAAACAGATATATAGACCAATGGAACAGAACAGAGGCCTCAGAAATAACAACACACATCTACAACTATCTGATCTTTGACAAACCTGACAAAAACAAGCAATGGGGAAAGGATTCTCTACTTAATAAATGGCATTGGGAAAACTGGTTAGCCATATGCAGAAAGCTGAAACTAGATCCCTTCCTTCCACTGTATACAAAAATTAACTCAAGATGGGCTAAAGACTTAAATGTAAGACCTAAAACCATAAAAACCCTAAAAGAAAATGTAGGTAATACCATTCAGGACATAAGCATGGGCAAAGACTTCATGACTAAAACACCAAAAGCAATGGCAACAAAAGCCAAAATTGACAAATGGGATCTAATTAAACTAAGGAGCTTCTGCACAGCGAAAGTAACTACCATCAGAGTGAACAGGCAACCAACAGAATGGGAGAACATTTTTGCAATCTATCCATCTAACAAAGGGCTAATATGCAAAATCTACAAAGAACTTAAACAAATTTACAAGAAAAAACAAACAATTCCATCAAAAAGTGGGTGAAGGATAAGAAAAGACTCTTCTCAAAAGAAGACATTTATGCAGTCAACAAGCATAGGAAAAAAAGCTCATCATCACTGGTCATTAGAGAAGTGCAAATCAAAAACACAATGAGATACCATTTCATGCCAGTTAGAATGGCCATCATTAAAAAGTCAAGAAACAACAGATACTAGAGAGCATGTGGAGAAATAGGACCACTTTTACACTGTTGGTGGGAGTGGAAATTAGTTCAACCATTGTGGAAGACAGTGTGGTGATTCCTCAAGAATCTAGAACTAGAAATACCACAATAGCAAAGACTTGGAACCAACCCAAATGCCCATCAATGATAGACTGGATAAAGAAAATCTGGCACATATACACCACAGAATACTATGCAGCCATGAAAAATGATGAGCTCATGTCCTTTGCAGAGACATGGATGAAGGTGGAAACCATCATTCTCAGCAAACTAACACAAGAACAGAAAACCAAACACCACATGTTCTCACTCATAAGTGGGAGTTGAACAATGAGAACACATGGACACGGGTTGGGGGGGTATCACACACTGGGGCCTGTTGGGCTATGGGGGGCTGGGGAGGGATAGCATTAGGGGAAATACCTAATGTAGATGACAGGTTGATGGGTGCAACAAACCACCATGGCACATGTATATCTATGTAACAAACCTGCACATTCTGCACATGTACCCCAGAATTTAAAGTATAATAAGAAAAATAAAAATAAATAAGTTAAAAGAGATTAAAAAAATAAAAGAGAACATTTGCCACATTCAGTCTTTCTAGATGGAAAGAGGTTGCTGACATATGATAGAATTAGAAAATCACACATCTTGTAAATTCTCATGTGTTTAAAAAGAAATCATACAAATTAGATGTTTTTTGGAGATGACTTTTTAAAATAGAGTCGTTAGATCACCTCTGTAAGGGATATGTCTATATCTGTTCAGTGGGTTAGGGGACATGGATCTGGAAAGCCTGAGAAGAAAAAGAAGGTTCTATACCAGACTTGTGATATTTAGACATTTTCATATTCTATCCATTCTTTTGTGTGCATTTTATTCCTCACTATTGTATATATAGTTGACAATGCTAAACTTTTTTGTGTATTCTTTCTATGTGTTCCGAATGCCTAATATATGTCAAAATTAGCGGTAGTAAAATAATATTTTGTAAATATCTTTTTGCTAAAATTCATATGAAATGTTGTTTTTGGAGGGGAATGGCCAAACTACCTGTTGAGTAATACTCATCGTGTTTGTGTCCTGGTTCAGGGGAGGAGGAAGGAGGGGAAAGTGCAGAGAGCTCTATGCCGCTGTGTTTACAGTGAGGCAAGATTAACCATTATCTCTTATGTCTGTGCATTTTGTTTTACTTATCTGTTTATGTAGTGTATATAAAGGACAAACGAGTCCTAATTTACAACATCTAGTCTTTTTAGATGTTAAAGAGGTTGCCAGTGTATGACAAAAGTAGAGTTAGTAAACTAATATATTTTGTATATTTTGTTTTAAAATTCCTAGGAAAGATTGTCTTCCTATCTTTGAGCATTCTTGCGCACTGGGTTGATGGAGATGGGAGGGATTCTAAGCTAGGATGTTCTTATTTGGAAGACTCTTTCAAATTATAACTATGGTTACATGTATGCAGTTTATTCGAGACTGCTGTGTATATAGTGGACAAATTAACTCCTTACTTGAAACACCTAGTTTATCTAGATGTTTAGAAGTGCCTGATGTACGTTAAATGTAGAGGTAATAAAATACCACTTTGTAAATATCTTTTTGCTAAAATTCATAGGAAATACTGTCTTTTAGAAATTTAATTGTTAAGCCACCTTTGTGAGCAGTATAGTACTGTCTATACTTGTTCAATGGTTTAGAGGAAGTGGGAGGGAAGAAAAATATGTGACTGACTTATTTCACTAAGCCTAATGTCTTTAAGTTTCATTCATGTTGTGGCATGTGTCAGAATTTCCTTCCTTTTTAAAGCTGAATAATATTGCATTGTATAGATATATTACCTTTTATTTATCCATTTATCCATCAATAGAAACTTGGGTTGCTTCCATATTTTAGCTATCATGAATATTGCTGCCATCAACATGTTGAGTTCCTGTATTCAACTCTTTGGGTAATACCCAGAAGTGAAATTGCTGAATAAGTATGGTAATTCTCTGTTAAATTTTTGAGGAGCTGCTGATTCATACTTTCACGTATAAAATATTAGACCTTAAATGTATTATGTAAAAACACTAAGTATTTTTAACATTCTAGAGTAAAGAAGGTGTTTCTTAGCAAGACAGAAAAGCTGAAACCCTCAATAGAAAAGCCTTGTTAATGTTATCACATAAAATATTCAAAATTTCTGAACACACAGACACACACGCACTAACGAAAAGCTATTTACAACTTGTGGTAGATGAAGAAATAATTTCTTAACATAGCAAGAACCCAGGCAAATGATTAAGAAAAAGAATAATCATACAAATTTAATACATGTGAGAAGCTGTTCAGCCTTTCCCATTAATTAAAGAAGTAAAATATAAAACAAAACATATAATTTTTCACTTAGCAGAGACGAAATACCAAAACAGATGGGTATAGGTGTGGAACATACTTCCTTGGTTGACAGTTAGCCAATATCTATTAAAATCCCTTGCCACAGTAATTTCAGTTCTAGACATTTGTCTTATATTACTGTATTTATTCTGTCCTGTAACCATAAATTCCACAGCTGCCTAGTGATGGTTCTATATTTAAATGGAATGCTTACTCTCAGTATTGTTTTTTCTTTTGAGATGGAGTCTTGTTCTGTTGCCAGGCTGGAGTGCAGTGCCATGATCTCAGCTCACTGCAACCTCCACCTCCCAGGTTCAAGTGATTCTCCTGCCTCAGCCTCCCGAGTAGCTAGGACTACAGGTGTGCACCACCACGCCCAGCTAATTTTTGTATTTTTAGTAGAGATGGAGTTTCACCTTGTTGGCCAGCATGGTCTCGATCTCTTGACCTCATGATCTGCCCACCTTGGCCTCCCAAAGTGCTGTGATTACAGGTGTGAGCCACGACACCCAGCCAGTATTTTTTTTTTTAAACCACAGCTTCTTCATTTTGAGTCATCTCTAAATAGCTGCAATTTACTATAACTTAGGGTTTACAATTTTTAAAATTGTGTATGTTAAGGTATCCACATGATGTTTGATATACTTCTTTTGACATAAATATACACAATGAAGTGATTACTACAGCCAAATAATGATTACCATACCCATCATTGCTAGCGTTTAGAAAGACAACTGATTTTTATGTGCTGATATTGTACCCTGCAACCTTACTGAATTTACTAAATCTAGTAGTTTTTTGGTGCATCCTTTGGGATTTTCTATTAACAGAATTATGCCTTCTGCAAATGTAAGTAATTTAGCTGCTTCTTTTTAAATATGTATGCCTCTTATGTCTTTTTCTTGGCTATGTTCTTTTCTCTGGCTAGAACTTCTAGTACAATGTCCAGTGTCAGTGTTGAAAATGGGCATCCTTGTGTTGTTCCTGATTTTAGGAGTAAAGCTTACAGTTTTTCTACCCCTGAGTATGATTTTAGTTGTGAGATTTTCCTATATGTCCTTTATCATGCTAAGAAAGTTCCCTTTTATTTTAGTTTGCTGATTTTTTAAAATTATGAAAGGGCATTTAATTTTATCAAATACTTTTTTCTGTGTCTGTTGAGAGTTTGGTCATTTTTTTTCTGTTGAAATGGTGTATTATGGTAGCTGATTTTTGGATGTGAAACCAACCTTGTGTCCTTGGGATAAATCCCATGTAATCATGGTGTATAATTCTTTCTATGTATTGCTGGATTTGGTTTGCTAGTATTTTGTTGGGAACTTTTGTGCCCATAAGATAAGAGGTATTGATCTATGGTTTTCTTTTCCTGTGATGTCTTTATTTGGTTTTTGTGTCAGGGAAATAGTGGCTTCATAAAATGTTCAAGAAGTGTACCCTCCTCATCTTTTTGTTGGAAGAGTGTGAAAAATTGGTATTATCAAATGTTTAGTAGAATTCACCAGTGAAGCCATTTGCTTTTCTTTTTGGGTAGTTTTTGATTACTGATTCATTCTCTTAATTTGTTTTAGGTCTATTCAGATTGTCTGTTTCTTCTTGAGTCAGTCTTGGTAGTTGTGTCTTTCTTGAAATTTTTTCATTTCACTTAAATTATCTTATTTGTCAGTGTACAATTATTTTTGGTATTCCTTTATAATCCTTTTTATTTCTTTAATGTCAGTAGTAATGTCTCTTCTTTTATTTCTGATTCTATAGTTTGAGTTTTCTCTCCTCTTTCCCTGATGAAACTGAAGTTTTTTCCATTTTATTGATTTTTTTCAAACGATCAAATTATTTCATTAATTTGTGCTGTTATCATTATTTCCTTCCTTCTGCTTACTTAAATTTAGTTTCATATTTTTTGTAAGTGTCTTAAGGTAGAATTTTAAGTTATTGATTTAAGAACTTTCTTAATACAAGTGTTTACAGCTGTTGATATTACTCTAATTACTTCTTTAGCTGCATCACAATTGTTTTGGTATGTTGTCTTCATTATTATTCGTCTAAAAATATTATCTAATTTCTGTCTTGATTTCTTCTTTGACTCATGAATTGTTTTAGAGTGGAAATTTCATTTTAAATTTCCAAATATTTGTGAATTTCCCAAATTTCCCCTGTTGTTGATTTCTAATTTTATTCCATTGTGGTTAATAACATACTTTGCATTATTTCTAGCCTTCAAATTTATTGAGGTGTGTTTTATGGCCTAATATGTGGTCTATCTTCTAGAATGTTCCATGCTCACTTGACATGAATGTATACTTTGTTGTTGTTGTTGTTAAGTAGAATGTTCCATAGTCCTTGAGGTCTATTTGGTTTGTAGTATTGCTCAAGTCCTCTTTTTCCTTGTTGATCCGTCCAGTTGTTCTATCCATTTTTGAACGTGTAGTATTGAAGTCCTTGACTATTTCTGTTGACTCGGTTGACTTGTCTATTTCTTTCTTTTCTCAGGTCTGTTTTTGTTTCATTTATTTTGGTGCTTCATATATATAGGTGCATATATGTTGATAACAGTTATATCTTCCTAATGGATGGATTCCTTTGTAATTACAAAAGGCCACTCTATCTCTAGTAACAATTTTTGTTTTAAAGTCTATTTGTCTGATATCAGTGTACTGACTCCAGTGTTTTTGTGGTTGCTGTTTGCATAATATATTTTTCCTGTTCTTTTACTTTCATTCTGTGTCTTCGAATCAAAATTGTGTTTTCTCCAGACAATATATACTTCATGTTTTCTTATCCAATATAACACCTTTGCCTTTTGATTGCATTGTTTATTCCATTCACACTGCATATTATTATTTAGTGGGATTTATGTCTGTCATTTTAGTTCTTTTTTGTTTTTGTTTTGAGACAGAATCTTGCTCTGTCACCCAGGCCGGAGTGCAGTGGCGTGATCTCGGCTCACTGCAAGCTCCAACTCCCGGGTTCAGGCCATTCTCTTGCCTCAGCCTCCCAAGTAGCTGGGACTACAGGTGCCCACCACCACTCGTGGCTAATTTTTTGTATTTTTAGTGGAGACTGGGTTTCACCGTGTTAGCCAAGATGGTCTCGATCTCCTGACCTCGTGATCTGCCCACCTCGGCCTCCCAAAGTGTTGGGATTACAGGCATGAGCCACCGCACGCCCGGATTTTTTGTTTTTTATATGTATCATGTCTTTGTTGTTCCTGTTTTGTCTTTACTTCTTTCTATTTCATTGAATTAATATTTTCTAATATAGTATTTAAGTTTTATTAATAATTTTATCACTGTATTTTTATTTTTAGTGGTTTCTCTAGGATTTTCTGTATATATCTTATCAGTATGAGTTTCAGATTCACACTAGCTTAATTCCAGTAATATGTAGAAATGTTACTCATGTAGAACTTAATTCTCTTGCTCTTTTGTGGTTATTTTATTTATATTATATCAATTAATGTTACAAAGATATACATTGTTTAAATTATTATTGGTGCTATTATTAGCATACATAACACCCACATATTAAAATTGTATATATTGCATATATGTATTATAGAATTGTATATATTATAGGGCCAATAGTATATTGTATACATGTTATTTTATATAATTGTTTTTAAAATGAGTTAAGAAAAAAGAAAAATGCATTTCTACTGTCTATTATAGAAAAATAATTACATCATACTGAACACGCAAAAACTGGAAGCATTCCTTTTCAGAACAGGAATAAGACAAGGGTGCCCTCTCTCCCCATTCCTCTTCAACATAGTACTGGAAGTGCTATCCAAAGCAATCAGGCAAGAGAAATAAATAAAAGGCGTCCAGATAGGAAAAGAAGAGAGAAAAGTATCTCTCTTTGTGGATGATATGATTCTATACATAGAAAACCCTAAAGACTCCAACAAAGCCTCCTGGAATAAACAAATGACTTCAGCGACGTTTCAGGATACAAAATGAATGTGCAAAAATTAGTAGTATTTCTATAAACCAATAACATTCAGGCTAAGAACCAAATCAAGACTGCAATCCCACTTACAATAGCCACAAAAAATTAAAATACCTAGGAATACAGCTAACCAAGGAGGTGAAAGATCTCTACAAGGAGAACTATAAAACGCTGCTAAAAGAAATCAGAGAGGACACAAATAAATGGAAAAACATTCCATGCTCAGGGATTGGAAGAATCAATATCATTAAAATGGCCATACTGCCCAAAGCAATCTATCTACAGATTCAATGCTATTATTACCAAACTACCAATGTCATTTTTTTATAGAATTGGAAAAAAGTGTCCTAAAATTCATATGGAACAACAACAACAGAGAGCCCAAAAAGCAATCCTAAGCAAAAAGAACAAAGCCAGAGGCATCACATTACCTGGCTTCAAACTATACTAATAAGACTACAGTAACCAAAACAGCATGGTGCTAGTACGAAAACAGATACCTACACCAGTTGAACAGAATAGAGAGCTGAGAAATAAATCTGCACACTTACAGCCATCTAATCTTTGACAAAGTTGCCAAAAGTAAACAATGGGGAAAGGACTCCCTAGTGAATGAATGGTCCTGGGATAGCTGACTAGCCATATGCAGAAAAATAAAACAAGACACCTAACTTTTGCCACATACAAAAATTAACTCCAGATGGATTAAAGATTTAAATATAAGACCTTGAAGTAAAAGAATCCTAGAAGAAAATCTCAGAAACACCATTCTGGACATGGGCCTTGGGAAAGAATTTATGATTAAGTCCTCAAAAGCAATTACAACAAAAACAGAAATTGACAAGTGAGACCTAATTAAACTGAACAACTTCTGTACAAGAAAAGACACTATCAACAGATTAAATAGATAACCTACAGAATGAGATAAAATATTTGCAAATTATGCACCCAACAAAGGACTAATATCCAGAATCTATAAATAACTTAAACAACTGGACAAGGAAAAAACAACCCCATTGAAAAATGGGCAAAAGATATGAACAGACACTTCTCAAAAGAAGACATACAAGTGGCCAACAAATGTATGAAAAAAGGATCATCATTACTAATCATCAGAGAAATGCAAGTCAAAAACCACCCATGGTAGCTAACGCATGCAATCCCAGCACTTTGGGAAGCCGAGGCAGGTGGGTCACCTGAGGTCAGGAGTTAGAGACCAGCCTTGCCAATATGGCTAAACCCTGTCTCTACCAAAAATACCAAAATTAGCTGGGTGTGGTGGCAGGTGCCTGTAACCCTAGCTTCTCAGTAGGCTGAGGTAGGAGAATCACTTGAACCCAGGAGGCAGAGGTTGCAGCGAGCCAACATTGTGCCACAGCCTAGGTGACAGAGTGAGACTCTGTCTTAAAAAAAAAAAAAGAAACCCCAATGGGCTACCATCTCACACATCAGAATGGCTATTATCAAAAAGTCAGAAAGCAACAGATGTTGGTGGAGCTGAGGAGAAAAGGGAATGCTCATGCATGGCAGTGGGAATGTCAATTAGTTCAGCCTCTGTGGAAAGCAGTTTGGAGATTTCTCAAAGAACTTAAAACAGAACTACCATTTGGCCCAGCAACCCCATTACTGGGTATATATCCAAAAGAGAACAAATTATTCCTCCAAAAAGACACATGCACTCACATGTTCATTGCAGTACTATTCACAACAGCAAAGTCATGGAATTGACCTAGGTGCCCACCAACAGTGAATTGGATAAAGAAAATGTGGTACATATACTCCATGGAATGCTATGCAGTCATAAAAATGAAGAAAATCTTCAGTGCCATCCCCATCAAGCTACCAATGACATTCTTCACAGAATTGGAAAAAACTACTTTAAAGTTCACGTGGAACCAAAAAAGAGCCCGCATTGCCAAGTCAATCCTAAGCCAAAAGAACACAGCTGGAGGCATCACGCTACCTGACTTCAAACTATACTACAAGGCTACAGTAACCAAAACAGCATGGTACTGGTACCAAAACAGAGATATAGACCGATGGAACAGAACAGAGCCCTCAGAATTAATGCCACTTATCTACAACTATCTGATCTTTGACAAACCTGGCAAAAACAAGAAATGGGGAAAGGATTCCCTATTTAATAAATGGTGCTGGGAAAACTGGCTAGCCATATGTAGAAAGCTGAAACTGGATCCCTTCCTTACACCTTATACAAAAATTAATTCAAGTTGGATTAAAGACTTACATGTCAGACCTAAAACCATAAAATCCTTAGAAGAAAACCTAGGCAATACCATTCAGGACATAGGCATGGGCAAGGACTTCATGTCTGAAACACCAAAAGCAATGGGAACAAAAGCCAAAATAGACAAATGGGATCTAATTAAACTAAAGAGCTTCTGCACAGCAAAAGAAACTACCATCAGAGTGAACAGGCAACCCACAGAATGGGAGAAAATTTTTGCACCTACTCATCTGACAAAGGGCTAATATCCAGAATCTACAATGAACTCAAACAAATTTACAAGCAAAAAACAAACAACCCCATCAAAAAGTAGGCAAAGGATATGAACAGACACTTCTCAAAAGAAGACATTTATGCAGCCAAAAAACACATGAAAAAATGCTCATCATCACTGGCCATCAGAGAAATGCAAATCAAAACCACAGTGAGATGCCATCTCACACCAGTTAGAATGGCGATCATTAAAAAGTCAGGAAACAACAGGTGCTGGAGAGGATGTGGAGAAATAGGAACACTTTTACACTGTTGGTGGGACTGTAAACTAGTTCAACCATTGTGGAAGTCAGTGTGGCAATTCCTCAAGGATCTAGAACTAGAAATACCATTTGACCCAGCAATCCCATTACTGGGTATATACCCAAAGGACTATAAATCATGCTGCTATAAAGACACATGCACACGTAGGTTTATTGTGGCACTATTCCCAAGAGCAAAGACTTGGAACCAACCCAAATTTCCAACAATGATAGACTGGATTAAGAAAATGTGGCACATATACACCATGGAATACTATGCAGCCATAAAAAATGATGAGTTCATGTCCTTTGTAGGGACATGGATGAAGCTGGAAACTATCATTCTCAGCAAACTATTGCAAGGACAAAAAACCAAACACCTCATGTTCTCACTCATAGGTGGGAATTGAACAATGAGAACACATGGACACAGGAAGGGGAACATCACACACTGGGCACTGTTGTGGGGTGGGGGGCTGGGGGAGGGATAGCATTAGGAGATATACCTAATGCTAAATGACGAGTTAATGGGTGCAGCACACCAACATGGCACATGTATACATATGTAACTGACCTGCACGTTGTGCACATGTACCCTAAAACTTAAAGTATAATAATAAAAAAAAATAAATAAAAATAAAAAATAAAAGAAAATGAAGAAAATCATGTCATTTGCAGCAACATGGATTTGGCTAGAGGACTTTATCCTAGGCAAACAAATACAGAAACAGAAAATCAAATACCACATATTCTCACTCATAAGGGGGAGGTAAACACTGGGTACTGATGGACATAAAGATAGCAACAATAGACACTGGGGACTATTGGGGTGGTGAAGGAGGGAAGGGAGAAAGTGTTGAAAAACTGTTGAGTACTATTCTCAGTATCTGGGTAATGGGACCATTCATACCCCAAACCTCAACATCACACAATATACCCAGGTTACAAACTTGCACAAGTGCCCTCTGAATCTAAAATAAAAGTTGAAAAAGCAAAAATAAAACAGTAAACAACAACAACAACAAAACAGCAAAACCCTCAATAAATACATAAATAAAAATATAAATAAATGTCTTTGCCAGAGCTTTTTGTTTTTTGTGTGGCTTTGAGTTAGTATCTGGGGTCACGTTGCTTTTAAGCTGTTTGCTATCAACTGCATCCTATCTAATATTTCTTTTTCTTAATAGTAAACCACTCAATTTTTGTGAGGAGATATTACATTGTGGTTTTGATTTACATTTCTCTAATGATTTCCTTTCCAGTTTGGATGCTGAGCATTTTTTCTTATGTTTTTTGCCCATTCATATATAATTTTAAAAGAAATGTCTATTCAAATCCTTTTGCCATTTTAAAATCATATTATTTTTAAATATTGTGTTGTAGAAATTATTTATATATTCTGGATATTAACTCTTTATCAGATATATAATTTACTAATATTTTCTTCCATCCACAAGTTTTTTTTAACATTGTTATGTCCTTTAATGCATAAAAGTTTTAAAAAGTTTGATGTAGTCCCAATTGTCTATTTTTTCTTTTGTTGTCTGTACTTTTGGTGTCATATTAAAAAATAATTGCCATATCCCCTTATTCTAAGAGTTTTATAGTTTTAGATCTTCCATTTAAGTTTTAAATCCATTTTGAGTTAATTCTTGTATATGGCATAAGACAAAGTTTCAACTTCACTCTTTCATGTGTGGATATCCAAGTTTCCCAACACTGTTTGTTGAAGAGAATGTTCTTCCCTCATTGAGCGGATCTGGAATGCTGTAAATATTATTTGACCATATATGTGGAGTTTTCTTTTAATGGGTTCTTTATTCTATTCCATTGGTCTATATGTCTCTCTTTAAGCCAGTGTCATGCTGTTTTAATTACTGTAGTCTTGTAACATGTTTTGAGATCACGGAGCATGAGACCTTCAACTCAGTTAGTTTTCAAGATTGTCTAGTCAGAGTATATATGAATATTTAGATAAATTTTTCTCTTTTTTCAAAAAATGCAGCTTAGATTTTGATAGGGATTACATATAATTTGTAGACTGCTTTGGGTTCTATTGACTTTTCAAATTAATACATAATGTTGTACAGATTTGGGGAATACATCTGATATTTTGGAGATCTTAACATTAAATCTTCCAATCCATGAATACCAATGTCTTTACATTTATTTGTGACTTCTTTCAGTACTGTTTTGTAGTTTTCAGTGTACAAGCCTTTTATTTCCCTGGCTAAGTTTATTCCTAAGTATTTTACTATTTTTGATGGTATTGTAATTAAATTATTTTCTTAATTACCTTTGGATTGTTTATAGTTAATTTATAGAAAGGCAACTGATTTTTGTGTGTCGATTTTGGATCCTGCAACTTTCCAGAATTTGTTTAATAGTTCCAACAGTTTTCTGGATTTTATGCATATATGCATCTAACAGTTTTCTAGATTTTATGCAGGAGTCTAGGATTTTATGCATATAGGATCAAGTCATCTGTGAGCAGAGATAATTTTACTTTTTTCTTTTATTCTTTGGATGTCTTTTCTTGCTTAATTTTTTTTTCCTAATTGGTCTGCTTGGAAATTCAAATACTATATTGAATAGAAGCGAAGAGACAGAGTATACTTGTCTTGTTCCTAATCCAGAAGAAAAGTTTGAATCTTTTACCATTGAGTGTAAGTTTACCTGTGGATTTTTCATATATGGCCTTTATTATGTTATTTTCCTTCTATTCCTAGTTTGCTGAGTGTTTTCGTGATAAAAGGTGTTAAATTTTGTTAAACATTTTTTCTACATCAATATAAATGATCATGCTGTTTTGTCCTTTATTCTATTACTATAGTGTATTACATTGATTTTTGCATGTTGTATTATTCTTTTTTTTTGAGATGAAATCTCATTCTGTCATTCTGGCTGGAGTGCAGTGGCATGACCTCAGCTCACTGCAACATTTGCCTCCTGGGTTCAAGGGATTCTCCTGTCTCAGCCTCCCAAAGTGCTGGGATTACAGGCATGAGCCAGCACACCCTGCCACATGTTCTATCATTCTTGCATTCCAGGAATAAAGCCAACCTGATCATCACAAATATTGGTCTGTAGTTTTCTTTTCATGTAATGTCTTTGTTTGACTTTGAAATCAGGGTAATACTGGCCTCATATAATGAGCTTTGAAGTGTTTTTTATATTCATTTTTGTAAATGACTTTGAGAAACATTGGTTCTAATTCTTCCTTAAATGTTTGGTAGTCATCCGGTTCTGGGCTGTTGTTTGTTTGGAGGTTTTTGAACCAGTTTAATCTCCTTCGTAGTTATAAGTCTGTTCGTTTTTTCTACTTCTTCATGATTCACTCTTATTAGGTTGTATATTTCTAGAAATTTATGCACTTCTAAATTATCCAATTTGTTGACATATAATTAACTGTTGATGGTATTTTCTTATAATCCTTTTGATTTCTATGGCATGGGTTCTAATGTTCTCTTTTTTATTTCTGATTTATTAGTTGAATCTTTTTTCCTTAGTTAATCTAGCTAAGCATTTGTTAATTTTGTTGGTGTTTTCAAAAACCACCTCTTAGTTTTGTTGATTTTTTTCTATTGTTTTTATATTCTATATTTCATTTATCTCTGATTTAATCTAATCTTTAGGATTTTCCTCCTTCTGCTAGCTTTGGGTGTAGTTTTTTTTCTCTCCTAGTTTCCTGAGGTATAAAGTTAGGTTGTTGATTTGCAAACTTTCTTCTACTTCTTTTTTTTTTTTTCTTAAGTTGTGGAGATGGGGTCTTGCTTTGTTGCCCAGGCTGGTCTCAAATTCCTGGCCTCCAGAAGTTCTCCTCCCTCAGCCTGTCAAAGTGCTGGGATTGCAGGCATGACCCACCATGCCTAGCCACTTTCTTCCTTTTATAATGCACATATTTATAGCTATAAAATTCTCTGTTAGCACTGCTTCTGCTGCATCTTACACATTTTGGTACATTGTATTTTTATTTTCCTTTATCTCAAGATATTTTCTAACTTCCCTTGTGATTTCTTTTTTGACCCATTGCTTGTTGAAAACTGTGTTGTTTAATTTTCACATATTTGTGAATTTTTTGTTTTCCTTCTGCTACTGATGTCTAGTTTTATGTCATTTTCATCAAAATAGATATTTTGTATAATTTCAATCTTTTAAAATTTGTTACAAGTTTTTTTGTGGTATAACATGTGATTTATCTTTGGGAATATTCCATGTAAACTTGAGAAAAATACTATTCTGATTTTATTGGGTGGAATGTTCTGCACATGTTTGTTAGCACTATTTATAGTGTTGTTCAAGTACTGTATTTCCTTATCGATTTTCTGTCTTGTTGTTCTAGCCATTATTGTAAGTGAGGAATTGAAGTCGCCTACCATTATTATGCTGTTTATGTTTCCTCTCTGATCTGTCAATGTTTGCTTCAGATATTTAGGAGCTCTGGTATTAGAGGTATATATATTTGTAATTGTTATATCTTTCTGCTGAATTGACTTTTTGTTATATAATATCCATTTTTTTGTCTTGTGACTATTTTTGACTTTAAGTCTATTTTGTTGGATAGTAGTATAGTCACTTCTGCTTGCTTTTATTTACCATTTGCATGGCATTTACTTTTCCTTTTTTTCATTTTAAGCATATTTGTTTCTTAGACCTAAATGACAGGATAAAGTTGGATCCTTTTTACAAATCCATTTTCCAGTCTATATCTTTTGATTCAGGAGTTTAATCCATTTACATTTAAAGTAATTACTGATAGGGAAGGACCTACACTTGCCATTTTGTTGTTTCCTGTATGTTTTGTAAATTTTGTTTTTTATTCCTTCTCTTACTGACCTCTTTTGGGTTTTGTCGATTTTTTTTTGTGGTGACATTTTGATTCCCTTCCTGTTTCCTTTTGTGTGTATTCTATAGATTTTTTTATGGTTACCATAAGAATTATAAAAAACATCTTAAAGTGTTAACAAGCTATTTTAAACTGTTAAGAGAATAACTTCGACTGTGTACAAAAACTATTTCTTCAAAGCTCCTACCCTCACCTTAGGTTACTTATGTCACAAGTTACATCTTCATATGTAATGTATTCATTAACACAGTTTTATAGTTATTTTTAAGCTTTTGTCTTGTAAATTCTATACAAGAATTAAAAGTGCATTTATGTACCAAAACTGCATAGTACAGTCTCTATATATGTCCATATATTTATCTTTACTGGAGAGCTTTATATTTTCATAAGACTTCATGTTACTATTTAGCATCCTTTTGTTTCAACTTGCAAGATACTACAGCAGGTCCAGTGGTAATGAACTCCCCAGTTTTTGTTCATCCTGGAAAGGCTGATTTTTCCTTTATGTTTGAAGGATGGTTTTGCTGGATATAATATTTTTGGTTGAAATTTTCTTTTCTTTCAGCTCTTTGAATATATTATCCCCCTGCCTTCTGGCCTGCAAGGTTTCTGTTGATAAATCCACTGATAATTTTATAAAGGCTTCCTTTTACATGACAAGTTACTTTCTTTTGCTGCTTTCAAGATTGTCTCTTTGTCTTTGACTTTTGAGAGTTTGATTATAGTGTGTCTCACTGTGAGTCTCTGGGTTTTCTTTAACATTTTTTTTTTGTTCATATCTTCTGATGATGAATTCCTTTAACTTTTATATTTGTGAAATGTTTTTTCTTCATTTTCAGAAGGTATTTTTAGTGAGTGTAAAATTCTACATTGACAGTTTTTTTCTTTCAGTACTGTTTAGTGTTTCTCTACTGTCTTCTTGCTTGTACTGATTGTATAGAAACTCTGCTGTAATTCTTATCTTTGTGTCTTTGTACTTAATGTGCCTTTTTACTCTGCCTGTTTTTAAGATTTTATTTTTATTATTGATTTTGATCATGTGGCTTGGTGTGAGTTTCTTCATATTTATTGTGCTTGGGGTTCATTGAGCTTATTAAGTCTGTAGGTTTATATTTTTCATTACATTTAGAAAAATTGTAGCCATTATTCATTCAAATTTTTTTCTGTTCTTCTCCCATTTCTCATGCCCTTATGGGGTCTAATTATATGTATATTAGGCTATTTGAGGTTGTCTTACAGCTCACTTACAGTTCTTATGTTTATTTTTCCACTTCTATTTCATTTGGGCAGGTTTATTATACTTTTCCCTAATTTGCTAATTTTTTTGCAATGTCTAATCCACTGTTAATCTCATCCAATGTATTATTAATTTCAGACATTGTAGTTTTCATCTCTAGAAATTGTTCATCTTTTTATATCTTCTTTGTCTCTATTTGATATGCTAAGTCTTTTCTCTAGCTTCTTGAGCATATGAAATATAGTTATGACAACTATTTTATTTTATTACAACTTTTACCTTAGGTTCAGAGGTACATGTGCAGGTTTGTTATGTAGGTAAACTCGTGTCACAGGAGTTTGTTTATTATTTCATCACTCAGGTACTAAGCCTAGTACCCAATAGTTGTTTTTCTGTTCCTCTCCCTTCTCCTACCCTCCAACTTCAAGTAGGCCCCAGTGTTTATTGTTCCTCTCTTTGTATCACTACTATTTTAATGTCTCTACTAGTTCTCTTATTTTTGTCATTTCTGAGTTGATTTTATTTTTCTCACTATGGCCATATTCTCCTACTTCTTTGAATATCTGGTATGCAAATTATACCTAGTATGGATATTATATCAAGACCCTGTCGCAATATGGATACCTAAAAGAAAATAACAATGTTTACCAGTTTGCTCTAAGCCTTTCTTAGCTCTTTTGCTTGTTTCTCAAGAACAAGCACAGAGGGTGGAGCTCAACCAAGACTGAAGTTAAAGATGTAGAAAGATTGAGATGGGAAGTAATTAAGTTGAGGAGCTCTGATACAATGGTATTTCTCTTTTTAATCATGTAAGATGCAAGCCCAAGATAATATGTTGGGAAAGTTGAAGGCGAATGTCTTGAGAAATATGAAATGCACCCAAGGCTATGGCTGGGTGATAGAAATAACTAAAAAGTTTTAAAAGGATTGTTTTATAGCTGGTCCTTGCTGAGGTTAGGGGATAGGCCTGGAAAAATTGAGCAGTGGTATTGCCCAGGCAGGACTCCTCATGACATTCTCCAGATCCCTAAGTTTTTCCAAGTTTCCAAGCATTTCCTTGGCCAGCAAGTCATCTCGCAGCACAGATCCTACTCTCTTTCAGTCAGTCATTCCACAACTCTACAAAGCATTTTTCTCCATCAAATGGGAACTTTTGGGGTTCTGCATAATTTTTCAGGGTTCCACCACTTTTGACTCTTTCTGGATACCTTGTAAGGATATTATAACTCTTTAATTCATGTCCTTGATTTTCTCTTTTAACTTTTAATACTGTTCATTGCCTGTTTACCTCTTTCACCCTCTTCTTTTCACTTCCGCCCTCTTTCTTGTGTAAGTATATAATCATCCTTTTTTTCTTCCTCGAATCTCAGTTCTCGGGAGTAACATATACAATTCATTCTTACTTCCAGTCTTTTATTCCTAAGTTCCTTATCTCTAGTTCTCTTGCATATTTGTGGCAATTATTAGTTTTTTTCCAAAAATCCATTCTCCCTTTTTCCTGTACATGTATCTTTCCAGCTTGACCACATTTCCCAGCTTCCCTGGCAGCTAGGTGAAGCAATGTAACTAAACTTTTGCCTGTAAAATATGAGCAGAAGTTATGTGCACAATATCTGCCTCACTTGCTTAAAATAAATTGTATTATTTGAGCTTTCTATATTGTCCCTTTTTACAACTAAAATGTAGAGGTTATGGCAACTTTTATGGTAAAGAGAATCATCACGTAGGAGATCAAGAATCATTGATTTGAGAGGAACCTAAATCCTTTAATGACTTAGTGGAGCAAGACTGCCCCATCAGTCTGGAAGCTACCCCACAACTTATGTATATCTTCAGATTGTTGAGCAAAAGAGAAAAAATGAAGCCACTATATATTTAGGTCTCTTCATGTTAACAGTTTAGCTTTTAACCTAACACACATTTATTCCTGAATGGTAGCATATTATTAACATCACAGGAAGGGAATTCCTTGTTCATGGATCTTTTATTTTGTTGAAATAAAGGTAATCTGCTTGGGCTTAATACTGCCAAGGCAGAATTTTTTGGAATAATTATTTCTATAGATGACCCATTCATAATGACAACTAACATGGTTTCTAAAATGGATTCATGTACGTCATCTTATTTAGTCCCCGCAAAAATTCTGAAGGTAGGTATAATTATTCCCATTCTATATATTGAAAAATTGGGATTCAGAGAGACTACGGACTTATACAAGTTTCTGCAGCTATTTAAGAAACAGAGTAAAGTCTCAAAGCCATTAATGAACTGTTTAGTTTAGTGCTGCTTAGTAAAATTAGAACTGTTTGAAGTGCGTTTTAATAGTAAACCCATCGATATTTAGTCAGCTCTCTGCTTGCTAACTAATATGGAAGAAAAAACATACATCTACGTACATCCTGAATTGGGAGAAGGGAAATAAAATATTGCCAATCCCCTTTCCTGTATTAGGTACTGTGATAAGGCGATAAGGCTTTTCATTATTATAAATGAGTCCTGGAGAGGTTAAGCGCAGTCACCCAAAGTCACATGACCAGTAACTTTCAGAGATTTTACCCCAGGTCTGGAAAGACTCTGAAGCCCATGTTATTGCCTCCAGAGCCTGGTGGAGAACCCCTGAATGGGACAGAGACTCAGCAGACAGAGTGGTCCTTTCCTTCCAGGGAGTCAGGGAAGGTTTGGTAGGGGAGATAGAGTTAGATCTGGGTGGGATTTGGATGAAATGAGATCAAGCAGGGATAAATAAGATCCAAGCTGTTTATGAGGGACAGGGAGAGGCCAGCTCTGTTAGAAAGAGTGGTTTATACAGAGAAGCATGGAAACATTTGCTCCATGCCTCGCCTTCCATGGATAGCAGTCCAGAAATGCTACTTGCCTGCCTGACAGTCTTTCTCCAGTCCCCAGGTGTGGACACGTTCTGAGCACCTGAGCCTGGGTCTGCCCTGACCCAGATTCTGTGAGCTGGGACAGAGAATGTGTCCTGCTGTCCCTCCTCCCCCACTTGGGCCCACACCCTTTTCTACACATTTGGATTAGAAATCTGAATTGGCCTTTCTGTGAACCCCAATGACAGGCAAGTCCCCAGTAAAGAAGCACTTAATTTAATTGCTCCTTCAGGGTCCACTTAGAGTAATAGTTGTGAACAGCTCTCCCTAGTGTCTCCCACAGGCAGTGACAAATGTTGCTAAAGATAAGTCACAAATTCTTGGCAAGGCCATCTTAAATATGGGAAGGAAACCTTGTTCAGTCCTGAACAGTCCTGTTCAGACTGATCTTATCACAGGTTGCACACTGCCTCAATGTCACCATGTTTCTACCCTCAGTTGTGCTTGGCAGAGAGAGGACAGCTATACATAAAGTCTGTTCACTCTACAAAGGTGAAATCATTTTTTTTAAGGTAATTATGATTGTTCTGAGGATGGTGATTGAGTGACATTTAAAAAATGGGAAAAGTTCTACTCATAACTCTGTCTGCTTAATTTGCTTATATAAAAGACTTAATGGTTTTTGTTGAGTTGATCCAGAGTCAGTAACATTTGAATATGTGTTATTACCATTTGATCAGTAACAAAACAACAGGGTAAGTGGGATGCCAAATGTGGCTGAGAGTTTAGGGTTTACATTCCACACCCCAGCCTTAAATACGTTTGTATAAATTATTGGTTGATTTTTCTTTTTCATGGCTTTTCTTTGACATTTGATGGGGCTGGATTTATGGAGGCAACCAACAAATTACACAGCAATGAATTCTGGACTGTAGTCCCACAGCCTTGAGCCTAGATACTAGCTGTGTCACTAATACTCTGTGTGACCAGGGTAAGTTATTTAGATACATTTATGACTTTCCAAATCAATAGGTTGGACAAAGTTATCTTCAAAATGTCTTTCAGATTTGACCCTGAACATATGCGATTCTGGCATGTTCTGATTTTTAGTTTTCTGTTCTTGAAGCATGTCTACAATAGAAATGCCTACCTTCATATACAATAAAAGGACATTAGATTAATATGGTGTCTGTGAAAATCATTGAACAGCTTTAGAGATAAAAATAATGAAATGAGTCAAGTTCTCCATTATTAATTAAATCTTTTAAATTTTCTGTTTATGAAACTATGAACAATAAATTGGAACAAAGATATAATCTCACTACAAGTAAATTGTATTTTATGTAAAATATAATTTGTCTTTAGAAAATACTCAATGAAATTACCTTTTTAATTTCAGAGATTTTGAGGACTATTATTGTTATTTCTTTAAAGTGATAAATGTAATCCAAGATGCCTTTTTTCCCCCTTCAGAAGCTTGAGTGCCCAAGGGTTTGATAAATGTGGAAAATAACCGCTGTTCGAATATCCTGTTGGCCTGCTGGTGAGATGTCATCGTGTTGTCTGAATGCAGTATGTGTTTAAACTTGCCATTTATTACCTGAAATTGTGTTATTTTGCCTCATACCCTTAGTAATACTCTTGTAATGCTGGCTGAGAATTGAAGCAAATGCCCTATGAAACTCAAGGGAGCAAGGTCTTTGTTATTTTTCAGAAGAAATGACTGGCTGAGGCTGTAAAGAAATCTTGTGGTCATTCTCATGGAAAGAGGATTGGAGCCCCGATTCTTTGATCTCATTATTGACCAGTTGATTGAGAAGACTGTCCTCCTGTCCCCACCCAATCACAATAAGTGGGTAATTACCTGAGGGCTAATTTGCTCCTTGAATGTGAATACATTTGTGGAAATTTCCTTGTGCTCAGCACCTGTTCAAAACATCCATTTGTATTGCAGAGCTATTGTTTTTCTAATCTCATTGTGGAGCTAAGAGAGAGATTGTGTTTAAGGTTTCCTTCGTAATAGGTTTTCTTGCTCCAGGAAGGATGCGTGACAGACTCTGCACACTGCTGCTTGGTAGGTGTTCAGTGATGGATGCGTTTTCCATCTCCCAGGTACAGCTGCAGCTGTGCTGACTCTGGTGCGTTTGTAATATGCACTGTGGAGTGCACCATGATTTCATGATGGCTGGAGAAATCTGGTGGCTAGAATTCTAGGGAGGAGGACATGAGTCGGAAGTGCAGAAACCTCACACTGGGACATTGATGGAGAAAATCCAATTCTGTCCCTGGAGTTAAAGAGGAGTCACTCACTGGGCCATCATAAGAGCAAATAAAGTTACAGTTATTTCTTCAGATCCACAACTCAAACTCAGCGAAAGTAATTATTCACTCTTTTTGTCCCAAACAATAATGAAATCAGCTAAAGCATATTGTATTTATTACTTCCACTCAAGTTATTGAGCTGTTCTGACACCTTGTTGCTGGGAAGATACACAGATGGAACACCATCATTTCCATTGATTCTGATCATACCCCACGCTAATATAGCCTTATTGCTCTGAGTCATAGGGATTTTATGCTTGCCTATTCAAAAAACAGTTTTTACCTTATTAAAAGGTGATATGACCTGAGCTGGAGATGATGTTTGGTCATTTTGTGTAAACCTTTTAATATTTTAGTGGTAAATACATTTCTTGAATCTTGACAAAAACATAATTAAAATGAACATATTTAAAATGGACATCTTCCAAATGTTCATTTTTAAAACAAACATCTTCCAAATGTTCATTTTTAAAATGAATATCTTCGTTAACTTTTTTTTTTTTTTTTGAGACGGAGTCTCGCTCTGTCACCCAGGCTGGAGTGCAGTGGCGCGATCTCGGCTCACTGCAAGCTCCGCCTCCCGGGTTCACGCCATTCTCCTGCCTCAGCCTCCAGAGTAGCTAGGACTACAGGCGCCCGCCACCACGCCCGGCTAATTTTTGTATTTTTAGTAGAGACGGGGTTTCACCGTGTTAGCCAGGAAGGTCTCGATCTCCTGACCTTCTGATCCACCCTCCACGGCCTCCCAAAGTGCTGGGATTACAGGCGTGAGTCACCACGCCCAGCCTCTTCCTTAACTTTTAATGAATAAAGAGTTGAAAGGGAAAAACCAAATGTGCACTATGCTGATTTTATCTTGAGCTGTACAGAATGTGCAGTAACTTAAGAATATAAGTCATTCTGCTGTTATTCATACTAGCCTATTCTTTAGCATTATTTAAACACACATATTTGAGTGTCTACACACTGCCTGCTAGGCAGGGGGCTGGGTGCCAAGAAGGGATGTCCAGAGATAAACGGGCATATGTGTTAATCTTTTAGGGCACAGTCCAGTAACCTGATCAAGGAGTGACGTGTATTGTGTACTAGGATAGAAGTCAGTATCAGAGGAAACACAAAGGAAAGAGTGGTACTTTCTCCCCAGGGAAGGGATGCTCAGAAAGAGGGGGCTGATTATGTCCCTGGTTCATGAGAAAAAGGGCATTCCTGGCTCAGGGAGTGGGAAGAACAAAACCAAGAAATCCTGGAATGGCTTGGTGCATCAGCCAGTCTGTGAGTGCAGGGCATGGCTGGAGTTCTGGCTTTAAGATGAGTGGGAAGAAAGGCTGGAGAGGAGGTGGATCCAGGAAAAGTTGCTGGGAGCATTTATTCTTTTGGCAATGGGAAGCCATGGAAGAACTGTTGTAAGGAGGATTCTGTGTGATACATCTGCCTTTTAGAGAGGTCATTTTATAGAAAAAGTAGAAAATACAGACCAGCAAAAATTTAAAAAGTGAAAACAATCACTGTTCAAGCTCTGGTCTAGCACTCACCAGTGTTTTTCCTACAGGTGCATATACAAACATGCTTTTACATTTTATTTTTATTTTAAATTTTTCACTATCCTCAATATCAGTGGAAACAAATCTGCTTTTTTAATTTTTTTTTTAAAAATGAGATCCTATTGTACACATTATTTTAAATTTTTTTTCATTCTTTCCTTTTTTTAAAATTAAAACAATTTTTTTTGAGACAGTCTCACTCTGTCGCCCAGGCTAGAGTGCAGCATCGTGGTCTCAGCTCACCGAAACCTTGCCTCCCAGGTTCAAGCGATTCTCCTGCCTCAGCCTTCCAAGTAGCTGGGATTACAGACATCCACCACCACCGTGTCAGGTTAATTTTTGTATTTTTAGTAGAGAATGGGGTTTCACCATTTTGGACAGGCTGGTCTTGAATTCCTGGCTTCAAGTGATCTGCCTGCCTCGGCCTCCCAAAGTGTCATTCTCCTTTTAAAAGCATCAGTAAAACACTTCCAAAGCATTACTTTGATAATTAGACAGCATTTATATCAATTTACCATAATATACTCACGTTTAAGGGTATAGATTGTTTTAAATTTCCACTATTATAAATAGTGCTGCTCTGACACCTTCAGGATGCTTTTTATTATTCCTTAGGATACATTTCTGGAAGAGGAAGTTCCGGCTCAAATGGAATACATATTTTAAAAGGCCTGCATCTTTGCAGCCATTCTAATGCTAGTTAATATCATGCTTTTCTAACTTTGCCAGATCATGGATGATGAAGACTAGATCATGGATTTAATTTGCATTTGTTTGAGGTTGAATGATGCTTCATGAGTTTAACTGGCCAACTGTATTTATTTTTTATAAACTGAGTGTTCACGCCTTTTTTCTACTGTAATATTGGGGTGTTTATCTTAATCAATATGCCCTAATGCATCTCTATCTTTCATGCAGTGATGTGAGGTGTGGAAGAAACACGGGAGCAGCCTTCCTCAGGACACCTCTTGTTTATCTCTCTAGCTCTGAAATCACATGAAGCTGTGGATGGAGAGTCACCTGATAGTCCCAGAAACCCGTCCCAGCCCAAGGATGATGAGTAACCAGACGTTGGTAACCGAGTTCATCCTGCAGGGCTTTTCGGAGCACCCAGAATACCGGGTGTTCTTATTCAGCTGTTTCCTCTTCCTCTACTCTGGGGCCCTCACAGGTAATGTCCTCATCACCTTGGCCATCACGTTCAACCCTGGGCTCCACGCTCCTATGTACTTTTTCTTACTCAACTTGGCTACTATGGACATTATCTGCACCTCTTCCATCATGCCCAAGGCGCTGGCCAGTCTGGTGTCGGAAGAGAGCTCCATCTCCTACGGGGGCTGCATGGCCCAGCTCTATTTCCTCACGTGGGCTGCATCCTCAGAGCTGCTGCTCCTCACGGTCATGGCCTATGACCGGTACGCAGCCATCTGCCACCCGCTGCATTACAGCAGCATGATGAGCAAGGTGTTCTGCAGCGGGCTGGCCACAGCCGTGTGGCTGCTCTGCGCCGTCAACACGGCCATCCACACGGGGCTGATGCTGCGCTTGGATTTCTGTGGCCCCAATGTCATTATCCATTTCTTCTGCGAGGTCCCTCCCCTGCTGCTTCTCTCCTGCAGCTCCACCTACGTCAACGGTGTCATGATTGTCCTGGCGGATGCTTTCTACGGCATAGTGAACTTCCTGATGACCATCGCGTCCTATGGCTTCATCGTCTCCAGCATCCTGAAGGTGAAGACTGCCTGGGGGAGGCAGAAAGCCTTCTCCACCTGCTCTTCCCACCTCACCGTGGTGTGCATGTATTACACCGCTGTCTTCTACGCCTACATAAGCCCGGTCTCTGGCTACAGCGCAGGGAAGAGCAAGTTGGCTGGCCTGCTGTACACTGTGCTGAGTCCTACCCTCAACCCCCTCATCTATACTTTGAGAAACAAGGAGGTCAAAGCAGCCCTCAGGAAGCTTTTCCCTTTCTTCAGAAATTAACTTGTGTCTTCTGAAGTTTTTGTCCTTGGAGACTGCAGTTTTAGTGGAGTCTGATGAGCAAGTTTCTGGACTGGGAGGTAAATAGACTTGTTTTTTCTAACCCAGCAGAACCTGTGCATGGATGAGCTGGGAGTGCTGGTTCCCTGAGACTTGGTGATGGGGGGATTGCGGTAGGTGTGACCCACCAGCCTCTGAGACACCAGATCTCTTGGTCTGACTCCAAGGTGGTGTCAGTGCTGAGTTGGCAGAGAAACACAGGGCCTAGGAGGAGAAAAGTGTTCCTTGTGTTTTCAACTCATAGCCACATCAAACATTTTCCTTTTGTATGTACAACACTCAGGGTGTAAATTCTAAAATCACACCTAGAATTCAGCTGTGTGGGTCTAAAAAGTTAGGCAGAATTGTGGACCCCACAGCCCCTGAAGGGTTGTCAGACTGAAGCTTTGTTTTAAGGTGACCACTGGCCTCTAGGAAACCTTCTACCCCCATTATCTTACCTCAACTGTTTCCTCTGGAGCCACTTGGACTTCAAAAATAGTTTGATTTTAATGCAAACTGTTGTTTCTGCTTTTGTCTTTTCTTCTTACTAACACTTCAGATTCTGAGTATCTGACCTACCTAATTGGCCTGGAGCGAGGACAGCTGCCATGAGTCAGCTCTAATAAGTTAAACGGCATTGTAGTAAGGCATTGCTATCCTTCCATTGTTTCAGATAAAACTGGGTGAACGAATCCTCTGTGTCTAATAAAGACAGGTCTTGTGCTTGTGCTCCATGCTATTACAAAACTGCACTGGAAAATCCATTATCTTTATCATGATCCATTAAAGATGACAGAACTAAGATGTGAATGTTTAGTTGTATCTTGGAATTGAATAGAAACATATCATTCGATATGTGTGTGAAGCTGAGAGTAGAGTTTGATATTTGATTTAGATGGGATGGTTCTTCATCCAGTATTCTCATTATCATTCATCAGAAGCTCATTGACTCAAGTATTTGATGAATTGTAGCTGACTGTAGCTTTGGCACGTAGATTCTTACAGACAGTTTAATCTCTTCTAAGTGAATTCTGAGTCCCAAATAACATGTTGAAACCCTCAGTGGTCTCACTTTCCAATAAACATGGCTTTGAAAACCAGCACCAATGACCCTGTATGATTACTCAGAGGTTTTCAACATGTAATGAAGAGAGTTTATAGTGTTACTCATCTTAATTTCTTATCATTTTTTACATTTTCTATATTTTACAATGGATTTGAAAAGTAAAAAAGACTTAGACATGCATTGAGAGTTTAAGAGAGCATTAGTAATTCAGCAAAATAGAAATATAAGACTTGATTGACATTCTTACAAAGCTGGTAATCTAATTAAACAGACTTGCACTTATGATGATGAATATAAAAAGAAAGACATAAAGAGTGTTGCATTTTGGAGGATCTGGCAAGATGGCCAAATAGGAAGAGCTCCGGTCTGCAGCTTCCAGCAGACCAACATAGAAGGTGGGTGATTTCTGCATTTCCAACTGAGGTACCCTCTTCATCTCATGGGGCTGGTTAGGCAGTGGGTGCAGCCCACAGAGGGCTAGCAGAAAGAAGCAGAGTGAGGCATAGCCTCACCCGGGAAGCGCAAGGAGCCAGGGGCCTCCCTCCTGCAGCCAAGGGAAGCTGAGGGACTGTGTTATCCAGCCCAGATACTACACTTTTTGCATGGGGTTTGCAATCCACAGACCAGGAGATTCCATCATGTGCCTATAGCGCCAGGGCTTTGGGTTTCAAGCACAAAACTGGGCAGCTCTTTGGGCAGACACTAAGCTAGCTGCAGGAGTTTTATTTTATTTTTATACTCCAGTGGCACCTGGAATGCCAGCAAGACAGAACCGTTCACTCCCCTGGAAAGGGAACTGAAGCCAGGGAGCCAAGTGGTCTCGCTCAGTGGGTCCCACTGTCATGAAGTCCAGCAAGCTAAGAACCACTGGCTTGCAATTCTTGCTGCTAGCGCAGCAGTCTGAAGTCAACCTGGGATGACCGAGCTTGGTATGGGGAGGGGTGTCTGCCATTACTGAAGCTTGAGCAGGTGATTTTCCCCTGACAGTGCTAAGGAGGCTGGGAAGTTGGGAGTGGGTGGAACTCCCCACAGCCCAGCAAAGAGGCTGTGGCCAGACTGCCTCTCTAGATTCCTCCTCACTGGGCAGGGCATCTCTGAAAGAAAGGCAGCAGCTCCAGTCACGGGCTTATAGATAAAACTCCCATTTCCCTGGGACAGAGCATCGGGGGAAGGAGCAGCTGTGGGTGCAGCTCCAGCCGACTTAAATGTTCCTGCCTGCTGGCTCTGAAGAGAGCAGATTCACCCAGATTCACAAGGAGGATTCACCCAGCACAGTGCTTGAGCTCTACTAAGGGACAGACTGACTACTCAAATGGGTACTTGACCCCCATGCCTCCTGACTGGGAAAGACCTTCCAACAGGGGTTGACAGACACCTCATACAGGAGAACTCTGGCTGGCATCAGGCTGGTGCCCCTCTGGGAGGAAGCTTCCAGAGGAAGGAACAGGGAGCAATCTTTGCTGTTCTGCAGCCTCCACTGGTGATACCCAGGCAAATGGTCTGGAGTGGACCCCCAGCAAACTTCAGCAGACCTGCAGAAGAGGGGCCTGACTGTTGGAAGAAAAACTAACAAACAGACAGCATTAACATTAATATCAACTAAAGCAACCCCCACGCAAAACCCCCATCCGAAGATCATCAGCCTCAAAGATCAAAGGCAGATAAACCCACAAAGATGAGGAAAAATCAGCGCAAATATGCTGAAAATTCCAAAAACCAGAATGCCTCTTCTCTTCCAAATGATCGCAACTCCTCTCCAGAAAGGGCACAAAACTGGTTGGAGAATAAATGTGATGAATTGTCAGAAGTAGGCTTCAAAAGGTGGGTAATAACAAACTCCTCTGAGCTAAAGGAGCATGTTCTAACCCAATGCAAGGAAGCTAAGAACCTTGATAAAAGGTTACAGGAACTGCTAACTAAAATAACCAGTGTAGAGAAGAACACAAATGACCTGATGGAGCTGAAAAACACAGCATGATAACTTAGTGAAGTATACACAAGTGTCAATAGCTGAATCAATCAAGCAGAAGAAAGGATATCAGAGATTGAAGATCAACTTACTGAGATAAGGTATGAAGACAAGATTGGAGAAAAGAGAATGAAAAGGAATGAACAAACCTTCCATGAAATATGAGACTATGTGAAAAGACCAAACCTAAGATTGATTGGGGTAACTGAAAGTGATGGGGAGAATGGAATCAAGTTGGAAAACACACTTCAGGATATTATCCGGGAGAACTTCCCCAACCTAGCAAGACAACCCAACATTCAAATTCAGAAAATACAGAGAACACCACTAAGATACTCCTTGAGAAGAGCAACCCCAAGACATATAATCATCACATTCTCCAAGGTTGAAATGAAGGAAAAGATGTTAAATGTCAGAGAGAAAAAAGTCAGGTTATTCACAAAGGGAAGTCCATCAGACTAACAGCAGATCTCTCTGTAGAAACCCTACAAGCCAGAAAAGAGTGGGGCCAATATTCGACATTCTCAAAGAAAAGAATTTTCAAGTCAGAATTTCATCACCAGCCAAACTAAGCTTCATAAAAGAAGGAGAAATAAAATCCTTTACAGACAAGCAAATGCTGAGAGATTTTTGTCACCATGAGGCGACACCATAAGGCAGGCCTTACAAAAGCTCCTGAAGGAAGCACTAAATATGGAAAGGAAAAACCGCTACCAGCCACTGCAAAAACACAGCAAAATATAAAGACCAATGACTCTATGAAGAAACTACATCAACTAATGTGCAAAATAACCAGCTAGCATCATAATGACAGGATCAAATTCAAACATAACATTAATATATATATAGGCTAAATGCCCTAATTAAAAGACACATGCTGGCAAATTGGATAAAGAGTCCAGACCCATCAGTGTTGTGTATTCAGGAGACCCATCTCATGTGCAAAGACACACATAGGCTCAAAATAAAGGGATAGAGGCTCAAAATAAAGGGATGGAGGAATATTTACCAAACAAATAGAAAGAAAAAAAGCATGGTTGCAATCCTAGTCTCTGGTAAAACAGACTTTAAGCCAACAAAGATCAAAAGAGACAAAGAAGGACATTACATAATGGTAAAGGGATCAATGCAACAAGAAGAGCTAACTATCCTAAATATATATGCACCCAATATAGAAGCACCCAGATTCATAAAACAAGTTCTTAGAGACTACAAAGAGACTTAGACTCCCACACAATAATAGTGGGAGACTTTAACACCTTACTAACAATATTAGGCAGATCAACAAGACAGAAAATTAACAAGGGTATTGAGGAACTCAGCTCTGGACCAAAAAGACCTAATAGGCATCTACAGAACTCTCCACTCCAAATCAACAGAATATACATTCTTCTCAGCAACACATAGCACTTATTCTAAAATCAACCAAATAATTGGAAGTAAAACACTCCTCAGCAAATGCAAAACAATGGAAATAATAACAAACAGCCTCTCAGACCACAGTGGAATCAAATTAGAACTGCGGATTAAGAAACTGACTCAAAACCACACAGCACATGGAAACTGAACAATCTGCTCTGGAATGCCTACTGGGTAAATAACGGCAGAAATTAAGGCAGAAATAAAGAACTTCTTTGAAACCAATGAGAACAAAGAGACAATGTACTAGAATCTCTGGAACACAGATAAAGCAGTGTTAAGAGGGAAATTTTAGCACTAAATGCCCATATCAGAGTGGGAAAGATCTAAAATCAACACCCTAACATCACAATTAAAAGAACTAGAGAAGTGAAAGCAAAAGAGAAAGAGACACACATAAAAACCCTTTAAAAAAATTGGTGAATCCCGGAGCTGGTTTTTTGAAAAGATTAACAAACTAGATAGACTGCTAGCCAGACTAATAAAGAAGAAAAGAGAGAAGAGTCAAATAGACATAATAAAAATGATAAAGGGGATATCACCACTGATCCCACAGAAATACGAACTATCATCAGAGAATATTATAAACATCTCTATGCAAATAAACTAGAAAATCTAGAAGAAATGGATAAATTCCTGGACACATACACCCTCCCAAGACTAAACCAGGAAGAAGTTGAATCCCTGAATAGACCAATAACAAGTTCTGAAATTGAGGCAGGAATTAATAACCTACCAACCAAAAAAGCCCAGGACAGGACAAATTCACAGGCAAATTCTACCAGAGGTACAAAATGGTACTGGTACCATTCCTTCTGAAACTATTCCAAATAATAGAAAAAGAGAGACTCCTCCCTAACTCATTTTATGAAGCCAGTATCATCCTGATACCAAAATCTGGCAGTGACACAACAAAAAAAGAAAATTTCAGGCCAATATCCCTGATGAACATTGATGCAAAAATTCTCAGTAAAATACTGGCAAACCGAATCCAGCAGCACATCAAAAAGCTTATCCACCAGGATCAAGTCAGCATCATCCCTGGGATGCAAGGCTGGTTTAACACACGCAAATCAATGAATATAATCCATCACATAAACAGAACCAATGACAACAACCACATGATTATCTCAATAGATGCAGAAAAGGCCTTTGATAAAATTTGACACCGCTTCATGCTAAAGCCTCTCAATAAACTAGGTATTGATGGAACATATCTCAAAATATTAAGAGCAATTTATCACAAACCCACAGCCAATATCATACTGAATGGGCAAAAACTGGAAGCATGCCCTTTGAAAACTGGCACAAGACAAGGATGTCCTCTCTCACCACTCCTATTCTACATAGTGTTGGAAGTTCTGGCCAGGGCAATCAGGCAACAGAAAGAAATAAAGGGTATTCAGTTAGGAAAAGAGGAAGTCAAATTGTCTCTGTTTGCAGATGACATGACTGTATATTTAGAAAACCCCATCATCTCAGCCCAAAATCTCCTTAAGCTGATAAGCAAAGTCTCAGATACAAAATCAATGTGCACAAATCACAAGCATTCCTATACACTAATAATAGACAAGCAGAGAGCCAAATCATGAGTGAACTCCCATTCAAAATTGCTACAAAGAGAATAAAATACCTAGGAATGCAACTTACAAGGGATGTGAAGGACCTCTTCAAGGAGAACTACAAATCACTGCTCAAGGAAATAAGAGAGGACACAAACAAATATCCCATGCACATGGCTAGGAAGAATCAATTTCATGAAAATGGCCATATTGCCCAAGGTTATTTATAGATTCAAGCTATTCCCATCAAGCTATGATTGACTTTCTTCACAGAATTGGATAAAACTACTTTAAATTTCATATGGAACCAAAAAAGAGCCCATATAGCCAAGAAAATCCTAAGCCAAAAGAACAAAGCTGGAGGCATAATGTTGCCTGACTTCAAACTATACTACAAGGCTACAGTAAACAAAACAGCATGGTATTGGTAACAAAACAGATATATAGACCAATGGAATAGAACAGAGGCCTCAGAAATAAAACCACATGTGGCCAGGTGTGGTGGCTCATGCCTGTAATCCCAGTGCTTTGGGAGACTGAGGCAGGCAGATCACAAAGTCAGGAGTTTGAGACCAGCCTTGCCAATATTGTGAAACCAATTCTCTAACAAAAATACAAAAAGTTAGCGAGGCATGGTGGTGGGCACCTGTAGTCCCAGCTACTCGGGAGGCTGAGGCAGGAGAATTGCTTGTGCCTATGAGGTAGAGGTTGCAGTGAGCCAAGATCACACCACTGCATTCCAGCCTGGGTGACAGAGCGAGACTCTGTCTCAAAAAAAAAAAAAAAAGAAAAGAAAAGAAAAAGAAAAAGAAATTACACAACACATCTACAACCATCGAATCTTTGACAAACCTGAGAAAAACAAGCAATGGGGAAAGGATTCCCTAGTTAATAAATAGTGCTGGGAAAGCTGGCTAGCCATATGCAGAAAACAGAAACTGGACCCCTTCCTTGTACCTTATACAAAAATTAACTAAATATAGATTAAAGACTTAAACATAAAACCTAAAACCATAAAAACCATAGAAGAAAACCTAGGCAATACCATTCAGGACATAGGCATGGGCAAAGACTTCACGACTAAAATACCAAAAGCAATGGCAACAAAAGCTAAAATTGACAAATGGGATCTAATTAAACTAAAGAACTTCTGCACAACAAAATAAACTATCATCAGAATGAACAGGCAACCTACAGAATGGGGGAAGATTTTTGCAATCTATCCATATGACAAAGGTCTAATATCCAGAATCTACAAGGAACTTAAACAAATTTACAAGAAAAAAAGAACCCATCAAAAAGTGGGTGAAGGATATGAACAGACATGTCTCAAAAGGAGACATCTATGTGGCCAACAAACATATGAAAAAAAGCTCATCATCACTGGTCATTAGAAAAATGCAAATCAAAACCATAATTAGATACCATCTCATGCCAGTTAGAATGGTGATCATTAAAAAATCAGGAAACAACAGATGCTGGCAAAGATGTGGAGAAATAGGAACACTTTCACACTGTTGGAGGGAGTGTAAAGTAGTTCACTCATTGTGGCATGCAGTGTGGTGATTCCTCTAGGATCTAGAACCAGAAATACCATTTGACCCAGCAATCCCATTACTGCATATATACCCAAAGGATTATAAATCATTCTACTATAAAGACACATGCACACGCACGTTTACTGCAGCACTATTTACAATAGCAAAGACTTGGAACCAATCCAAATGCCCTTCATTGATAGACTGGATAAAGCAAAAGTGGCACTTATACACCATGGAGTATTATGCAGCCATAAAAAGAATGAGTTCATTTCCTTTGAAGGGACATGAATGAAACTGGAAACGATCATTCTCAGCAAACTAACACAGGAACAGAAAACCAAACACTGCATGTTCTTTCTCATAAGGGGGAGTTGAACAATGAGAACACGTGGACACAGGGAGGGGAACATGACACACTAGGGGCTGTCGGAGGGTGGTGGGCAAGGGGAGGGAGAGCATTAGGACAAATACCTAATGCATGTGGGGCTTAAAACCTAGATGATGGGTTGATAGGTGCAGCAAACCACCGTGGCACATGTATACCTATGTAACACACCTGCACGTTCCACATATGTATCCCAGAACTTAAAAAAAAAAAATGAGTGTTGCATTTCATGTGTGGGGTGATGGTGTTGTAGATGCTTAGAGAAGAAGTGTGAGTGTGGAAAGAGCCCTGAACTGAGAGGGGGAAGATCTGGGTTCAAGTGCAGACTCAGACACTCAACCCATTGGAGCCTCCATTTCCTTCTAACTATAACGAGGGCAATAAATCAAACTAGAGATGGTGCCAAGATTGATCAACAGAAGTGAAGAAAATGATATCAAGTGTTATATAAGTTTAAGATCTCACTGTTGGTGTGTGATCACTGAGGAAGCCTGGATGTCACAGCCCCTCACCTCTGCCTGGCTTGGAGTGATGGTTGCCGTGGCTGGCTGGGAAGTGTAAGTGGGGCTGGGTGGTGTGGGACCACACAGGTAAGGGCTGTGAGCAGCTGTGGTCTTGGCTGTATAAAAATGACTCATTGAGGTGAAGCAATTCGGGTGGGTAAAAGAGAAACCATTTCAGTGGTCTCCAATACAAAAGTGAACCTTGTTTCTTAGGAATGTTCAGGCTGATGAATGACACCACTTCTACCCAAGAAAGGCAAATTGGGAGAATTACCTGACAGAGCTGGACCATCATCCTTTCCTCAGATCTGATTTATCTCCCTGATCCCAAAACCCACCTTCATTCAGGGTCAACACCTTTTTTTTTCCTGTCCTCCAAACTTAAACAGGTCCATTTCAGTCTTTGGATCTCTTGCTCTTCCTAGTTCAGTTGAGCCCCCTACCTTGGTCTTGGCTTATCTTGTCCTTTGAGCCCTACATAAGCAGCAGGTCCTTCACTCTGTAGCTGTCTTGGTGCAGGCAGAGCATCTCTCCTTGCTAGGATGCTATCTTGCTTGGTGGTTTGCCTTCTCAGGAACAAATGCATCCTTTTTCTCCAACCGACCTAACAACTAGGATTTTGTTCTTTTCTTGGATGCTTTTGCAGGAACTGGAGCCAGTTTGCCTCCTTTAGCTGAGACTGGGAAGCAGCTCTTGCTTCCCCATTATGCTATCACTTAATATTAGTCCTGTGATTAAACAAGACAATGTTATGACCCCATAGGCATCCTGCAGGCAGTACCTTCAATGAGTGGCTATGACTTCACAGTATCATGGCTTCAAGAGCCATGGAGAAGTGACAGAATTTCCATTTTACCCATTTCTCTGCTTTTTGTCTTTCATAATGTATATTAGTCAAGGAAAATGCGTTCTTTCTTTCAGTAATTTTCCAACCACAAGCCCTTATATTTTTAGTCTTCCTGACTGAACTTTTAAATTTAATCTAAGGACCCTCTTTCTCTTGGAAAATGATGCTGGTGGAGGAGGAGTTATTTTTATCAAAGGCAAGCAAGAATGGCATTTGGCACACCCCATTTGGGAGGGGACATAGCCCAGAGGCAGGGTTAGGATTTCATCCTTCACCACCAACTTAGGTGAGCCCAGTTCCCTCTTTGAATGAGAGCTCTACCCATAAGACAGGCACCACAGCTGCATCCTGGCATCTCAGCAGCCCAGATAGACAGAGCCCCTGGCACTCTCTATACAAACACGGCATAAGGAAGGGGACTGGGGTCTTGAAGACAACATCTCCTTATGCTTGCTCCATGTCACATTCGAGAGCCAACTTGTGATGGGGTCTTGCTTTTGTCCTGTTTTAGGGTGAGTGAGCCTCATGTCTTTGGCAGACCATACATCTGAGTCGGAACTTGTTGGTAGTTTTATGCTGAATTGATCTGCATTTGTATGCTCCTATATGCTGTCTTTTCCCTCTTAAACAGTTGTCCTCAGCATATAATAGAAAAATCAGGAGTATTAGGCCCATCAGAATGCTTCATTTTTCTGAATTAGAATCAACAGTTGTGATTAGATAGCACTGCAAATGTGTGATTTCTAAGATGGAATTGTCACCTATGTTAGCTATATCATAAGTGGAAAAATTCAGAGCCCAAATGATGATCCAACCTCCACTCAGCTTCCCTGGGATGCTACTTTGGCTGCCCACCAGGACCGTTATGTGGGTCTGCATGTCAGAGAACAAACCACATCCTCCTGCTTCCCTCTGTGCTCAGGTAGCTGCCTGAGCCGGTCCAGACCTGAGGGTCCTGAGTTCCTTGGGCAGCAACTGTGCTCACTCTTAACCTATTGTCTTTCAGTTCCAAACCCATCTCTGCAACTCTGAGCCTGGGATGCTGCAAACCTTATTTTTCCTTTGCAGCTGGATTTCTGTTAGTCTCTGCCCAGAGTGGGCCCTAGAGGGATCCTGGAAGGCTGGGAGAGAGCAGGGACCTGCTCTGTCCCATTTGCTTCCAGCTTCTGTCAGCATCATCCTGAGGATGATTCCTTAGCTTTGCAGCAGTGATTTGGTCCAAGGACAGCAGCTGCTCTCAGCTTTTACACTTGCAGGAGCAGCCTCATTTGGCCCCTCAGAGATGCTGGCACATAGTCACCAGTGTTGCCTACTCTGGGGTTTCAATCCCTGTCGAGGGTGGCTCTCCTCCGAGCTGCTGAGGAAGCAGCATGCACTGAGTAGCATGCATCCTCAGGCTGAAGCCCTGTGGGATCTCTTTATGCCACAGGAAGACCAAGGCCACCCAGGAAAGCCACTCTCCTCAGGGTCTCTGGTCCAGCTCAGTGCAGTCCCTTCACTGGCTTTCTCACTGACCATGGCCTCAAACTCTCTTTGCTCCTCCAGTCCCAGGATATAAAGCTGCTTTCTGTGGTTGCTGTTTTTGCAGCACGGCAGTTTCTCTTGTGCTCTGCAGTCCTCCCAAATGTCTCTGGCCAGTTCCCTATATTAGGTCCTCTCTGTTAAATTGGTAGTGTGGTTTCTGTTTTCTCACCCAGATGCCAACTGATGCAGGCCTCCCTTCTGGGGCCTGTAGGCTCCATGCTCCTGTGCTGCTCCCTGTGGTCTCTGGTGTGAGTTCTTCAGGCTCTGACAGATCCAGGTCCTGCTCCAGCTATTTCTGCTTTGAACACAACAATGGGCTGAATCTGTGCCCATAAAGGGCTGAGCTCATTCAGTCCCAGGAGTGAGGAGAGCTCATCCTGAGTTTGTTAACACTTCTCATGCCCTTGGATGGTATCTCCTATAAAAGTTAAAAGTTCTTTTAGACTTCCTCTTCCAGATTTCCTGGAACCTCTTCAAAGAAGTCAACATGCTTCTCATCATGGGGCTGGGCTAGAGAGGAATCTCTTTGAATGCTCTAGATTGCTTTCTCTCCTGACCTGATTCTTGGTTTCAGAATGGTGTTTGTAACCCTATTCTCTCATCCCAAGATGAATGTCCTTGCTTTCCTGAGGCACCTACTGTCAGAGGCATGTGAACCAGAGCAACTCCATCTTAAATAGGAGCTGGGAAAAATGAGGCTGAAACCTACTGGGCTGCATTCCCAGATGGTTAAGGCATTCTAAGTCACAGGTTGAGAAAGGAGGTCAGCATAAAATATAGGTCATAAAGACCTTGCTGATAAAACAGGTAGTAGTAAAGGAGCCAGCTGAAACCCATGGAAACCAAAATGGTGATGAGAATGGCCTCTGGTCTTCCTCACTGCTATACTCCCAGCAGCACCATGACAGTTTACAAATGTGATGGAAACATCAGGAAGTTACCCTATATGGTCTAAAAATGGGAGGCATGAATAATCTACCCATTGTTTAGCATATAAACAAGAAATAACCATAAAAATGGACAACCAGCAGCCCTCAGGGCTGCTCTGTCTATGGAGTAGCCTTTCTCTTATTCCTTTACTTTCCTAATAAACTTGCTTTCACTTTACTCTGTGGACTTGCCCTGAATTCTTTCTTGTGCAAGATCCAAGAACCCTTTCTTGGGGTCTGGATTGGAACCCCTTTCCTGTAACACTACCACTGGGGATGCAGGGGGTGCAGATTTTATCTCTCCTTTAGACATAAATGTGATTATTTTGGTGTCTGGAAGCCTAACCATTGCTTTACATTCTCCTTCATACTCCCATCCAGACATCCTCCCTATGACATTCACTCATTTCCAACCCTTCCTGTATATCATGGAGTTGCTATGGTGGGTGTGCAGAGCAGCGCCCTTGGCTGGACCTTGGGGTCCAGTCACCATGACAGTTGCCTTGGTCAGTCATGTGGTCAAAGGATGAGAACTATAGTTTTCATATTGCTCAAGGTTAACTTTACCTTTTAGAGAACTCAAGATTACAATACAGTATGCATAAACCAAGTGAGAGCAAGAGGCTACTAATTGGATCAATATATGTCATAAAGCCTAGATTTACTCCTGAAAATATTCTTTTCCTGCTGGTTGGGTTGTTTGGTGAAGATCAATCACATAATAATCTCAGTTCTAACTATGTCATTGTAGACTTTCATTATTTCCTTCCTCTTATAATAAATCCTTATTCTGCCCTCATCAAGCCCTGTAATACTTTCTGAGGATACAGCAGTGAGCAAGATTGGTAAACATTGCCTGAGCTCTTAGTTTTGAAGACAATTTAGTAAACAACAACAATAAAATCCCCATAACAAGGGAAATGCCCCTGCTTGTGGGGGTTAAAGTAGGCCTCCTGTGACAAGTGTCATTTAGGCTGTGCTCCTAAGGATAAGTGGAAGACAGACAGGATAACTTAGTGTTGAAGTGGGGAGGGAGAGAGTATTATAGGCTCCTGGCAAGAGTGTCTGGCAAGAGTGAGTGTGGCTCATACACCCAGTTGAAAGAAATCAAGAGCGGTCAATCTGGACTAAAATGGTGGAAAAACGACCATCACCAACAGTTTTATCCAATGGGTATTGGGAGGGATATATTCTACCTATTTTCTTCACTTACTCAATTGAAAAACCTCATATCCCTAAAAACAATTAAAAATGCTTATACCTACAATTTCTCAGCAACAAAAGGGGCCTCATTAATTAATCATATTAATTTCTCTTGATGTCAATAGAGCCCAGTCTCTTACTGATGATCTCTTGGGGCTTTTACATGGTGGAGACTCTTGGACCTCTCAAATGTAGATGAACAAATAATACTCTCAGAACTGATGACATCTCTCTCCCTTCGTGTGTGTGTGTGTGTGTGTGTGTGTGTGTAAATCAGTCTACTATGCAAATTAAGTCTGTAATTTCTTTTTCCCATGAGGATACATTATATCCTAACACAACCCAAGAAGTGAAATAAAATCAGGCCAATTTGTAATTGCATCTTTTTCTTACATTTGAACATGCGGCCTCTCATGAGAAAAGCATACCATTTGAGTTGATTTTTACCGATATGTAAATAGATTTTGGTTTATCTAAGTGACTTAAGTTCCCACTCAACTCAATTTCCCACTGATGCAATTCAAACATATGCACCACAAACTGGCCAGACATAGAGACACACAAAGCAGAAATCCATGTGAAGACAGAGGAAGAGATTGGAGCGATGCCTTCATAAGCCATGAAACAACAAGGATTGCCAGAAACCACCACTAGCCAGAAGAGGCAAGAGAGGACAGTTCCCTAGAGCCTTCAGAGAGAGCATGGCCCTGCTCACGCCTGGATTTTACACTTCTAATATCCAGAACTATGGCAGAATAAATTTCTATTGTTTTAAGTCACCAGTGTTATAATTTTTAATGACAGTTCTAGGAAACTAATGTAGGTGGCTTCTAGTGGAAGAGAAGTCTCAAATTATGACTTATCTGGTGTCACATCCACAAGCAATCAGCCACTCAGGGGTCTCTTTTACCTAAGCATTGCTACCTAGTAACACAAGGCTTTCCATAGTTATCAGATTTCCAGAGGAATCAAGCTAGAAAGTAAATAGAAGGTCAGTACCTCTTGCAGAAAGGCAGGGTTTTGTTAAACCTTTACCCACAAACAGAGGAAAAAATTGCTAAGTTAAATCCAAATGCTTGTATCCTCTTTTGCATTTAGTGGAGTTAAAGCCCCACAATTATCATGGTTTTCAGTAATTTTTTTTTGTGATAATGCTGTGTGCTTACCCCCTGTACTTGGAGGTGAGTAAAGCTTATCCTCAAGCTGTACTCAGCAGTTTGCAAAGACAAACATATCTTTTTCTCATTCACAAGTTGGTGGATTGGCTGGGCTCCACTAGGTTCCACTGGGATTGGATTGGTGAGGCTCTCATTGAAGGTTGGCTTCACGTATGTTCCATGTGTCTTTTCATGCTGGGATCTGTGGCTACCTGTGGCATGTTCTTTTCATGGCTGATGGATGTAGTGGGAGAGACAAACCAAACCAAGCAAACCTATTTAAACCTGTACTTGTATCATGGCTGTGTAATTGTTACAGGGAAGGAGCAAAGAATTGGGAGCAATAGTCTAATCTGCCACAATAACCCTTGTAAACCAAAAAGTATCTGAGATAGGACTCAATCAATTTAGAGGTTTATTTGGCCAAGATTAAAGACCTTGACCCATGCACAGCCTCAGGAAGTCCTAAAAACATGTGCCTAAAGTAGTTGGGTTACAGCTTGGTTTTATACATTTTAGGGAGAGAGAAGTTACAGGCAAAGACATAAATCAATATACATAAGGTATATGTTGGTTTGGCCCAGAAAGGTGAGACATCTTGAAGCAAAGAGGGTGGAGATTCATGGTCATAAGTGGATTCAAAGATTCTCTGACAGGCAGTTGGTTGAAAGAGTTAAGCTCTGCTTTAAGAATTGAATTCAGCATAAAAAAATGCTTGAGTTTGTTAGAAGCATTTGAACCAGAGCAACTCCATCTTGAGTAGCAGCTGGGTAAAATAAGGCTAAAACCTATAGGCTGCATTCCCAGATAATTAGGCATTCTAAGACACAGGATAAGATAGGAGGCTAGCACAAAGATACAGCTCATAATGAGCTTGCTAATAAAACTTGCAGTAAAGAAGCTGGCTAAATCCCACCAAAACCAAGATGGCGATGATAGTGACCTCTGGTTGTCCTCACTGCTACACTCCCACTAGTGCCATGACAGTTTACATCCCTACATTGTAAACTGTCATGGCACTAGTGGGAGTGTAGCAGTGAGCTGGGCACATGCCTTTAATCCCAGCTACTCGGGACGCTAAGGCAGGAGTGTTCCTGGACCAAACTGAGGGTTGGGCTGCTATTTCCTGCTGCCAATAATGAGATGCAGATGAACTCGGGAGGAAGAGAGTTTTATTTTTTGCAACCAGTTACAGGGAGAAGGCCCAGAAATTTTCACCAGACCAACTCAAAATTACAAAGTTTTTCAGAGCTATATACCTTCCAAGCTATATGTCTACATGTAAGTGTTCCATGTGTCTTTTCATGCTTAGATCTGAGGCTACCTGTGGCATGTTCTTTTCATGGCTGAAGGTCATCCTGAAGACCTTCTTCTACAGCCTCATTAAGTTTACTTAATCTAAATGGGTCTAGGTGCTCGGGTGATTACCCTTATCTTGTCTCTTGCTAAATCACGGGGGTTTGGGAAGTTACTTCAGACCTCCAATAAACTTGATTGTGGAAGCCTGTGGAGTTTCTTCAGACCCCTAATAAAACTTGTTTAATCCTAAGGGGGTCCTGCTAAGAATTTCTTTGTTACTTTATCATGCTTTAAGGCCCAGGAAAGGCCTAGGCAAAACTCTTGATGGACTTTTGCTACATTCCAGCCTTTGTATAAGGGCACTGGCTTTTTTAGCTTTTTATATTTAACTTAACCACTCAGTCAGTACTGAAACAGTTGTGATGGATAACAGAGCAGGAGCATCACCATCTTGGACAAGCACCACCATTTTAAAGTTCACCTTGATTAAAAACTGCCTAAATCCAAAAAGCATCAGCCTAATGGCTAAGGTCAGCATGACCATAAACCACAAATGACATCTCTGACCAGAAACATTCCAACCATAAGGTAAACTCCTCCCAGACCAGAGACATGCCAGCCCTGAGATAACCTCCCCTCTGGCTGGAGAGATGTCAGCCCTGAGATAACCTCCTCTCCAACCAGAGATATTCCAATCCCACAATAGACTTCTCCTCACCCTAAAACCAATAAATACTCTTAGTCTGTAAGAGAGAGTGTTCCTGACTGAAATCGGTCAGAAGGCCCTCTCAGGTTTATTCTCCAAAATAAACCTGTCTTTGACTGTTGAGCCACTTTTTGTGTTTCTTTCCTCTTTCTTTAACTCTTACATTTGGTGCTGAAACCTGGGATGGGTGTTGGGGGTAGAGGCTGTGTTGCAACCCAGGAAGCAGTGGACAGCAGCTGCTCATCCCACTGCACCCACCCCATCTTGTCTCCTTTTTTTGAGCAATTTTTGAGCAATTTGTGTGGGGAGGACAATTAATCTGAAGGGGACTTCAAGGCTCAGGCTGGGGCTACCCTGCAGTGAGCCCTCAAAGCCCTCAGGTGCTGCAGACCCTGGTGGACTGAACAAAGGAGGATGAATGCAGGAATAAAGACAAAGACAAAAGAGTATGTTTGGATGAAGGGGTCAGGGGGCTCCTTGCTTCTAGTGAATAAGTGCCCTGGGCTTCTAGAGCCCTTCATATTTATTGAGTAAAAGAGATATGGAGCAGGGGGCAGTTGTTGGTCAGCTGCTTGATTTAGTGCAGGCCTGCATGACTGCCTTCTTAGAACAGTAGGCTCTAGATGTTCCAGTAGATAACTTTAAGGGGCATGGCACCCAGGAGCACAGCACCAGGGAGTGATTGCCCTCAGCATACCTTCTGGCAGCAGGTGCAGATGTGAGTTTGCCCACATCCTGCATTCATGATAAACAGTTTGCTGTTTGATCATATAGCCTCCAGTGGAATGCTGAGTTGGTCATGACCCTCAGGCTCTTGGCTCCCAACATCTCTCCCTTTCTGTTTTTGCATTAATTGAATGAATGTAACACCAGGCTGGACAGCTCTCATTTTCCAACTTGTGGACCATCTAATTTTACAGACTGTGAACAGAAAACAAGAGACATAACAGCATTATTCCCAGAACTATATATGAGATGTTAATGTGGTGCTTTAGATAGGCCCGAGGATTGAGGCTCTCCAGACCTTGCTGAAATTTGGTCCAGGCTTCTAAAGAAGGCTGAAACTCTTGAGTTTGCTTATTTAAATCAAGAATTTTGTTTTGTAATTCACCAATATCAAAGGTGATGTTGGATGTGAAAGCTCCCTGCAAAAGAGCTTTCACAAGGTCTCATGGATACTCACTTTGGTTGTATTCTAAGTTGGTTACACAAATATGAGTGTGATTTAAATGACAGCACAATTGCTGTTGCAATTGTAAGCTTTCTACTTGTTCCCCTAATGATAGAACTGTGGATTTCAACATTGCCACTTCAATTTGTAACTCAGTGTTAATTTCATTCTGAAGTAGCCATGCTTGGTTGGCTGTATGCATCCAGTTCTCCACATACTGAGTTGTTTGAACAGAACTATGCAAAGCTACAGAGGACATTACAACAGAAGTTATTAGTGTGACCAAGGAAACAATAGCAAAAATTATCGTGCCTAAGGCTCTATGGGCACCATGAGTAAGTTGAGTTAAAAGAAGTTTCACAAAGTGCAAAGCAGGGGTGGTGGCCCAAGGCTCAGAGAGATTAATGGGAATCCATAGCCCAGGGATGTGACCCAAAATTATCAAAGTAGAGATATTATGTGTTTGCAATATGCTATGATTAATGCAATGATATAACTGACAAGGTTTATGGGTGAATTGGATATCATTTACCTGAGCTGGTCCTTCCTGGCTGCCAAAAAGACATAAGGATTAAAAACACAAACCGTAAATTGAGAGGTGATACTCTTTACAAATGTAACATCAAAACTATGTCGAGTAGCAGTATTAGTATTAGAGAGTACCCCTACCCAGATACTACCATTTGTGAACAGGAGTGCAGCGTTCCATATTGTTTCTTGAATTGGACCTTTCCTCCCTAGATATTGTTACTGAGGAAGAGGCAGGCTAAAGCCAGCTCCATGCCAAGCAATCTGGGTGGCAGATTGGGATTGGATCCCCGTGTGGCATAAAGAAGAAGCATTAAAAGCCTGCCACCAATGCCAACAAAGTTTGTGCCATGATGTCAGATTTTCCTCTTTTCCATCTAGTTGAACTTTAGGTCTCTAATCCACAATGTCTCCAGTTAACATAGATTGTTTTCTAGCCAGTGGGCCAGGTTAGCACACTAGTTACATTAATAGAACTAAGACCTAATAAGTACCTGACTTTTCCATGCCGACTCAACCATGCTTGAGCTTGAATTGTAAGACAACTATGGTTGAGTGACATCTTTGTAGTGATACACAAGGGGAGTCCTTCCAGTGGGGTGGTATAATTGATGACATTGTTCTGAGAGTCTAACTGTTCTATGTCAGGGGGAGTTAGGGGTCCTGGATCCCATGCTCCCTGATCATGATAGAACTCAGGAGGAGTGTCACTCCAAAATACAGGTCATACTACTAGGGGATTAGGGACATATGCCCAATGTTTTTGCCTCTGAACAGGGAAAATATACCACACAGGGCATTATGGCTAATATGGCCAAGAACATGGAATCAGGGGTTTTTGCCTCATCGTGACAATCCAGGAGTGTCTCACCTTCCTGCATGGTTTTCTTGAGTTGCCCCCAGGTTATGGGGCTTGATGTCGTCATGACTCCAGCTGGCCTTCTCTCAGTCTTTGCACTCAGGCTCAGCTGGCTCATGGCCTGTACTGGAGGGACCAGGCCCATGGTTGGTCACCATGGGTCCCTCCAGTCTCCTGTTCCATGGTCGCATGCACCTTGAGGGCACCCACATGGTTTGTCCATCTCCTGTAAAAACACAAGCATATCCTCATCCCCACATTAATAAATCCACTGGACCTTTCCATTTTCCTTCTTCCAGGGATTTCCACAACACTTTCAGACAAACTTTCCTTTTTTCCTCTAACACTTGCCAATGTCTTTCTGCTGGAGTCTTACCATCCATACCAGAAGTCAAACAATTTAAAGTAAATTGGGCTAAATGTAGTTTTGTTTGAGGTGGCCTATTCCCCCTTTCTGTTTTTTCAACGTTCATTGTAATGTTTGATGTGCCTGCTGTATAATTCCTTGTCCTCTAGGGTTGTAAGGAACTCCTGTTTTGTGAGTAATAGCCCAAAGCTGTAGGAAATTTTGAAAGCATGACTAGTATAAGCAGGACCATTGTCAGTCTTTAATTGTTTAGGGACCCCCATATGAGCCAATAACAACAGACAATGTCACTGTACATGACCAGCTGTCTCACCTGTTTGGCATGTAGCATGCAGCATATGAGAATAAGTGTCTATGGTCACATGAACATAGCTAAGCTTGCCAAAGTCTGCTATATGTGTAACATCCATTTTGCCAGATTTCATTTGGAGCAAACCTCGTGGGTTACAGCCTTCTACAGGTGCAACACCAGGGACACGCTGACAAGAGGGATAGGCTTGTACAATAGCTCAAGACTGGCTGCAAGGCAGATGAAACATACGAGTAAGGGCAGAGGTGTTTTGATGCAGTAATGCATTAGAAGCTTGAGCTTGTTGAAATACAGAACCGATAAGTTTGTCTGCCTAAAGATAATGGTTCAGGGAATTGAGTGTGAAAATGGATATGAGAAATATAAAAAGGAGCTATACAAGATCAAAGAGCTTGAAGTCTTAGAAACAAGTTAAGCAGTTCTGGCTCTAGTGTACTTTTAATTGTAGCAGTTTCTATGGACTGGCAACATTTACAACATAAGCTGAATCACAGACAATATTAATAGGAGTTGAAGCTGTGAGCTCTAAAACTAGAATGACTGCAATTAACTCTAAGAGTTGAGCTGAAACCCCAGAGGTCCTTATTTTCTGAGTATGTTTAGGTCCATAAATAGCTGTGCAACCTTTGGAAAAGCTGTCAGTAAAATAGGTCTGGCCACCTGGAATAGGCTTGTGATGAGTAATCACATGAAGAATGAAAGAATGGACTTTATAAAACTGCAAAATTTTGTCTGAGGGATAATGATTATCTATTGCACCTACAAAATCAGTGAAAGCAATTTGCCATGCAGTCAACATTTCCCATGCTGCAGCCTGTTGCTGGGAGTCTAACGGAACAATAATTTTATCAAGGTTATATCCTGTAAGCATTTTTGAAATATGCCTGCCCAAAGTCACAATTTGTGTAATTAAGGAAAGATAGACTTGCAAAGTTTTTACTGTTTGATTAGGTAAAAAGAGCCTTTCTATCACTGTTACAGATTTGTCTAAACATTGGCCCAGGAGTCCTGTTGGAGAATGGGGTGTAGGAAGAATAAACAAAAGCAAAAGTTTTTGTGGCTGTAGCCGGATTCCTGTCTCTGCTGAAGCATCTGTTCTACAAGTTGTAACTCAGCTTCTGCCTCTTTCATAAGCTGCCACAGGGAATTTAAAGAAGAATCTCCTTGCAGGGTTTGATAAAGATGTGCAAGTTTATAAGTAGCAATAGCTAGCATTGGGCATAGCCAATTAATGTCCCCTAATAACTGTTGGAAATCATTTAAAGTCTGTAACCTGTCTTTACAGAGAACTACTGTCTGAGGCCATACACTTTTCTCTGTAACAATAGTTCCTAAGTAATGGTATGGGGAAGTTGTTCACACTTTCTCTGGAGCAATTTTGAGATTCCATTTAACAAAAGCTTGCTTTACTTCTATGAATAATTGATACAATATTTGATCTGTAGGAGTGGCCAAAAGAATATCATCCATGTAATGAACAGTATATGCAGAGGGAAACATATTTTGAGACTCTTTTAATGCTCTTCCCACAAAATGCTGACATAATGCAGGACTGTTAAGCTTGCCTTGAGGTAAAACTCTCCACTGATAGCGAGAAACAGGTTCTGTTTGATTAATAGAAGGCACAGAGAAGGCGAATCGAGGCTTATCCTCCTCATGTAATGGTATAGAAAAGAAACAATCTTTAAGATCCATTGCTACAAGAGGCCAGTCTCTAGGAATTGCTGCTGGGGATGCCAAGCCCTGCTGTAATGCACCCATCAACTTAATGTGTGCATTAATAGCTCTCAAATCACGCAGCAGTCACCATCATCTGGACTTTTTTGGGATAACAAAGATTGGTTAATTCCAGGGACTAACTGACTTCTCTATATGTCCTGCATCCAATTGTTTTTTCACCAACAGATGAAGTTGACCTAGCTTCTGCTGTGTTAGGGGCCACTGATCCACCCACACAGGTTTGTCACTGAGCCATTCTAAAGGTAAGGCAATGGGTGGAGGAGATGTATCAATGAACCCAATCATAAATCCTGATGTCCCAGTCCTTTCTGTCTTTCCAGTTATTGATATCGGGTTAGGGTTTCCTTGTTGGAATTTTCCTAAACCTTTCCCACTCTGATATCCCATGTCCTTCAACATTTTAAATCCTGTGTTATCAAAGTTTTCATTTGTAAGTCTCATATCCCATGCTGTAAGTAATTCTGGAGTCCATAAATTGAAAGCTATATTTGCAACATAAGGCTGGAAAGTACATGATTGTCCATCTGGACCAAGACAAGGTAAAATCTCAGCACTCTGTTGAACACTTTGAGCTGCTCCTACTCTCACTAGGGATGTGGAGTTAGTCTGAGGGGCCCGGATGGGGACAAATCCTTACCGGATATTACTGACACATCAGCTCCTGTGTCCACAAGCCCATAGAATTTCCTTCCTTTAATTTGTACTACACAGGTGGGTCTGGTAGAGGCTATGGGTTGTGATAGATAGATTTCTCATGTAGTTGTGCTCCCAAACCATTTGTATCCTCTTTTCTCCTTTCATGGAGAAGGGTGTAATTTGCAGGGGATAAGCAATAATTACACTATATATTCCCCTGGTTCAAAAATCTAAAGGTCTTGTGACATTAAAACTACTTGAATTTCTCCTTCATAATCGGAGTCAGTTACTCTGGGGACTACCATGATGTCTTGCAAGTTAAGGTTGGCTTTTGCCTAAAATTAGTCTCATGTATCCTGCTGGTAAAGGTCCCCAAATGCCAGTGGGAATTTTGGTAGATTTGTCTCCTCCAACTAGTGTACTTCTTTCTCTGGTGGGGAGATCTAATCCTGTGCATCCTGGTGTTCCTGGGGAGAGGGAATCAATGTTCCTCCTGGGACCCACCCCTGAAGTGGGGTTCTGGTCTGAACTGGGAATGCCTCATTTGAAGGGCCTGGGTCCAGGCCTCCTTCTCGTTTCCCGACACAGGGGTGCCATTCTGATGAAGTTTTGAGTGGCATTGATTAGCCCAATGATTTCCTTTGTTACAGCAAGGACAGAGTCCTGACATTTTTTCCACTGGGGGCAGGGTCGGAGGGGGGCTTCACATTGTAAGGTCCTTTCTGTTCTGAGATCTGCACTCTTCTCTGTAACAATAGTTCCTAAGTAATGGTGTCGGGAAGTTATTTGCACTTTCTCTGGAGTAATTTTGAGATTCCATTTAACAAAAGCTCGCTTTACTTCTCTGAATAATTGATTCCTTTTTAAAGTGTCCAGTTTTTCCACATTTATAACATTTTCCCACTTTAGGGTTTGACCCTTGGCTCCTTTAAGATTTGTCAAGTACTAAACTAGCCATTCCTTGAGCTAATATCGTAGAACAATGAAATTCAGTTCCTATATCCTGATAGGATTTAAGGTAATTCCCCAAGCTCTTTGTGGCTCTCACAGGAGCCATTGCATGCTTGCAATCTGCATTTGCATTTTTATAGGCTAGAGTTATGGTAAGTATTTCTTTAGCAGAGGCATGAGGGAGCTGATGCCATACTGTGTCTTGCAGCTGTGCAATAAATTGTGCATAAGGTCCCCATGATCCCTGCCTGACATGTAGAAAAGACAGCACTGGAACTCCTTCTTCAGGAATTGTGCTCTAAGCATGCTTGGTGGCTAAGGCAGACTGGTGATAAGCAGCCTCTGGGAGTGTTAATTGTTGTACCAGATCTGAAAAGGGGCCACTGCCTATCAGCATTTCCTCTGTAATGTTTCCTTGACCAGCGTCACAATTCTGCCTTGCCTGGTCTGCACTCATTTCTTGCCAATTTAAACTCCTTGTCAGATATGCACTGGCGGACAAGCAAGTGTGAGCCAAATGTCTTATATCAAAGGGTGGGAGGTGCATGGCTCCAAACACCAATTCTAACAGCCCTATAGTAAATGGGCTTTGCACTCCATTATTAACCACACTAGCGTTTAATTTTTTTAGTAATTTAAATTCTACAGGAGTGTGTTCATGTAAAAGATGTTGTGGATCATTCGGATCAGGTCTTATAGTAATAGGAAAAGTGCAAGGGTCTAAAGGTTCCCCAGCCATAGCAGCAGTGTGCAAAATTTTTTGTATGAGAGTTTCTACTTCTGTTATTGGAGGGAGTGGCAGAGGCCAATTCTCCTATCATTTTTCCTGCTTAGCAAGCAGCCAATTCTCCTCCCCTTCCTCCTGCTCATTATTTTCAATAGGCACTGTCAGAGGAACAAATGATTTTTTTAATTCTTGAGACTCAGAACCTGACTCCTGCTGTCTGACAGAATAAGAAGGAGACAATGGCAGTAGGACCATGTGAACTAAACCCCAAGCAGATAAAACAGAAGGGTCTACTTTGAAACCTTTTTGATGAGCCTGTTTCAATCCCTCTCCTACTCTGTCCCAATTTCCTACATAGAGACTGTCTGCCTGCAGAAACCATGGGTTATGCGTAAAAACCTCCTGTGGAAGCTTAGTTAATGTCTGTGAATTAACTTGAGCTCCAGACTGTTTCAACAGAACTTTAAGCAACTGCACATAATGCTTTTCTTCAACAGACAAATTCTGCTCCATGTTACCCTGATTCAGAAAGTTCTCATTCCCAGTACTTCTTTAGAGTACTGACTTTATATTCCCTGCCAGCAAATTCATCCCGGGGTCCCCACTGGTCTGGTCAATTTTACTTCCTGTGCTCCAGCAGACCTTCTTTGTTCACATCCTTGAAGTCCCTGTTCGTGATGCCACTTTGCCGCACACCCTGGTGGACTGAACAAAGGAGGACGAATGTGGGAACAAAGACAAAGACAAAACAGTATGTTTGGAAGAAGGGGTCGGGGGCTCCTTGCTTCTAGTGAACAAGGGCCCTGAGCTTCTAGAGCCCTTTGCATTTATTGAATAAAGGAGATAGGAAGAAGGGAGTGGTTGTTGGTCAGCTGCTTGATTTAGTGCAGGCCTGTATGACTGCTTTCTTAGAACAGCAGGCTCCAGATGTTCCAGCAGATAACCTCAAGGAGCATGGTGCCAGGGAGGGATTGCCCTCAGCATACCTTCTGGTGGAAGGTGCAGATACGAGTTTGCCCACAAACTCAAAATTTGGCATAGAGGCTACAGAACTATAACTCAACCCAAACAGAATAATCTTTGCTTGTGTAATTTTTAAATGAATGAAACATAAATTTTTTTAAGAAGATAGCTACATCTTGAACTATTTAGTGAAATACCTTAACTTCTAATCTTGTGGCCTTAGGCAGTCTAGTTCACAGACATGAAGGAAGTTTGTTTTGGGAAAGGACTGTTATCATCTTTGATACTAAAGAAAATAGAATTTATATAAAAAATCTTATGTGATAAATTCTTGTCCTAAAGTAAATTAACTGGTTGTTTAAAAGGAGGGATGTTTACAACAAGTCAGAAAGTTGAGGCATGTCAGAGATTATCTGTGAAAGTTGTGAAAAATTTTATAAAAGGGAATTTATGCAAGAAATGTTGTACAATTTAAAAGTAATTAGGCCTCTTGAATGCTTTATAAAATGCCAGTATAACTCTTAGCTGTACAACTTGCTGGCTTTGCAGCTAGGTAAGACCTAGGACACATGGAGTTAAATGCTGGAATAAATCAGACCTTATTTGCACATCTGTCTAGGTCCTAGGCTCTACCCCTAGTATGGAATTAAAATCCCAAACTTACCAACAAAAGTAAAGGTTGCTAAAAGTTAACAGTGTAACATGTATTTAAGACTATTAAAAATAATCTAAATATACTTTTGGTAAAAAGATTATAAGGAGGCATAAGAATGTGGGATTTTTAACTGGATTAAAAGGTAAAAGAATTGTTTTAAATTGAATAAAATAAAAATGAAGGTTTAAGCAAGTTTCAAAAGATTAATTGTAAAGGAAATTCTGTGTGTAAATATATTGGCTAAAGTTGAAAGGGTATCATCCAGTTTTTCTGTAAATCAAACACTAAAATAAAAGCACAACAGGTTTTTCTTACAGCACTACCTGCTTTTAACAGAAACTGTAGATAGTTAAAAAGGGTGTATAAAAATCTTACCTATGGTCAAGTGTTAAAATTGGGTAAATGTGTCTACAAAGTTTTACTAAAAATTGCATTTAACATTAATAGCACACTAATATAAAGGTAAAATTTGGCTTATTTGGTATAAAATCATACAGAAAGCATTGTCAAATAGAAAATAGGGTTTGGCTTTCTTTGGGCTATATTTGTATAAATATGTTGTTCCAAAGTTATATGGACTTATATGGACACATATAAGGTGTGTGTTCCAAAGTTATGGGAGACTCCTATAATTTGATATATCTTAGTGTACATTATTAGTAGTGATTATAATTGTTATGTTAAAATTATTGTGTGCCACAGAGGTAGCAGATTGCCTGTCAACTGCATCTTTAACTACGGCTACTCTAAAACTTTTGGCCATCAATAAACAATTGTTGTCTTGTTTTGGTCCTCTTTAGAAGGTGGTTTTATAATCAGCTATAAAGCTCTAACAGGTGTTTTTAAATGCAGGTTTCTGATAACTTTGGAGATTGTGACATCAAAATAGAGGAAAAATGTTCAGGACTCTTGAAGAGCTAAAATGTTCATTAATATCAAGCAGGACAGGAATTAACTGCATGAACTGAACTAATAAGAGACTGGAGTGATCTTTTTGATGTTTTGCTTAAAATAGTGCTAATCCTTTGTTTTGCTTTTCAAAGTCAAAGAAACTTTTCTTTTGAGCTATTGACAGCTTTTTTTTGGAAGAATTTTTAATAAGTATTATTTTTTCTGTTAGTTCAGATTGTTACTATATATTTGTTCACTTTTTTATTATTATACTTTAAGTTTTAGGGTACATGTGCACAATGTGCAGGTTAGTTACATATGTATACATGTGCCATGTTGGTGTGCTGCACCCAGTAACTTGTCATTTAACATTAGGTATATCTCCAAATGTATATCTCCTCTCCCCTCCCCCCACCCCACAACAGGTCCCGGTGTGTGATGTTCCACTTCCTGTGTCCATGTGTTCTCATTGTTCAATTCCCACCTATGAGTGAGAACATGTAGTGTTTGGTTTTTTGTCCTTGTGATAGTTTGCTGAGAATGATGGTTTCCAGCATCATCCATGTCCCTACAAAGGACATAAACTCATAATTTTTTATGGCTGTGTAGTATTCCATGGTGTATATGTGCCACATTTCCTTAATCCAGTCTATCATTGTTGGACATTTGGGTTGGTTCCAAGTCTTTGTTATTGTGAATAGTGCCGCAATAAACATACGTGTGCATGTGTCTTTATAGCAGCATGATTTATAATCCTTTCGGTATATACCCAGTAATGGGATTGCTGGTATTGACAGCTTTTAGCAATTTAGTATACTCCCATAAACAAAATTTGGAGCATACTTGTTTCTCTCTACCTGATTTTCTCCAGAATTTGGAAACTATCTGTGAGTATTCTTAAGTTATGGAAATATAGTTATTTGCATAAGTGCAATAAGATTTTTTTTTTTTTTTTGTAACAGAACACAATTGGAAAAACTGGTTATTTTACCAAGGCTTTGACTGGAATGGTGTACTTTCCTTTAAGGAATCAAACTTGACTTATGGAGCCAATAAAACCCTTGGAAAACTGGCCTCATGGTTTGTGTACACAATCCCTGTACAGGGTTTCTGACCTGTGGTAAGTAAAGAATGTCACTTTCTCACAGGCTGGGAACCCCAAGTTATCTTGGATCCTCAAGAGGAGAGAAATTCACCCAACTCATAGGTATTTGATAGTACAAATCCATGGCTGGGCTTGGCTTTAAAAAGTTCTTATCTCAGATTCCTTCTATGGAACAAAGTTCCATCAAAGCCAATTTAAAAGGCCTATGTAACAAATAATTATTCTTGCTGTGCTGTATGCAAATAATTAAGCCAAGTATAATAAAGTAAATCAGTCTTACCATGACTTGTCTTTTAATAAAAATGGGAAACTGGAGAGAGAAAATTATGTTTCAAAAACTATAGCACACTTCTTGTTAAATTCTAATTTGCCTAATATTTTTCAATTTTTATTATTTTATACAGTTTAAATTCTGATTTTTCTCGCTACAAGTTTCCAAAATAAGGTGTGCCTTTTTTTTTGAGACAGAGTCTTGCTCTGTTGCCCAGGCTGGAGTGCAGTGGTGAGACTTCGGCTCACTGCAACCTCCACCTCCCGGGCTCAAGAGATTCTCCTGCCTCAGCCTCCCAAGTAGCTGGGACTACAGGCACATGCCATCACGCCTGGCTAATTTTTTGTATTTTCAGTAGAGATGGGGTTTTGCCCTGTTAGTCAGGATGGTCTCGATCTCCTGACCTTGTGATCTGCCCATCTCGGCTTCCCAAAGTGCTGGGATTACAGGTGTGAGCCACCGTGCCTGGCCTAAACTGTGCTTTCTTAAAGCCCTATAAACTCAAAGCTAGATGTTTCAGTAGGCACTGCCTCTAAGCCCTCTGATCCTCACAAGTGGAAATAAAGAAATAGGACATCTTTAGCAGAAAATCATAAAAAATAAGTGAGCGAGAACTACTCATTTTACTCAGTCTCACCCCTACCTCACCAAATACTTTTTGTCATTCCTACCTCTCCTTCTAAGCAAAATATTAAAACTTTTTAATGGACATTATTTACTATGCCACCCTTGTGGGAATTGCCTTACTCTGCTGTAGCACCCTCAGGGTAGAATATCTAATAGAAAATCTCAATTACTGTATCATTTTGCTTAATTATTATCCACATAGCAGGAACAATGGTTACTAACAGAAAATAACATATGGGCCTTTCCAAACATGCACCTCTGGCTCTCATCAGGTAAGGAATGTTGTTTCTATATCAACCAATCAGGCCTAGTAAGAGCTGCTACTGAAAAACTTAAAGAAAGGGCTAAAAAGCTAAGGAATACCAAAACGACCAAATAGATTCTTAGTTTGGGAACAAAATCATAACATGGGTCATCCCATTCCTGGGCCCTCTCCTAATAATATGCCTAGGACTAATGTTCTTACCCTGCCTAATTAACCTTTTTCAAAGATTTTTAACTGAGATGATCATGGCCATTTCACAGACAACTACCCAAAAACACCTACAGATGGTGTTACTCCTGCAATGAATTCAAGACCAGAAAATTCTGTCCCCTCATCAGCAGGAAGTAGCCAGAAAGAACACACTGCCCCTTGCCTTTTTATAACTATAGGGTCTGGACTGACAGAGCAGCCGCATTGTCATCTTGAACAAGCACCACCATTCTAAAGTTCCCCTTGATCAAAAACCGCCTAAATCCAAAGGGCATCAGTGTAATGGCTAAGGTCCACATGACCATAAACCACAAATGACATCTCTGACCAGAAAGATTCCAAACCCTTTCCCAACCAGAGACATGTCAGCCCTGAGATAATCTCCCCTCCAGCCAGAGAGATTGTCCAGAAGCCCCTCTCAGGTTTATTCTCCAAAATAAACCTGTCTTTGACTGTTGAGCTGCTTTTCATGTTTGTTCCTCTTTCTTTAACTCTTACAGTCAGGACACAGCTTGGTTTTATACATTTTAGGGAGACATGAGACATCAATCAATATATGTAAGAAGTACATTTGTTCAGTCTGGAAAGGTAGGATAAATTGAAGCAAAGGCAGGAAGACTTCAAGCAGGGAGGGAGCTTCCAGGTCACAGATAGGTGAAACAAAAATGGTTGCATTCTTTTGAGTTTCTGATTAGCCTTTCCAAAGGAGGCAATGAGATATTTATCTCAGTGAGCAGAGGAGTGACTTTGAATCGAGTGGGAGGCAGTTGGCTCTAAGCAGTTTCCAGTTTGAATTTTCCCTTTAGCTTAGTGATTTTGGGGCCCCAAGATTTATTTTCCTTTCACAAAAGTAATATAACATTGTTTTTTGTTTTATGTCATTATAGTTTGTGTTGGTTTGTCAGAGGCCAAAGAAGCTAACTGATACATTATGGGAGGAGGATTTCTAGACTTTAAAAATGTGGACTATGAGGAATGAATTTACTTTTATTTCAGGATAAAAGAAAAGGAAGGAGGAATATGCAGTGAAATATGTTACGGATATTTAGTTATCACTACAATTTTTAAAATTAAAATTGTATTTTGAGGTAAAATTTATATTTGTAGATTCATATGCAATTGTAAGAAATAATACAGAGTAATCTCATATACCCTTCATTTAATTTCCCCAAATAGTAGCATCTTGAAAATCTGCATTACAATATCACAACCAGGATATTCACATTAATACAGTGAAGATACAGAACATTCCCACAAAGACTCTTCATGTTGTCCTTCTATAGCTACAACTACTTTTCTTTCACCCCATCATCTCCTTAACCCTTAGCATCCACAAATCTGCTCTCCATTTGTATTATTTTATCATTTCAAGAAGGTTATATAAATAGAGTCAAACAATATATAACATTTTGGGATTTTTAAAAATCATCATAATTTTCTGGAGACTTATACAAGTTGTGTATTAATAGTTCACTGTTTTGTGTTGTTCAGTGTCATTCTATTGTATGGATGTACCACAATAACCATTCATTCATGGAAGGATAGCTGGGTTGTTTCTAGTTTTTCATTATTACAAATAAAGCTTCTATAAACATTTGTGTTCAAGTTTTTGAGGGAACATATATTTTCATTTTTCTGGGATAAATAGGAAGACAATTGCTGGAGTCTATGGTAGTTGCAAGTCTGGTTTTTAAAGAAGCTGCCAAACTGTTTCTGGAGTAACTGTAATATTTTACATTCCTACCCCAAAATGTATGAGAGATCCATTTTCTCTGCATCCTTACCAGCAGTTGATATTGTCACAGTTTTTTATTTTATATCTGATTGTAATCTTAACTTTCATTTCTTAACGGCTAGAGATGTTGCACACCTTTTCTTGTGCTTATCTGACATCTGTATAGCTTCTCCCATGGAATGTCTCTTCATGTTTTTTTCTCATTTTCTAATTATATCATTTATTTATTTTTACTGTTTGGCTTTGAGAATTCTAATATATCCTAGATATGAGTCCTTTGTTAGAAATGTAGTTTCCATATATTTCCTCTTAGTCTGTAGCTTTTCTTTTAATTCTCACAGAGAAAAAGTTTTACATTTTGATGAAGTCCAATTTATGAGTTTTTCCTTTTATGTATCATGCTGTTTTGTAAGAACACTTTACCTGACCCTAAATCTTGAAGTTTTTTCTTTTTTTCTAAAAGTTTTACAATTTTATGTTGTACATTTAAGAACATAAACTATTTTTGAGTTAGCTTTTGTATAAAATATGAGACAGGTGAAGTTCTTTTTTGTGTATGTATGTGTGTATGTGTGTGTGTGTGTTTATGTGTGTGTGTGAGTGTGCCTATAAAAGTACAATTGCTCTAGCACCAATTTGGATGCCCTTTATATCTTTCTCTTGTCTGATTGCTCTAGCTAGGACTTTCAGTAATATGTTGAATAACGGTTGTGACAGTGGGCAGCCTTGTCTTGGTCTGCATCTTAGAAGACAAATTTTCAGTTTTTCCTCATTTAGTATGATACTACCCTGTGGGTGTCTGTTATTTATGGCTTTTATTATGTTAAGGTATATTCCTTATATAGACAGTTTTTTAAAGGGTTTTTATCATGAAGGATGTTAAAATTTTATCAAATCCTTTTCAGCATCAATTGACATGATCATATGTTTTTGTCCTCCATTCTGTTAATATGATGTGTCACATTAATTGATTTGCATATTTTGAACCATCCTTGTATCCCTGAGATAAATACTACTTCATCATGAGAAAAGATCTTTTTAATGTGCTGTTGAATTCAGTTTGCTAGTATTTTGTTGAGGATTTTTGCATCAATATTCATCAGACATATTGGCTGTACTTTTCTCTCTTTTTTTGATGCATTTTTGTCTGGTTTCATATCAAGGTAATACTGGCCTGGTAGAATGAGTGTGGAAGTATTCCTTCCTCCTCTATATTTTTTGAAATAGTTTGAATAGGATTGGTATTTGTTCTTCTTTAAATGTTTGGTAGAATTCGACTGTGAAGCCATCAGGTCCTGGGCTTCTCTTTTTTATATTTATTTATTTATTTATTTTATTATACTTTAAGTTCTAGGATACATGTGCACAACGTGCAGGTTTGTTACATAGGTATACATGTGCCATGTTGGTTTGCTGCACCCATCAACTCGTCATTTACATTAGGTATTTCTCCTAATGCTATCCCTCCCCCAGCCCACCACCCCTTGACTGGCCCCAGTGTGTGATTTTCCCTGCCCTGTGTCCATGTGTTCTCATTGTTCAACTCCCACCTATGAGTGAGTACATGTGGTGTTTGGTTTTCTGTCCTTGTGACAATATGCTTAGAATGATAGTTTCCAGCTTCATCCATGTCCCTGCAAAGGACATGAACTCATCCTTTTCTATGGCTGCATACTATTCCATAGTGTATATGTGCCACATTTGCTTTATCCACTCTATCATTGATTGGCATTTGGGTTGGTTCCAAGTCTTTGCTATTGTGTATAGTGCCACAATAAACATACATGTGCATGTGTCTTTATAGTTGCATGATTTATAATCCTTTGGGTATATACCCAGTAATGGGATTGCTAGGTCAAATGGTATTTCTAGTTCTAGATCCTTGAGGAATCACCACACTGTCTTCCACAATGGTTGAACTAGTTTACACACCCACCAACATTGTAAAGGCATTCCTATTTCTCCACATCCTGTCCAGCATCTGTTGTTTGCTCACTTTTTAATGATTGCCATTCTAATTGGCCTGAGATGGTATCTCATTGTGGTTTTGATTTGCATTTCTCTGATGACCAGTGATGATAAGCACTTTTTTCATACGTCTGCTGGCTGCATAAATATCTTCTCCTGAGAAGTGTCTGTTCATATTCTTTGCCCACTTTTTGATGGGGTTGTTTTTTTCTTGTAAATTTAAGTTCTCTGTAGATTCTGGATATTAGCCCTTTGTCAGATGAGTAGATTGCAAAGATTTTCTCCCATTCTGTAAGTTGCCTGTTCACTCTGATGGTAGTTTCTTTTGCTGTGCAGAAGCTCTTTAGTTTGGTTAGATCCCATTCATCTATTTTGGCTTTTGTTCCCATTGCTTTTGGTGTTTTAGTCATGAAGTCTTTGCCCATGCCTATGTCCTGAATGGTATTGCCTAGGTTTTCTTCTAGGGTTTTTACAGTGTTAAGTCTTAAAGTTAAGTCTTTAATCTATCTTGAGTTAATTTTTGTATATGGTGTAAAGAAAGCATTGAGTTCCAGCTTTCTACATATGGCTAGCCAGTTTTCCCAGCACCATTTACTAAATAGGAAATCCTTTCCCCATTTCTTGTTTTTGTCAGGTTTGTCAAAGATCAGATGGTTGTAGATGTGTGGTGTTATTTCTGAGGCCTCTGTTCTGTTCCATTGGTCTATATATCTGTTTTTCTACCGGTACCATGCTGTTTTGGTTACTGTAGCCTTGTAGTATAGTTTGAAGTCAGGTAGCGTGATGCCTCCAGCTTTGTTCTTTTTGATTAGGATTGTCTTGGCTATGTGGGTTCTTTTTTGGTTCCATATGAACTTTTAAGTGTTTTTTTTTTTTCCAATTCTGTGAAGAAAGTCTGTGGTAGCTTGATGGGGATAGCACTGAATCTATAAATTACCTTGGGCAGTATGGCCATTTTTATGATATTGATTCTTCCTACCCATGAGCATGGAGTGTTCTTCCATTTGTTTGTGTCCTCTTTTATTTCATTGAGCAGTGATTTGTAGTTCTCCTTGAAGAGGTCCTTCACATCCCTTGTAAGTTGGAATCCTAGGTATTTTATTCTCTTTGTAGTAAATGTGAATGGGAGTTCACTCATGATTTCGCTCTCTGTTTGTCTATTATTGGTGTATAGGAATGCTTGTGATTTGTGCACATTGATTTTGTATCCTGAGACTTTGCTGAAGTTGCTTATCAGCTTAAGGAGATTTTGGGCTGAGATGATGGGGTTTTCTAAATATACAATCATGTCATCTGCAAATGGACAATTTGACTTCCTCTTTTCCTAGTTGAATACCCTTTATTTCTTTCTGTTGCCTGATTGCCCTGGCCAGAACTTCCAACACTATGTTGAATAGGAGTGGTGAGAGAGGGCATCTTTGTCTTGTGCTAGTTTTCAAAGGGAATGCTTCCAGTTTTTGCCCATTCTGTATGATATTGGCTGTGGGTTTGTGATAAATAGCTCTTATTATTTTGAGATATGTTCCATCAATACCTAGTTTATTGAGAGTTTTTAGCATGAATGGCTGTTGAATTTTGTCAAAGCCCTTTTCTGCATCTATTGAGAAAATCATGTGGTTTTTGTCATTGTTCTGTTTATGTGATGGATTATGTTTATTGATTTGCATATGTTGAACCAGCCTTGCATCCCAGGGATGAAGCTGACTTGATCATGGTGAACAAGCTTTTTGATGTGCTGCTGGATTTGGTTTGCCAGTATTTTATTGAGGATTTTTGCATTGATGTTCATCAACATATTGGCCTAAAATTTTCTTTTTTTGTTGTGTCTCTACTAGGCTTTGGTATTAGGATGATACTAGCCTCATAAAATGAGTTAGGGAGGATATCTTCTTTTTCTATTGATTGAAATAGTTTCAGAAGTAATGGTAGCAGCTCCTCTTTGTACCTCTGGTAGAATTCAGCTGTGAATCCATCTGGTCCTAGACTTTTTTTGGTTTGTAGGCTATTAATGATTGCCTCAATTTCAGAACCTGTTATTGGTTTATTGTGAGATTCAACTTATCTCTGATTTAGTCCTGGGAGGATGTGTGTGTCCAGGAATTTATCCATTTCTTCTAGATTTTCTAGTTTATTTGCATAGAGATGTTTATAGTATTCTGTAATGGTAGTTTGTATTTCTGTGGGATCTGTGGTGATATCCCCTTTATCATTTTTTATTGCATCTATTTGATTCGTCTTTCTTTTCTTCTTTATTAGTCTTGCTAGTGGTCTATCAACTTTGTTGGTCTTTTCAAAGAACAGCTCCTGGATTTGTTCATTTTTTGAAGGTTTTTTTGTGTATCCTTCAGTTCTTCTCTGATCTTAGTTATTTCTTGCCTTCTGCTAGCTTTTGAGGTTGTTTGCTCTTTCTTCTCTAGTTCTTTTAATTGTGATGCTAGGGTGTTGATTTTAGATCTTTCCTACTTTCTCTTGTGGGTATTTAGTGCTATAAATTTCCCTCTACACAGTGCTTTAAATGTGTCCCAGAGATTCTGGTGCATTGTGTCCTTGTTCTCATTGGTTTCAAAGAACATTTTAATTTCCTCCTTCATTTCCTTACTTACCCAGTAGTCATTCAGGAGCAGGTTGTTCAGTTTCCATGTAGTTGTGTGGTTCTGAGTGAGTTTATTAATCTTGAGTTCTAATTTGATTGCACTGTGGTCTGGGAGACAGTTTGCTGTGATTTCTGTTCTTTTACATTCGCTGATGATTGTTTTACTAGCAATTATGTGGTCAATTTTAGAATAAGTGTGATGTGCTGCTGAGAAAAATGTATATTCTGTTGATCTAGGGTGTAGAGTTCTGTAGATTTCTGTTCGGTCTGCTTGGTTCAGAGTTGAGTTCAAGTCCTGGATATCCTTGTTAACCTTCTGTTTCATTGATCTGTCTAATATTGACAGTGGGGTGTTAAAGTCTCCCATTATTATTGTTTGGGAGTCTAAGTCTCTTTGTAGGTCTCTAAGGACTTGCTTTATGAATCTGGATGCTCCTGTATTGGGTGCATATATATTTAGGATAGTTAGCTCTTCTTGTTGAATTGATCCCTTTACCATTATGTAGTGGCCTTCTTTGTCTCTTTTGATCTTTGTTGGTTTAAAGTCTGTTTTATCAGAGACTAAGATTGCAAACCCTGCTTTTTTTCACTTTCCATTTGCTTGGTAGATCTCCCCCCATCCCTTTATTTCGAGACTATGTGCATCTTTGCACTTGAGATGTGTCTAATGAATACAGCACACTGATGGGTCTTGACTCTTTATCCAATTTGCCAGTCTGTGTCTTTTAATTGGGGCATTTGGCCCATTTACATTTATGGTTAGTATTGTTATGTTTGAATTTGATCCTGTTATTATGATGTTAGCTGGTGATTTTGCCCATTAATTGATGCAGTTTCTTCATAGCATTGATGGTCTTTACCATTTGGCATGTTTTTGCAGTGGCTGGTACCGGTTGTTCCTTTCCATGTTTAGTGCTTCCTTCAGGAGCTCTTGTAAGGCAGGCCTGGTAGCGACAAAATCTCTCAGCATTTGCTTGTCTGTAAAGGATTTTATTTCTCCTTCACTTACGAAGCTTAGTTTGGCTGGATATGAGATTCTGGGTTGAAATTTCTTTCCCTTAAGAATGTTGAATATTGCCCACCACTCTCTTCCTGCTTGTAGGGTTTCTGCTGAGAGATCCACTGTTAGTCTGAGGGGCTTCCCTTTGTGGGTAACCCGACCTTTCTCTCTGGCTGCCCTTAACATTTTTTCCTTCATTTCAACCTTGGTGAATCTGACAATTACATGTCTTGGGGTTGCTGTTCTCGAGGAATATCTTAGAGGAGTTCTCTGTATTTCCTGAATTTGAATGTTGGCCTGCCTTGCTATGTTGTGGAAGTTCTCCTGGATAATATTCTGAAGAGTGTTTTCTAACTTGGTTCCATTCTCCCCGTCACTTTCAGGTACACCAATCAAACATATGTTTGGTCTTTTCACATAGTCCCATATTTCTTGGAGGCTTTGATCATTTCTTTTCACTCTTTTTTCTCTAAGCTTGTCTTCTAGCTTTATTTTATTAATTTGATCTTCCATCACTGATGTCCTCTCTTCCACTTGATGGAATCAACTATTGAAGCTTGTGCATGCATCATGAAATTCTCCTGCCATAGTTTTCAGCTCCATCAGGTCATTTAAGGTCTTCTCTACACTGTTTATTCTGGTTAGCCATTCATCTAACCTTTTTTAAGGTTTTTAGCTTCCTTGCATTGGGTTAGAACATGCTCCTTTAGCTTGGAGAAGTTTCTTATTACTGACCTTCTGAAGCCTATTTCTGTCAATTCATCAAACTCATTCTTCATCCAGTTTTGTTTCCTTGCTGGTGAGGAGCTGTGATCCTTTTGGGGAGAAGAGGCACTCTGTTTTTGGGAATTTTCAGCTTTTCTGCTCTAGTTTCTCCCCATCTTTGTGGTTTTATCTACCTTTGGTCTTTGATGTTGGTGACCTACAGATGGGGTTTTGGTGTGGATGTCCTTTTTGTTGATGTTGATGTTATTCCTTTCTGTTTGTTAGTTTTCCTTCTGACAGTCAGACCTCTCAGCTGCAGGTCTATTGGAGTTTGCTGGAGGTCCACTCCAGACCCTGTTTGCATGGGTACTATGATTGGAGGCTGCAGAACAGCAAATATTGCTGCATGATCCTTCCTCTGGAAGCTTCATCCCAGAAGGGTACCCACCTGTTTGAGTTGTCTGTTGGCCACCACTGGGAGGTGTTTTCCAGTCAGGCTACACGGGGGTCAGGGACCCACTTGAGTAGTCAGTCTGTCTGTTTTTGGAGCTCAAACGCCATGCTGAGAGAACCACTGCTCTCTTCAGAGCCATCAGACAGGGACGTTTAAGTCTGCAGAAGCTGTCTGCTGCCTTTTGTTCTACTATGCCCTGCCCCCAGAGGTGGAATCTATAGAAGCAGTAGGCTTTGCTGAGCTGAGGTGGACCCCACCCAGTTCATGCTTCCTGGCCTCTCCTGGCCCCTTTGTTTACACTGTGAGGTACTTAAGCCTCAGCAATGGCTGACTCCCCTCTGCCCGCCAATCTGCAGCATCTCAGGTTGATCTCAGACTGCTGCACTAGCAGTGAGCAAGGCTCCATGCGCATTTGCCCTGCCAAGCCAGGCACAGGCGGGTAACTCCTGGTCTGCCGGTTGCTAAGACTGTGGGAAAAGTGCAGTATTTTGTCAGGTGTGTACCATTTCTCCAGGTGCAGTCCATCATGGCTTCCCTTGGCTAGGAAAGAGAAATCCCCCACCCGTTGGACTTCCTGGGTGAGGTGACACCCTGCCCTGCTTCAGCTTATTCTCTGTGGGCTGCACCCACTGTCCAACAAGTCCCAATGAGATGAATCAGGTACCTCAGTTGGAAATGCAGAAATCACCTGTCTTCTGCATTGATCTCACTGGGAGCTGCAGACTGGAACTGTTCCTATTTGGCCATCTTGGAAGCAACCTCCTGATCTTTTTATATTGTGTATCCCTTAACAAATTATTGGAGCTGTCATTATTTGAATAGTTTTGTCTTTTCACCTTCATAGTAAACATATGTGATATATACCACCATCACAGTATTACAGCGTTCTGAATTTGACTGTGTTTTTACTTTTACCCCCAAGTTTTTCATGTTCATATTTTTTTATGTTACTAATTAGTGTCCTTTTACTTTCTACTCAAAGAAGTCCCTTTAACATTTCCTATAAGGAAACACCTCAGCTTTTTCTCCCCTTCATTTCTGAAGGACAGCTTTACCAGGTAAAGTATTCTTGGTTGAGTTTTTTTTCCTTTAACAGTTAGTATAGAGCATTCCACTCCCTCCTTGTCTGTAAGGCTTCCATTGAGAAAATTGCTACTATTCTTATTGGGATTCCTTCATATATAATATACTTCTTTTCTCTTGCTACTTTCAGAATTCTTTCTTTGTCTTAAATTTTTGATGGTTTGATTACAATATATTTTGACATAGTCTTGTTTGGGTTGAATCTGATTGGAGTCTTTTGACTTTCCTGTGCCTGGATATTTATATCTTTCCTCATATTTTGGGAATTTTCAGCTATTATTTCTTTAAATAAGCTCTCTATCCCTATTGCTTTCTCTTTTTCTTCTCTACCTAGTATAATTTGAATATTAGGTCCTTTGATACTGTCCCATAAATCTTGTTTATTTTTTTTTTTTTACCAATTTTTTATCTTTTTTTCCTCTAACTGAATGTTTTCAAATAACCTATCTTTGCATTCAAAGATTCTTTCTTTTGCTTCATTAATTATGCTGTTGATGTTCTCTCTGTGTTGCATTCTCCATTTCATTCATTTCATTCTTCTGGTCCAGAATTTCTTTGTTTTATTATTATTTCAATATCTCTGTTAAATTTATTATTTGAGTTATTTAATGTTTTCCTTATCTAATTGAATTGTTTCTCTGTATTTTTTGAAGTTAACTGAGCATCATTAAAACAAGTACTTTGAATTTTTTGTCAGGCAGTATGTAGATTTCCATTTCTTTGGTGTCAGCTAGTAGGAAATTATTGTGTTCTTTTGGTGGTAATATTTCTCCTTAGTTTCCCATGTTTCTTGTTGCCTTACTTTGATGTCTGTAACCCTTTCCAGACCTTATAGGCTAGTTTCAGTGAAGAAAGATCTTTACTATGCAGAGACATGGGGTTCAAGGGCACTCTCTGGGTGGGGCACAGCAGTTCTAGCATTGATGATGGTGCGGCAATGTAGTCCCCATGCAGCTCTGTCAAATGAGTTTGGTGTTGACAAAGATTGCAAGGATCCAAAGCAACCAACACTGTGGATGTCTTCAGTGGCAGTGAGGGCTAAAAGGTTCTCCAGTGGTAATGACTGTTAAGGTCCTCTGAGTCTCTTTTTCTCCCACTGGGAAAGTTGGGGCTTAGGGGATCCTGTTGACATTGAATCTGGTTTGCATGCCTACTTGCAGTAGCAGTGGCACTGGTGTCTGATTAGTGGTACCTGTGGAGCAACCACAAAGCCTAATCCTATAGCATGAACATATGTGGAGGAAATACACATCTGGGGTATGAGGTGGTAATGGTACCAGTGCCCAGGGCACAGAAACCACCATGGACAAATTGGTAATGGTATGCCATGTCAGATGCTTGTAGAGCAGCCAGGGCTCTGGGGATGAGAACATGGACATGCACAGAGCTACAGTGCCTCTGGAGTCAGGTTAATCCTAGTTCTCTATGGCAGCTGAGCTGGTGCCCTAAGCACAGGCACAAACAGAGAGATCTTGGTCCCAAGGACCAGGGTACAAGCTAGCTCACCATAGTGGTGGCTCTTGTGTATGAAGCATGAGTCTAGGCAGCCTTGCTTCAGAAACAGATTCAGAGCATAAGCTAGCTCACAATGGCAGCTGAGCTGGTATCTAAACTGTGGGCACATGCAGAGAGACCTTGGCTCCAGGGTTCAGGATGTGAACCAGTGTCTGAGGCATAGTCAGGTACGGTTCAGCCACAGAGCTGGGGTCTGAAGTGTGGGCACTCATGGAGCAGCTGAGGCTCAGAAGTCAGGGCCATACACAGAGTTGGTTGAGATGGCAGCTCTGGTCCCAGAGTGGCATAACAGCAGCTGCTTTTGGGGAGACAGGTATGTACAGCCCCATCTTCCAATCTAGGGGTTCCTGGCAGGAATGTCAGTGTCCTCTGCAGAGCAGGCCACTGGGAGCCATGGTGGTTCCCACCACATAGCTGATACCAATAGATCTCACCTTTCTTCTTTGTTCCTAGCCATCTCCTGGTATCTCAGGTATGCCAGTCTCACCAGTGGTCCTTTCTGCGTGAATATTCTCTTTTCACTCCATGGTATTGCTGTAGATTATTAAATGGGCCCCTGAGTCCTCTCAGGGCCATTTTGATTTGTGGATACAAGTCTATATTTGTTTTTTTGGGGGAGGTGAGGGCTGTAGGGTGATACCTGTTACTCTGCCATGTTGGTAAAGAGGGACTATTATTTTTCATTATAAAACTTTCAACAATATGTAAAACTTTCAGAACTATGGAATTTTTTATTAAGGTAAATGTACATATAAAATTAATCATTTAAAAGTGAACAATTCAGCGGCATGCAGTACGTTCAAAATGTTATACAACCACCACCTCTATCTAGTTCCAAAACATTTTTATAATATCATCTCCAAAGGAAACCCCATACCCATTAAGCTATTGCTGCCTGTTCCCCTACCCTCACAATTTATCTCCGAGGTATATACCCCTAAAGACTTGAAAACAAGTACTCAAACAAGTAAATGTACACACATGTTCATAACAGTACTATTCACAATAGCCAAAAGGCAGAAATAGCTCAAATGTGTATCAACAAATAAGTGTATTAAAAATTGTGGAATATCTTTAGTATACTAAATTGTAAACAAATTGTGTTAATCACAAACAATGCAATTATTTTTAAGCTATGTAACTTTATATGTATAGATGAAAGTAAATGAAAACATTGTATATATTTTCCATTTATTTCAAAGTAGATAAATATGATTCACTATGTCAGACTAGTAATGTTTAAAAATTTTAAAGGCAAAAAAAATGCAATGACCACTCAGTTCATTGGTATTGCTTTGTCAGTCCCTTTAGCAGTTTGAACACTGCAAATGTGAGAAAAAGAAACAAGTCTACACAAAGTTGTATGAAAATCCTTATATACACATAGGGTGAACAAAAATTTGGGTTCTGCTAGTTCAATGAAGTGTGTTTTTCTAATTCTTACATAATTATGTCCCTCAAACTTTCCCATCGTAATCTTTTATTATCCCCCCTCTAGTGGGATTGATAAGGAATCAGAGAGACCGATGGGATTGAGGAGGATATTTATTATTTAGGTGCGCCGGCCCAGTCAGATTAACATCCAAGGGACTGAGCCCTGAACAAACAGTTAAGTTACCTTTTAAGCATTTCGTGAGGTGGGGGGAGACCTGTGCAGGGGAAATATATTACGGAAGCAAGAAACAAAGAGAGTTATTTAATTAATTGAGACATGCATTACAACATTTCTTACTTTCCAAGGAAAAACATGTTTTATGGCTTATCTGTCTAGTGACCTTGCAGCTGTACAGCTAGAGAAACAGGGTCTTCACAATGCCTGGGAAAGGAGGAGAGATAAGGCTTACTAGCCACAGTAAAACAGGCAGTTAATTTTTAAAGGACTCCAGCTCTTTCTCTTTCTCAGGGGGAATTGGGCTTTCTTACATACAACTGAGTTTCTGCTTACACATTCTTTAATTTCTTTTGATTCCTGTTCCACCACAATCACAGAAATATGTGGTCAAAACAAAACATGATCATTGCCATTAACCAAGTACGCAAAACAAATCCTAGCTCCAGGGTTTTGTCTCTAATTCATTTCCTATCAAAATCTTGAATAACTAAATTTCAGTTGTAGCATAAGTTCTTCCATTAAAACATCTCATCATCTTCTCTCTGCCATTCTCAAATTATATTTCTGTTACAGCATGTTTCTGTGTCACATTCAGTATCAATAGCGCCACTTCACATTAGTACTAAAATGAACATCCCGAGGTGACACAACCAAACCTCTCATTCCACAAATGAAGAGACTTGTTTATACATTCATTTGCAGAGATTTCACAGTCACAGACTTCTTCCCATCTCTGATTATATTTCTCCCAATTCCTTTAAACTTTCTGTAGTAGGGAAACAAATATTAACTATTTAATTCCTTGTTCCAAAAATTGTAATGTTTCTCCCCCTGTGCTGCTTCATTTTCAGGTTTGTCGGCACTGAAATCAATCTTGCAAACCATTGAAACCAACAAGGACTTGCAACTTCATCTAGAGACAGTTATATGTTTTTATCATAGTGGGAACAAAAAGTGTAAAGATTTATATACAGAATATTCAACATTGAAAGCAATTGCACTGAGTCATCTTAAGTAATTATATTGATATCCTGACAGCTGTGTATATATGTTTCCTTCAAAACTTTATACAATGACCATGTTATATCTACCCTTGAACTAACTTGATACTCTTAATACTTATGAAGTTTGTTCTTCATCCCTTTGCACTTACCACAAGTAAATACTTAAAACTACATCATTTCAGCTTTGAAATTCCACATGCATCAAACAGACTCATGTATATGAGGTTCTTCACTAAAATTTGTTGAATCCTATTTATTTAAAACTAGTAAAAAGATTCAGGAAGATACTTTCATCTCAAAATAAAGGTAATATAGGAGCTTTCAGGTTGAATTATTAGATAAATTAGCCCTTATTCTTTTTTTTTTTTTATTGATCATTCTTGGGTGTTTCTCACAGAGGGGGATTTGGCAGGGTCATAGGACAATAGTGGAGGGAAGGTCAGCAGATAAACAAGTGAACAAAGGTCTCTGGTTTTCCTAGGCAGAGTGTGTGTGTCCCTGGGTACTTGAGATTAGGGAGTGGTGATGACTGTTAACGAGCATGCTGCCTTCAAGCATCTGTTTAACAAAGCACATCTTGCGCCGCCCTTAATCCATTTAACCCTGAGTGGACACAGCACATGTTTCAGAGAGCACAGGGCTGGGGATAAGGTCATAGATCAACAGGATCCCAAGGCAGAAGAATTTTTCTTAGTACAGAACAAAATGAAAAGTCTCCCATGTCTACTTCTTTCTACACAGACACAGCAACCATCTGATTTCTCAATCTTTCCCCCACCTTTCCCCCTTTTCTATTCCACAAAACCGCCATTGTCATCATGGCCCGTTCTCAATGAGCTGTTGGGTACACCTCCCAGACGGGGTGGTGGCCGGGCAGAGGGGCTCCTCACTTCCCAGTAGGGGCGGCCGGGCAGAGGCGCCCCTCACCTCCCGGACGGGGCGGCTGGCCGGGCAGGGGGCTGACTCCCCACCTCCCTCCCGGACGGGGCGTCTCGCCTGGTGGGGGGCTGACCCCCCGACCTCCCTCACGGATGGGGCGGCTGGCTGGGCCGGGGGCTGACCCCCCCACCTCCCTCCCGGACAGGGTGGCTGGCCGGGCAGAGGGGCTCCTCACTTCCCAGTAGGGGCGGCCGGGCAGAGGCGCCCCTCACCTCCCGGACAGGGTGGCTGGCCGGGTGGGGGGCTGACCCCCCACCTCCCTCCCGGACGGGGCGGCTGGCCTGGCGGGGGCTGACCCCCACCTCCCTTCCGGACGGGGTGGCAGCCGGGCGGAGGGGCTCCTCACTTCTCAGATGGGGCGGTTGCCAGGCGGAGGGTCTCCTCACTTCTCAGACTGGGCGGCTGGGCAGAGACGCTCCTCACCTCCCAGACGGGGTCTCGGCCGGGCCGAGGCGCTCCTCTCATCCCAGACAGGGCGGCGGGGCAGAGGTGCTCCCCACATCTCAGACGATGGGCGGCCAGGCAGAGACGCTCCTCACTTCCTAGATGGGATGGTGGCCGGGAAGAGGCGCTCCTCACTTCCTAGGTGGGATGGCGGCCGGGCAGAGAGGCTCCTCACTTTCCAGACTGGGCAGCCAGGCAGAGGGGCTCCTCACATCCCAGACGGGGTAGCGGCCGGGCAGAGGCTGCAATCTCGGCACTTTGGGGGGCCAAGGCAGGCGGCTGGGAGGTGGAGGTTGTAGCCGAGATCACGCCACTGCACTCCAGCCTGGGCACCATTGAGCCCTGAGTTAACGAGACTCCGTCTGCAATCCCAGCACCTCGGGAGGCCGAGGCTGGTGGATCACTCGCGGTTAGGAGCTGGAGACCAGCCCGGCCAACACAGCGAAACCCCGTCTCCACCAAAAAAATACGAAAACCTGTCAGGCGTGGCGGCGCGCGCCTGCAATCGCAGGCACTCGGCAGGCTGAGGCAGGAGAATCAGGCAGGGAGGTTGCAGTGAGCCGAGACGGCAGCAGCACAGTCCAGCTTCCGCTCGGCATGAGAGGGAGACCGTGGAAAGAGAGGGAGAGGGAGACCGTGGAAAGAGAGGGAGAGGGAGAGGGAGAGGGAGAGGGAGAGGGAGAGGGACAATTAGCCCTTATTCTAAGAAAAAACAAACAGAACCTAAAAAAAACATATTTGCAAATTTTTTATAAAGGATTCCAGAAACAGGAGAAAGATTGGATTAGATCAAGGAGAAGGTGCATTCCTTCACTGGGAGGTTGTGATTCTGTTTTTACAATTTCATTCTGGACTGAGCATCCCTCAGAGCCTGGTGGACCTGCTTGTTCCGCAGAGTGTAAATGATCGGGTTCAGCAGTGGGGTCACCACTGTGTTCACAAGAGCAGCCTTTCTGTTGGAGTCCAGCCTGTCCATTTGCTTCGGCTTCACATATATGAAGACACAGCTGCCATACACCAGAGAGAGGACAATGAGGTGAGAGGAGCAGGTGGAGAAAGCTTTCTGCCGCTCCTTGGCTGATGGGAGTCGTACAATTGTGACTACTATGTTGCCATATGCAATGATGGTTATAATGAGGGATGTAAAAAGAACGAATGAAACAAGGACAAAGGCCAACGTTTCAGTAGATCTGGTGTCAGAACAGGAGAGTTGGATCAGAGGGCCGAGGTCACGGAAGAAGTGAGGGATGACATGGGGTCCACAGAAAGATAACTGGGAAACCTTCACCATGAGACCAGTGATGAGAGTGAAGCCCACGACAAAGCAGGCAGTGACCAGGTGGAAGCTAGTCCTCAGGCTCATGATGGTGGAGTAATGCAGAGGCTTGCAAATGGCCAGGTATCAATCCAAGGACATCACAGCCATAAGGAAGAAAACTGTTGACCCAAGAAATAAAAATGAAAAGGACTGCATGAGACAAGTAGTAAAGGGGATTATTTGCCTGCCTGAAAGAAAGATGACCAGAAGTTTAGGAATAACTGTGGTGATAAAACAGCATTCACAGAAGGAAAAACTGCTGAGGAAGAAATACATAGGTGTCTGGAGGTGATGGTCAGCCCAGGTGATGGTGATTATGAGCATGTTTGCCATGATGGAGGCCAGGTATGCCAGCAGGTGCACCAGGAAAAGGACATTCCCCAGATGCTGGACAGCAGGAAATCCCTCCAGGATAAATTCCTGGACTACTGTCCTGTTCCTTGCTTCTCCCATCATTGGTTTTCCATTTCTTCAATCAATTTTCAGTGAGCTATTTTACAGTGTCATGATTAAAGAATGGAGAACTTTATTTTATTAAACATGTAAAACAGTATCCGTGTGGCAATTGGACTTGTTTATTTTCAAACATTATATTTTATGTAATTTTTGTTATGTAAACATTATGATTTTTATCTATGAATATACTTATATTACATGCAGCCCAAAATAACTGTGCATGTAGCTATTAGTCTTCATAAAGGATAATGTAATTTTAAAAGTATTAGTCATTTTCCTATACAGTTTATTGCCAAGCAGGAAAAAAATCCCTTCTTTTACTTACGTATCTGATCATGTAACACATTGCTGAGAAGATACCACTCATGACATGCAGTCACAAGATGAATATTGCAAAAATAAATGTGTAACTTAAAAAAAACTTGAGGTCATTTAAGTCTGTCATCCCACAAAAAGTATTTCTTCATCATGTCTTAGGGTTTGTTTCCATCTTGGGGGAATCATAATACCATATATAGGAAAAATACTGTGGCCCCAACTGCAGCCCTCCGAAGTGAGTTAGACTAAAAGAGTCACAGACAAACTCCATCTGGGCCATTCTGACCTTTGCTGAATTTGTTTTTCCCTTCATGCCATGCTAAGTGGTCAGTCCAGGGAGGAATATATTCTGACCCTTCCAGTTCACTAGTTACACTTTCATCTAGAACAAAGCCACCTAGAAACCAATGTCCCTCTAGGATCCCTGGTGGCTGCTAATTGGGCCTGTTGGAAATACAAATTTATTACACAAGCATCATAGTTACACTTTAATTATGTGTGCAAATATATTTAAGGAATGACAACCAAAATATAAAAAGAAGGGTTATGGCTGGGCACGGTGGCTCATGCCTGTAATCCCAGCACTTTGGGAGGCCAAGCAGGCAGATCACGAGGTCAGAAGTTCAAGACCAGCCTGACCAACATGGTGAAACCCCGTCTCTACTAGAAACACAAAAATTAGCTGGGCATGGTGGCACATGCCTGTAATCCCAGCTACTCAGCAGGCTGAGGCAGGAGAATCACTTGAACCCAGGAGGTGGAAGTTGCAGTGAGGTGAGACTGTGCCACTGTACTCCAGCCTGAGCAACTGAGCAACAGAGTGAGACTCCGTCTCAAAAAAAAAAAAAAAAAAAAAAAAAAGAAGGGTTGTATGACTTGACCACAGCAATTATTTTCTGATTCCTGCTCCTTGCTGTTGTCCACCTAAGTAGAATAAATATTATTTTTCATGTGTTTAACATTGGACTGTCTCTTGACACCAGTCAGGATCCACCAGGACCAACGGGCAGACTCCAGACACGCCAGACATCATTAGGAGATGAACAAAGCCATCTAGAGACCAATGTCCCTCTAGGATCCCTGGTGGCTGCTAATTGGGCACTGTTGGAAATAGAAATTTATTATACAAGTATCATAGCTACCCTTTCATTATGTGTGCAAATATATTTAAGGAATGACAACCACAATATATAAAGAAGGGTTGTATGACTTCAACGCAGCAATTATTTTCTGATTCATGCTCCTTGCTATTATCCACCTAGGCAAAATAAATATTATTTTTCATCCTTTAAATTTATAAACTTCTCTTAGGTGAGCTTTTGTCACTCTGGTCAACTAATGTTCATCTCAGATCTCTGAACTCACTGTCTAATTTAGCCCAGCCCAATACTCCTACTCTTTTTTAGTGTGTGAGATCAGATTGAAGAGGAACAGAGTCTGTTTGGGTTCACAGAAAATGAGTGGAAAGATTTTCCAGTCACACTAAGGTCATGTACTCACCCCAAGCAGTTTACAGCAACCAGAGCTCTAGCCCCTGCTTTCCAAAAAACCAAGATGCTGTTCCAGGCCATTGGATGTGTAAGAAAATACACACTTCCATCTCAGATGTCCCTAATTTGTCCCGGAGAAAAGTTCAACATGTGCATCATGCCTGCTAAGCATAATTCATCAATGAATTCAGAGCTTTCCTAAACTGAGATAAGTGAAAGTGATAGCTTCATGGCCACCTTGCTTGATGAAATCCTGGGAAAGAAAGCAAAGAGCATACTTTCCCAACATCCTGCAGGAACCTGGGAGTGAGATCACTTGGAATTCCAAAAAGCTTTCACACTCTCTTTGTAGGCCCTAGGTTCCCCCAGACCACCATCCTCCTCCTGTGTCTGCCAACACCAGCAGGAGACAGTAATTGGTGGGCAAATACTCCAGGGCAGGGTGGGAGACAACAACATCCTCACTTAAACTGGTGTCTCATACATAAATAATATCTCTCCAAAGTGCATGCAAGCACACTGAGTTTGCCACTCCCTGACCTCTCCAGACTGGGAAGAATAACCACACTATTGAAAGCAGAAATAAAAGTGATATGAATTTCCCTTACCATATGCTTAACATTGGACTGTCTCTTGATACCAGTCAGGATCCACCAGGACCAACGGGCAGACTCCAGACACACCAGACATTATTAGGAGAACAAAGCCATCTAGAGACCAATGTCCCTCTAGGATCCCTGGTGGCTGCTAATTGGGCACTGTTGGAAATAGAAATTTATTATACAAGCATCATAGTTACTCTTTCATTATGTGTCCAAATATTGTCATATGAAAATGTCTGAAAGTGTCCTCCATGAAAATCTTTAAAAATGGAGTACATATAATTCCCCAAGTTTATAAAGTTCCATATTGCATTTTGCTACTAAGATGGGGTTGAAAGGTCAAGTGAGGAACTTAGAGCTTCACCTGGCAGTAATGAGGTGGATGTCCCCTTTACTCGGCCAGAGCAGTGTCAAAGAAAGCCAGATAAAATGTAAGGTTTAAATAAGGCCAGTGCCTCATAACATAAAACCCACAATGTCCAGGTGTTATCTGAAAACCACTTGTTATGCCAGGAACTAGGAAGATCTCAACTTAAATTTAAAAAGAAAATCAATAGATACTAACATTAAAATGACAGAGATATTAGAACTATATGACAAAGAGTTTAAAGCAGCCATCACAAAAATGCTTCAATAAGCAATTACAAATATGCTTGAAATACATTTTAAAAATAAAGTCTCAGCAAAAAATAGAAAGTTTCAGCCAAGATAGAGAAAACATAAAGAAGAACCAAATAAAAATTTTGGAACTGAAAAATAGAGTAAATTAAAATTTTAAAACAGTGGAATGATTCAACAGCAGAATGGAGAGGACAAAGGGAAAATCAATTAACTGATAGATAAAACAATAGAATTTACTCAATTTGGGCAACAGAAAGAACATATACTGAGGCCAGGTGTGGTGGCTCATGCCTGTAATCCTAGCACTTTGGGAGGCCAAAGTGGGTGAATTTCCTGAGCTCAGGAGTTCCAGACCAGCCTGGGCAACATGGTGAAAAACCCATTTCTATCAAAAATACAAAAACTTAGCTAAGCACGGTGGTGCATGCCTGTAGTCTCAGCTGCTAGAGAGGCTGAGGCAGGAGAATCGCTTGAGCCTGGGAAGCAGAGGTTGCAGTGAGCCGAGATTGTGCCATTGCGCTCCAGCCTGGGTGACAGAGCAAAACTCTGTCTCAAAAAAAAAAAGAAAAAAAAAAAGAATATATACTGAAAAAAAAAAAAAAAAGGAAATAATAGAGCCTCATGGGCCTGTAGGACTATAACAAATGATCCAATATTTATGTAATATATGTATTCTACACATTCTATATATATTCTCTATACGTGTAGAATGCGTATCCCAAACAATGGAACTGCAAAAGATTTGAAACAAAGTGGTAGAATTGAATGGAGAAAAAAATTAATCCACAGTTACAGTTTTAGACTTCACTATTCTTCTCTCAATAACTGATAGAACAACTAGACAAAAATACAGGGTAACTCAATACCACCAATCACCAATAAAGCCTATCCAACAAAATAAAACACTCTACCCAATGATAGTAGAATTCACATTCTTTTCATGTGCCCATCAAACATACACCAACCACACACACTACACTACAAATAACATACACTAATTACATTCTGGGCCACAAAATAAATTCCAATAAATTTTAAATAATTGAAATCATACAGAATGTGTTATACGACCAGTATTCAATCATTAAGAAAAAGATAACAGGAAATTAACAGAAATCAATAGTAGAAAGATAACAGGAAAACATCTCCAAATGCTTGGAAACTAAATAACATACTTCTAACTAGTCAAAGGGTCAAGGAGGAAGTCTCAGAGGAAATAAAAAAGAAATTGAACTGAATGAAATAAAAATATAACACTTGTGTGGCACATCCTAAGTACATATATTAAAAAAGGAAAAGCATTAATAACCTAAGCTCCCAACTCAAGAACCCAGGGGCTCTTTAGTCAGCAGGTGATGAACCCTGACAGGTCTCTGTGTGACATAGCAGCACTGAGTTCATTCCTCCAATCACTGTGCTCTCCTCCCAAGTGAACAGATTTCTCTACATTGCATGGCTCTACTGGGAGCTGGGGAAGGGATGGCTCAAACATTCCCTTAGCTGCCCCAGCTTGTGTTTAGTAAGTTGCATGCTCCACCAGTCCACTGGCTCTGAGCCCACCTCAGCACTGGGATGTGCCTGGGAATTGCAAACCTTATGGCCAAAACAGCCCCTCAAGTTCACTTAGGGCCCCAGGGTACTTTAGCAAGGCTTGTTGGAACTCAAGCTCTAACTCCTGAGGTGGGAAATTCCCCTCTGGCCAGGACCAGTCAAAATTCTCCTTCCGTGGGTAGATGTCAGCTCAGTACAGCCCGGTTCTGCTTTCCACTGTGACAAGGTAGCACTGAGTTCAATGCAAAGCCTCACAACTGCTGTGCTCTCCCTCTCCAAAGCACACAGATTCTCTGTGCTGTGTGCTGCTGCTGGGGGATAGGGGAGAGGGTGGCATCAGCAATACAAGATGGTCTTTTCTACCATCTTCAATGTCTCTTTCAGCAATATGAAGTTAAAGCCAGATATTGTGATTGCTGACCTGATCTGGGGTTCTCGTGATGGTGCTTTATGTGTGTAGTTAGCTGTGAAAATTTGGTGTTCCTGCAGGAGGAATGAATGGTGTAGGCTTCTATTTGGCCTTCTTGCTCCACTCTTTCTTCTTTGATTTCTTTCATTGGCATTTTATAGTTTTGGCATACATGTTCTGTACATGTTTGTTTAGATTCAATTGGAGTATTTCATTTTATTTGGTGATTGTAAATGGTAATGTTTTAGTTTCAATGTCCACACTTTCATTGTTAGTATACAGAAATATAATTAATTTTTGTATGTTGATCTTGTATCCTGCAGCCTTGCTGAACGCACTCATTGGTTGTTGATGTTTGTAAACTTTTTGTGTATATAAATTCATTGGAATTTTCTAAATAGGCAATCATGTCATCTGCAAATAGTAACAGTTTTATTTTTCCTTTTGATCTGTGTGTCTTTTGTTTCTTTTTTATGTCTCATAGCACTGGCTAGACTTCCAGTGCTATGTTGGATGAAAGTAGGGAGTGGGCATTCTTACCTTGTTCCTGATCCTCAGGGGAAATCATTCAGTATTTCACTCTTAAGTATGATGTTAGCTGTGGGTTTTTTGTAGCAAGTTGACGATATTCCCTTATATTCCTATTTTTCTGAGAGTTTTAATATAAGTAAAAATTTGACAAATGCTTTTCTGTAGCCAATAATAGGATCATGTGAATTTTCTTTTTTAGCTTCTTAATATGGTAGATTACATTGATTTCTGAATATTAAACCAGCCATGCATACTTGGAATAAACCCCACTTTGTCATAGTATATAGTTATTTGTACATATCACTGTATTCTATTTGCTAATTTTTATTGAGAATTTTGTATCTATGTTTATGAGAGACATTGGCCTCTAGTTTTCTTTTTGTACTATCACTGTCTATTTTTGAAATAGAGTAATAATAGCTTTATAAAATGAATTGTAAAGCTTTTGTGTCTCTTCTATTTCTTTGTAAGATATTTCATAAAATAGGTGCTAATTTTTTTTTTTTTTTTTTTGAGATGGAGTCTCACTTTGTCACCAGGCTAGAGTGCAGTGGTGTGATCTTGGCTCACTGCAACCTCTGTCTTCTAGGTTCAAGTGATTCTCCTGCCTCAGCCTCCCAAGTAGCTGAGATTACAGGTACCCACCACCTAATTTTTGTATTTTTAGTAGAGACAGGGTTTCTCCATGTGGGCCAGGATGGTCTTGATCTCCTGACCTCATGATCTGCCTGCCTCAGCTTTCCAAAGTGCTGGGATTACAGGCATGAGCCACCATGCTCAGCCACAACCCAATTTTTCCTAAAACATATGGAGATTTCTTTTTGGGAGTTTTGAAATTTTGAATTCAATTTTCTTATTTGGTATAGGATTATTCAAATAATTTATTTCATATTAAGTGAGTTGTGGTATTGGTTCATCTCCTTAAAGTTGTCAAATTTATGTCTGTAGTGTTTTTAGCATTCCCTTATTATCTTTTTAATGTTTGTAGGGTCTCTATTAATGTCTCCTGTTTCATTACTGGTACTGATGATTTGAGTCTTCTCTCTTTTTTCATTGGCAGTCTTGATAGAGTTTTTCAAATTTATTGATTTTTTCAAAGAACCAGCTCTTTTTAATTGATTATCTCTTTTGTTTTTCTGTTTTTAATTTTATTGATTTCTGCTCTTATAACTATTATTTTCTTGTTTTTGCTTGCTTTGAATTTATTTTTCTCTTCTTTGTCTGGGTTCTTGAGGTGGGAGCACCTCAAAAAGTTGGGGGCACAAAATAAAGTGTAACATTTGTATTGGTTCTCTTTTTGCTTCATTGTTAGTTTGTTTCTGTAATTAGTGTTAAGTTGTGATCAGCATAAATAATGGGTTATATTATTTGCAAACCTCAGGGTAAACTCAAATAAAAAACAAAACAGATACACAAAAAATGAAAGGCAAGAAGTTAAATCTACTACCAGAGAAAATTATCTTCATTAAAAGCAAGACAAGAAGGAAGGAAAGAAGAAAGAGAAGACCACAAAATAACCAGAAACAAATAACAAAATTGCAGAAGTAAGTCCTTACTTATAATTACATTGAAAGTAAATAGACTAAACTCTCCCATTAAAAGACATAGAGTGGGCTGCAGCCAAGATGGCTGAACAGGAACAGCTCCTGTCTACAGCTCCCAGCATGAGCAATGCAGAAGATGGGTGATTTCTGCATTTCCATCTGAGGTACCGGGTTCATCTCACTAGGGAGTGCCAGACAGTGGGCGCAGGATAGTGGGTGCAGTGCACCATGTGCGAGCCGAAGAAAGGCAAGACATTGCCTCACTCAGGAAGTGCAAGGGGTCAGGGAGTTCCCTTTCCTAGCCAAAGAAAGAGGTGACAGATGGCACCTGGAAAATTGGGTCACTCCCACCCTAATACTGCACTTTTCCGATGGGCTTAAAAAATGGCGCACCAGGAGATTATATCCCACACATGGCTCAGAGGGTCCAATGCCCACGGGGTCTCGCTGATTGCTAGCACAGCAGTCTGAGATCAAACTGCAAGGTGGCAGCAAGCCTGGGGGAGCTGCTTGGTGTGGTGGCGGGCACCTGTAATCCCTTGGGAGGCTGAGGCTAGAGAATCATTTGAACTCAGGAGGCGGAGGTTGCAGTGAGCTAAGGCAAGATCACGCCATCGCATCACGCCTGTTGCTTGGGCAACAGGGCGAGACTCCATGTCAAAAAAAAAAAAATGCTTGCTAATATAAACGTGATCATAAAGACAGCAATGATTATCATGAAATTTTAACTTGCTTACCAGAAAAAGTGCATGATCTAAAACTTGGCAAATGTGCTGTTCCGTGAAACAAGGGGGTGAAGATTAGAAAACTCGAGCTTCTTCGGATTCTGAATTAACTGAAATCATATTTAAGTTGGAAAGACAGTGCCATCTAGTGGTGCATTTCTTTTTCTTTTGAAATTACTGGTTTTAGCCATTCCTGCCTTATATAATTCTAGCACTTTAGGATAATGTCAGTGGTCATGGTCATGGCTGTTCTGTGGCCTTGAGCACATCATAGCTCTGCTATGAATTTAATATTTGGAGTTAGATACACACAGATACTCATTTAGAAATACAATAGGGCGGGGCGCGGTGGCTCACGCCTGTAATCCCAGAGGCAGAGGTTGCAGTGAGCCAATATCACGCCATTGCACTCCAGCCTGGGTGACAAGAGCGAAACTCCGTCTCAAAAAAAAAAAAAAAAAAAAAAAAAAAAAAAAAAAAAAAAGAAAGAAAAAGAAAAAAGAAAAAAAAAAAGAAACAGAAAAGGGGCACTGCGGATCACGAGGTCAGCAGATCGAGACCATCCTGGCTAACACGGTGAAACCCCGTCTCTAGTAAAAATACAAAAAAAATTAGCCGGGCGCGGTGGCGGGCTCCTGCAGTCCCAGCTACTCTCGGGAGGCTGAGGCAGGAGAATGGCGTGAACCCGGGAGGCGGAGCTTGCAGTGAGCCGAGATAGCGCCACTGCAGTCCGGCCTGGAGAAAGAGGGAGACTCCGTTTCAAAAAAAAAAAAAAAAGAAAAAGAAAAAGAAATATAATGAAGATTACTCAGAAGAAAACAAATGTTTTCTAGTTATGTGTTTGAGAGAAATCCAAGCACCCACTATTTCAAAGGATGTTTCTAGAAGGCTGCCATGGCTGCGAATTGTTCTGGGTGCTGGCGACACCACAGTGAAGAAGTCAGACAGAGTCTCCGTCTCCCCACCCGTGGGACTTACATCCTTGTTGGGAAAGAGACCGGACAAAGCAAATAAACAATAAATAAGATCGGTTTTGATTATAATAGGAAAATAAAACAGGATGATGCTGGGGGAGGGCAACATTCGATAGCACGGGCTTCTCTGAGGAGGTGACATGTGAGGTGAGGGCCCATGACAGGGAGTCCTTAGCTGTGCGGGTTCAGCTTCAGCTGAGGAAAGAAGTCTCCTGGCAGGAAGAGCTGCAGGAGCAGGGCCATGGGCAGGAGTCCTCCTGGGATGAAGGAAGTGCAACCAGCAGTGAGGTGCGGGCGGCCTGGGAAGGAGGCACAGGCCAGAGCAGCTGGGGCTTGCAGACCGTGAGAAGGAGCTGGAATTTTACTTTAGGTGCAACAGGGATCTGCCGGAGCATTTTAGTCAGAGCAGGAGCAGCATCTCATTGGAGTTTGCAGACATGCAGGCAATTCAGTGGAGAACACTATGGCTGCTCCGGAATTAGTTCTATTAAGAAGATGTTTCAGTGGGAACAGGTGAAGAACAATGGTGGTCACCTGGAGATGGAGCCCTCTGAGATATGTTTTGAAGGTAGAATGGAGTGGATGTGGAGTGAAGAGAGAGGAATCAGAGATGACTGAAGTTGTAGGCTTGAAACACTGAGGTAAAGAAGTCTCAGGGAGAACAGTTTTGGGAGGGCTTGTGGAAGAGAGGAATCAAAGCACTTGTTTATTTATTTATTAGATATTTATTGAGTGCCTCTCATGTGCAGACACCTAAAAACTGGGAACATGGCAGTGAGCAGAACAGAAATCTGTGCATTCATGGAACTTGTATTCTCTTCAGCGGGAAAGACAATGAAATAAACAAGTTAGCCTGGGCAACATAACAAGACCACATCTCTAAAATTTTTTTTATTAGCTATGCATAGTGGCATGCACCTGTAGTCCCAGTACTTAGGAGGCTGAGGTGGGAGGATCACTTGAGCCCAGAAGTTCAAGGCTGCAGTGAACTATGATTGTAGCCCTGCACTCCAGCCTGGACAACAGAGTGAGACCTTGTCTCCAAAAAAAAAAAAAGTTAAATATGTAGTATGTAGAAGAAGGTAATACTTGCTGTGGAGAAAAGTCAAGCAGGAAAGGAGATGGGAATGTTGGGAGAGTTTACACAAGGAAGGCCGTATTGAGTTGGGGCTATCTTTTTTTTTTTTTTTTGGAGACAGTCTTGCTCCATCACTCAGGCTGGAGTGCAGTGAAACGATCTCAGCTCACTGTAACCTCCACCTCCTAGATTCAAGCGATTATCCTGCCTCAGTCTCCTGAGTAGCTGGGATTACAGGCATGTACCATCACGCCAGCCAATTTGGGGATGTCTGAGTAAAGACCTGAAGAAATGTAGGAAGACAAACGATGTGGATATACAGGGAAGAGCATTCCAGGCAAAGGGAACAGCAAATGCCATACCCAAGAAGCAGGAGCATGACTGGTTTGGCTCAAGAAGCAAAATGAACAAAGTGGAGACAATAAGAAATGAGATCAGAAAGGTCAGGGGTGGGAGAGGAGGAGAGAAGGCCATTGTGATGGCTTTGCTTGTTCTATTGAGTGGATGGGCAGTTAGGAGGGTTTCAGCAGAGCGATGACCTGGTCTGACTTACATTTTAACAGTATCCTCTCGATGACATTTTGAGAATAGACTAAGAGGAACAAGAGCAGAATCAGGGGCTTTGTGGGAGTCTCCAGTGATCATCAAGGCAAGAGATCAGAGCAACTAGGGCCAGAGTGTTAGTGGGTGCAGTGGTTAAGGTAGCAGTGGGTGAGCAGACTCTCATGACACATTCTTTTTAAAATCATAGGTTACTTTCCCAAAGAGGAAAAAAATGTTAGGCATCATACCAGGTTTTTACTGAAAGTCATAATATCATCAATCCAATTATAATTCTGTTCCTAAATTAAGACCACCTCTAAGAACATCCATGTAAAAATGTTTAATCATGACCTATTGTGACTTCACATCCAATTTAGTGTGAAAGATGCAACTTTTTTGTAAATAATGGAGAAGTAATGAATTGTTTTTCTTTTCAGTTATACCATGGGGTTAGTGAAAGTGCCAACTTGGCTGGAACGTTTTGTGGTTCCACTGTACCTGCTCCTTTTATCTCTTCTGGTAACTTCCTTATGGTTCAATTCATCAGTGACTTAACATTAGAAAGGGAAGGATTTAATGCTACATACACCATCATGGACAGTGAGTAGATAGAAGCATTTTTATATGTTATGAAATACACATGTATTTAGGCACTGAAAAGAATGCCCTGCTTATTATATTGAAATTTCAATGTTAATTACTAAACTCAATGTCAATTACTATCTAAACTCAATGTCAATTACTAAACACCATGTTAATTACTCTATGTTTAATCTGTGGTACAAAATTTGATACAATTTTTAGTCAAGGATATAAACCCCCAATTCTTAATGGAATGATGAAAATATAGCTCCTCTGGGGTGGGAGATGAGGAAGACAGAATTTTAAAGATTGCCTGAGATGAGACATGAATAAATTGTCTCCTGTGTTGCTTTTTCTTCCCAGTGCCTTGTGGTGGAACATACAATGCAACTTGGACCCCACAAAATATTTCATCACCCAATTCATCAGACCCAGATGTCCCATTTTCCATCTGTACTTGGGTCATTGACACCCCTCCACATCAGCAGGTCAAGATAACTGTGTGGGTGTTAACAGCTGAGCTCATAAGACTGCATGCAGAATTACTTACAGCTTCAGGACTCACCACAGGTAACAATTATAGGATGAATGACAGTCGCATCTTTTCACTAGCTTTTGCAAAACACTTGAAATAATGAGGCCATGATTAAATAATTTTCTAAGTTACTTCCAGCTTAATGTGTTATTCATCTGTACACAAAGCCCTCCAATCAGGTGTGTCGAGAAACTTGAACTTGGTCCTGTAGGTCCAGAGCTCTCAAAGCTTTGTGTGCCTAAGAATGCATTAAGAAGCATCTTAAAAGTGCATCCTCCCTGGCCCACCCTCAGAGACTGAGTTATAACACCCATTTATCTGACTTTTTGACAAACATCTCTGGTGTTTTGGTGCCAATACCAGAGCTCCATGGACCATGCTTGGAGAAATATGTATAGTTAGTAGGATTTATGTATAGGCTGAATTGAAAGGGTCAATACAGAACACAAGAGAATCAGTGAAGAGGCTGTTTGGCACCAGTTTCAGAGGTCTATATTCATGGTAATATAAGAGAGATAAAAAGAAAAGGGCCGGGCGCAGTGGCTCATGCCTGTAATCCTAGCACTTTGGGAGGCTGAGGCAGGTGACCTGAGGTCAGGAGTTCAAGACCAGCCTGGCCAATGTGGCGAAACCCTATCTCCACTAAAAATACAAAAAATTAGCCGGGTTCAGTGGTGTGTGCCTATAACCCCAGCTACTCGGGAGGCTGAGGCAGGAGAATCGCTTGAACCTGGGATGCAGACGTTGCAGTGAGCCAAGATTGCGCCACTGCACTCCAGACTGGGCGACAGAGCAAGACTTTGTCTCAACAACAACAACAACAACAACAAAAACAAAAACAAAGAGGCTGGGCACGGTGGCTCACACCTGTAATCCCAGCACTTTGGGAGGCCGAGGCAGGTGGATCATAAGGTCAAGAGATTGAGACCATCCTGGCTAACGCGATGAAACCCCGTCTCTACTAAAAATACAAAAAAAAAATTAGCCGGGCACGGTGGCAGGCGCCTGTAGTCCCAGCTACTCGGGAGGCTGAGGCAGGAGAATGGCATGAACCCAATCGCGCCACTGCACTCCAGCCTGGGTGACAGAGCCAGACTCCATCTCAAAAAAAAAAAAAGAAAGAAAGAAAGAAAGCCATTTTGAGCTTTACAAAATGCTGAGTCTGAATTTCCTCTGGAATAAGATGTTGAGGAGACAGTTGGACACAAAGTGGGATGTTGACCTAAGGCCCAGAGATTTTTGTGCATCATCATTATCATGATAAGTAATTGAAATAATGAGAAGAATAAGATTATCCAGGGAAAAATATGTAAAGGGAGAGGCCGTGAACTGAGGATGGATACCAGGGAGAACATTTGAGAATACCTGGATTCTCTTTCTGCAGTCGGGGGAGCAACTAACCCTCCCCAGTTCATTCCAAGAATGTCATGTTCAAGCCCCATGTGCTGGAATAGTAGAGTCCCATTTGTTGTCTTCTGAGTTTTCAGGGTCCTCTTCATTATAAATCTGGGGTCCCCTGCTTCTCACCTGGTCTTGCTGGGGAGAGAAAAGTCCCGTTTGTCTGACTCCAATGTGGAGAGGTGTGAGAGGTGCTGGCAGCTGAATAGGCCCTGGACTTGCTCAGTTTTGTGCAAAGCTTAGATGCTGAGATGAGCTCCCAAGCTCTCAAGATGGACAAGATGCTAGACTATCATCATTCTGTTGGTAATGGTTTTCAGGACAAAATCCCTATTACCCAGTGGTACCCTTACTGGAAGGACTTAGAGCCAAGTGGAACAAGGTCCTTTGGGTGAAGCCTTTTCCCCCTGCTTCATGAAGCTAAGACAATGAGGATCATGGTGGACCACTCAGCGTGCCACTTACAGAACACTAGGCACCAGCTGGAACATAATAGCAGCTGGAGTGGCTGTGAGTAAGACCCAGTGTTTGTCATGACTGAATAATGTTTTCAACTGAATGAATACAGGAAACAATCAAGGGTTTCAGACTGGGTAGGTAGGGAGGAAAGACAAACATTGACGGATGAGCTGGGAGAAACTGGGATTCTCAGGGTATCCAAGAATAGACAGAGAAGGTCTAATTGGAAGATCATGAAGGAATGATGTGTAGGGCTGTTATAGAGGATGTACAGTAGCTACCTGGCATTGGGAATGAACGGAGACACAGAGATGGAAGTCACTGGTGTTAAGAAATATAAAGTGAGGGTGTTTAATGGCTTGTCTGTATAAACACTGAAACCTCTAAGGGTTCAGAAAGGAAATTGGGGGCAGGAGATTACTATGAGCTGAGACACCTCAAGTCTTTCATAAATGCTGGGAAGTAACCAGGAGAAAAGTAAGTGAGAGTGATGACAATGGTGAGAATATATTTGACCAGACGTAGAGACCCTCAAAGGTGAACCAGCTTTGAGGCAAGGATGGAAGCTGCAGTGAGGAACGTGGAGCATCCCTCCCTTCCTCCTAGGCTGACCCCCCACCCTTCCTACTCAATAAACTGTGGAGCATGGGAAAAGAGTGGCCTCTACCAGGAGGCTGGTGGAGAAACAGGTTTTGCTAAGGCTACAAAGTGGAAAGGCGGGGGATGTATATAGAGAATGATTGACCGTGCAGTTAAAGTTCACAGGATACAGCAAAGTTAGACAAGGACCAAGAGCAGGAGACGGTTGGGAGGAGGAGTGGAAGTCCTGAGCAGTAAGAGGAGTTTGCAAGCAGAGGTGGGTTGGGTCTTTCAGTAGGTTCCTAAGGACTGCAGATATTAGAGACATACTTGTGACAGGGAGGCTGCAAATACCCTGACTTTGGTACAACTTGTTTTTATGCAAGAACTGATGGGCATTCAACTGCATTTACTCCAGGCTTTTGAGAGGTAATGAGGGCTGCCCAAGTGTTACAAAGGGGAACCAGCACCTCATTACAGGCCCTGGCTGGCTTGGGGATGTACAGTGGAACCAAAGGCTCTGATTAGATTTGCTAAGGGGTAGCAAGGGCTGGATCAGGGCAATGATGGTTGTTAGTCTCATGGAGCTCAGGACTGGCAAAAGCCCCAGGAGGAGAAATCCAGTGAACTCTCAAACAGCCCAGTGGTGCTCAGAGCAATGGCACAGGCCTCGACTAGGAAGTCACATCAGAGGGGAGGGGTCTTGTTTTCAGCAGGGAAGTGTCTGTGGTTTCAGCAGAAACTTTGCCTCCCCTCCTCCCTCCCCTCTGGGAAGGTGCGACTTGTATCAGTTCCAAGGCCAAAGTGAGTCTTCTTGCAGAGCACTTCCAACAACAGAGCTAGTTTCCATGGTTAAATATTTAAGCCATACTTTTATAGGCAGTTTAATTTCTGTTATGCTGTTCTCTTCTAAAATAAATCTAACATGACTTGGCTTCCATTTCATTTCAGAGTCATGGAAATTCAAGAATTCAGTTCTGTGGCAGAAATGCTTTGGCTATGCCGGTGTTTTATTCTTCTATGAGTACTGCAATTGTCATTTTCAAATCTGGAGTTTTAAACAGAAATTCTAGAATGAATTTCACCTATCAGATAGCAGGTGAGCCCCAGAACTTCATCTTTTATTAAGAAAAGCTGCCATCATTACAATTATTCCTAGAATAATTACAATTATTTCTAGAATTGACTCCCGTTAGTAAATTAAGATTTGTTAACAAAAACCACACCCATCTCTTAACTAGAACCCAGGCCCAATTTAGCAAATTACTAAAGTTGGTTTCTAAAGAGGTAAAGAGAATACAATACTAACCAAGATGCTTAGAATGCTAGCATTTTCTTCAACGTCTATGTAGTTGATTTTAAAAATATACCAGTTATTTTGTTAATTTACGCACTTAACCACACTGAATATACATATTTATTTATGAGAAATATATATATATTTACAAGAGCTTTATCAAAATATAATCCTCATGTCATACAATTTACCCATTTAATGTTTATATTTCAGAGGTTTTTAGTATTTTCACAAGGTTGAAAATCTTAGAAAATTATTTTTGTAAAAATCAAAAAGCCTTAAAAGAGTTACCTGATTACTATCACTGAGAAGTTTATTTTCACAGAACACTTTATTTGATATTTATTTTGAATTGATTCAAATGAAAGCTGCCTTTGGTTAAACAAACAAAAGTACTTTAGATTTTTTTTACAAAAAAAAAGGTAAAGAACGATTTCCCACAAATAACTCACAAATGGATTTAAAATCCTTGCGCAAAACTCTGTCTTGGAGGTAGTGTCCTTGTCTAAAAGAGAGTCTGAATGCTAGCCACTTCACCTCAATGTGATCAGAAAAGTTCAAAGGATCCTCGAGTATTCGTCTTTAAAGGAGAAGGCTCCTGTGTCATGCTTCCTGTAGGGGTGTTTGTGTGAATGAGCTGCTGCATTGCATGTGTGTGTGCTGCTTGAAATTCACTTCACTGCTCAGGGTCTCAATTATCTCAAAGGTAAACGAAGAAGCTGGATTACCTTTTTCTAAAGTTTGTTCACATATAATGATCTTTTTGAATTATTCCTGCGAAGTTGAAAGAGCACTGAACGCTGGAATGCATACATTAATTATGCATATTTTTCTCCTAAGATTGCAACAGAGACTATCACAAGGCATTTGGCAACCTGAGGAGTACTGGATGGCCAGATAACTACGACAGTGACATGGATTGCACCATTACTCTCACAGCCCCCCACAACCACACCCTCTTTTTTCATTTGTTTGGCATTGAGAACTCAATTGAATGCAGAAACGATTTCTTGGAGGTAATATGCATTTGAATATCATTTAAATGATGATGGATTTTACACCTTTTCTTTAGTGCTTCTAATGCTCTATGATTCTTACTTGTTTCATTAATTTATTCATTACCCTTTCATTCCCTAAACATTTACAGAGCACCAGTCCAAACACCGGAAATTGGGAACCTCAGGGCCCTCGGAAGACTCCTAGTCTGGTGGAAAGGACAGATGGGGTATAGCCAATTACAGCACAATGTGGAAAGGACTAACTGAGTCCAGCAGGGGTAGGGGTTCCTAACTCAGTCTGGGAACTAGAAAGCTTCTTTAAGAGGGCAATATGTAAGTTGAGACCTAAAAGGATCAGAGGAAAGTCTAAGAACAACAAGCTGATTCTGTAAAATGAAACTGAATGATACTAAATAGCTCACCTAATTTCCCTGACAGCTACAGTAAGTTTGGGGCATCGTCAACATCCTCTAAAGACAAGTGTTGCCTTGAAAAAGTGCTCCCTTGTTGCAGGAAGTGTGGTCTGTCCTTTTTCCACCACAACTCCAGAGCTCTCATTTGGACACAGAAGTGACTTTGCTGTTTGCCCATTCTCCACCCATTCACCCCCAACTCCCACCCCAGGACACACTGAGAGAGAAGCCCCCCTTGCACCTGGAGCAGGCAGAGCCATGCCCCTTGTGGGCCTGAACCTTTGGGGTCTTCCAGAGCCCCTGGTGAGCTCCCTCTGTGCTCTTTCTGCCACATCACCTGCATTGAGCATGTGAGATGGAACATGAATATCATTGCTCATAGGCAGGAAACGGTCTGAATAAGACTCATCTGATGCGGACCCAGTGTGTGGAACTCAGCACCTGTGTTTTGCCAGAAAACCCCCCAGAGCTCATGCGGTTGTGACCTTTGCAAGCTCTGTTGAAAATGCATTCATCCTTAGGAAATAAACTCAGGTGGAACCTGAGACTCAAAAGGATAAGGATGCTGAATTCCTCTGAGAGTGGAATTTAAATCTAAACCTCATCCCGATGCTCTCTAAACTGGCTTTGTTTCACCATACAAGAGGCTTCAGTAAGGTTTCCAAAAAGTTTGCTTGTTCCTCTACACCTGATCTGGAGTCGTATTTTTTGTTTTATTTTTTTTTCTCACTGCCTCTTTGATCAGGTCTTCATTCAAAATAAGCTTCCCAAGATGATTTGATCTTTGTAGCATAAACAAATGTACTGGTGTATGCAGCAGGCTTCTTTCCTTCTGTGGGAGGATTCTTTCCAGTGGGCTTCTGTTCAGCTGCTAGTTTCTTGGTAGCTGCAGCCTTTGTTCCCAACAAAACATCTTTTCTCACCTGCAACCCACCTCATCTGATTTGGCTTCTAGGGCTGCTGTCACCTTCTGCCCGGCCTGGTGAGGAAGGGTGTTCTGGCACATGGTCTTTGCCTATGGGTTTAGCTTCAACATGATTCTTGATGCAGTTTTATCATCCTGGAAAGCTCTCCCCTTTGGAATTCATCTAAATCCTTTATTAATCAATAGCCTTAACATGTAGTTTCATAAATAACACTCAGAGGAAGCTCATGCCTTTTCTAAAGGAATATTCCCATGACAGGAAACCAAAAGATGTATGTAGCAGGGAGGAAACGAAGAGACAAATACAGTATTCTTTGTGCCGGTCAGGTTACTCAACTTGGACCTACGTACCTCCCCCACCACGGAGATCCATATATTTATATGAAGTGTAAAGCAGAAAGAATGAGGAGAGTGGGATCTGGATGAAAGATGGAATAATCCCGTTAGGTTGGAGTCACAGTGCAACTAACTCTTAACTCACTCCAGCTTGAATGGACCATTATTGATCAGAGTCAACATTTGCCATTTGCCTGATAGATGCTGGGAAGCAAAGCCTTGCTTTCCAGCCATGGACAGTAAGAACTCTTCCTCCTCGCTGTCCTTCATTACTCCGTAGAATGGATCTGAAACTTCCTGTCCCATAAGCAAAGAAAGGAAACCACAGCTTAGGCCTGTAAAATGTAGCTCCGTCTGGCTCTCGGTGGGAAGACTGTGGGCATAGTTTATTGGCAGCTGGACCAGGAAGCCTCAGCATTCCATTCTTGTGAACTGCCGTAGGAACAGAAATGTCTGACTGAGGATTCTGTGTTACTACCAAGTGAGGGCCGAGCTCTAGACCATGCCTGGAATCTGCGATTGTTTTCATGCCTTCACCTCCCCTTCCAGGATCCTCTGATGTCGCAGGGATGCCCGCTGCTCTCGGTGGCCCCATTCCTCCTAGGAGACGAAAGTGAATAAGACAAGTTGTTGGCAGTGTCCGTGAAAATTAGTATCTCACTGCTCCTCTCAGAGCAACGCCATTTTAAAAGAGGACCCCTGGGTGAAAACACCCAAACTCAAGGGTATGGTGCTGGAAGGTCTTAAATATGGCAGCCCTCCTATCTACTAGTGGATAACTGGCTACTCTGTCATGGCAAGTCTACTTTATTTAAACACTTAGCAGAATAATCCCTGAAGCACTAGAAAGGCATTAGTCTCTCCCATGGGCTACTACATAGACCTAAAAGGAATCTCACCTGATCAACACAGCCCAGCAAGATTAGACTGTCTTAACTCTGTGACTTAAGATACCAGCAATTAACCAAATTTTAAATCATGGAATTACAAAGGGAAGAGAGGAACTTCCAGTGTTTTGAATACATGGATCAGTAAAATCAGCATTTCTACATGTCAGGCTGGTTCCAACATACATTGCCTGTGTAACGTTTCCTTTAGAAGCGTCGAGAGCCCTCCTGGAAGCAGGTCTAGTTGTGAATGCAGGGTAGGAGCCAGGCTGGGGGACAGAAAATGGTTGAATTCACAGTGTGGTTCTCTCTTCCCTCAAAACACCAACTCATTTCCTGTTTTTATATGTGTCTATTCAAAAATGAGGAGTTGAAACAAAAAAGCAACAAGGCCTCGGAATGTGTTTTTAAAACACGTTTAACAACAGTCAGAAGTTGTATAGATTTATAATTCTGTCCTTCACCCATACAGAAATTCCTTTTGTTCTGAACTTTATTATACTTTGCATTGTATTTTCTTCGTAGCCCCTTTACAGCCAAGTAATTTTCAATGGGAAACCCGTGTGCGCGCGCACTCATACACACACACACACACACTATGAAAAATGTATAATAGTTGACTGGAAACAGGGCAGGCAACATTGCCCCCACCCATCCCCACCCTTTAAAAATTCACTTTACCTACATTCTTCCAAATGTTTCCCCAAAAGCAAAGGCTGCAGGATCATAGCAAAAACTATTATATAAAAAAGCAGCCTGATGTTTTAATTGCTACAGGTTAACAGATATTTCTGAATCCAAATACAAATGTTTTTTGATCTACACATGGAACATTTTTCCCCTTTGCAAGTGAAGATGACTTCTGCATGTATTTTCAGAAAACCCTTCATTCTTATGTATATAAAAAGACAAAGCTTTTCCAAAAAGTGTCATCATTCAAATTGTCTCACAGTGTAATGTATATACATTGGAGAAGAAAGTGTAAGTTTAATAATGAATGACTCCTTCCTAAAGGTGAGAAATGGAAGTAACAGCAATTCACCATTACTTGGCAAGTACTCTGCTGCCAAACCCTGTCTTCTCTCAAAATAATGAACTATACCTATGATTTAAGAGTAATAGTGTAATTTCGGATCGTGGATATGAAATCATCTGGACCTCATCACCCTCTGGTAAGACATTTGTACTTTGTACGGGAAAGCAGTGTAGGTGAGTAAAACATAAGGTGTCTAATAGAAAAAGGCAAAGTAACCTTATATTTTTTAGCTACCTGTGTAACTGATTAATTCATGTTAAGAATAGAGATTTTTAACAATGAAGGTACAAATTATTTTGTTGTTGTTGTTGTTGAGATGGAGTCTTGCTCTGTCGCCCAGGCTGGAGTGCAGTGGCACGATCTCAGCTCACTGCAACCTCTGCCTCCTGGGTTCAAGTGATTCTCCCACCTCAGCCTCCCTAGTAGCTGAGATTACAGTTGCATGCCACCATGCCCAGCTAATTTTGTATTTTTAGTAGAGACGGGGTTCTGCCATGTTGGCCAGGCTGGTCTTGAGCTCCTGACCTCAGGTGATCTACCCGTGTCGGCCTCCCAAAGTGCTGGGATTACAGGCATGAGCCACTGCACCTGGCCAGATTACTTTAAATTCTACATTTATTCATTATTTCTGTTTATAAAATAATATATATTCATATATGAAGCACATATAAGGTATGAAGATTTAAAAATTCCTTTGTAAATTCAATTTTGTTAGACTTTTTGACTGTTGGTTTGACCATCAAGGAAGTTCATTGACAATTTAAGGAAAAATATTTACCAAAAATCCAACTTATGAACACATTCTGGCATATATATGAATGGTTGTGCTTCTCACAGGCCCTGACATTTGTTGGCAGTCCTGGAGAGAAATTGCTTTTTTAGGGTAGTAAGTATCCTCTCATATTTTTGGTTGGCCACTTTTCAAACAGCTAAAGAAAATTTAAGTCATGTCAATACATTTAATGCAAGAGAGGAGAAATACCTTTATGAAATGTCCTCAAATACCAACATACATTCCAAATAAAAAAAGATAAACAGAAATCACTTTAAATACCTTAAGAAAATGGTTCTATTAAGATAATCGTGGGTAATGGAATTTTGGCACCCAAAGGAAGACAAAGATGACTTCCAATGCTCAAATTTTATCGACGAGGAAATAAAACACCAAGATTAGGCTGGGTGTGGTGTCTCACGCCTATAATCCCTGGGAGGCCAAGGCAGCTGGATCACCTGAAGTCAGGAGTTCCACACCAGCCTAGACCACATGGTGAAACCCTGTCTCCACTAAAAATACAAAAATTAACTGGACATGGTAGTGCATGCCTATAATCCCAGCTACTTGGGAGGCTGAGACTGGAGAATCACTTGAACCTGGGAGATGGAGGCCGTAGTGACCTGAGATCACACCACAGCACTCCAGCCTGCGTGACAGAGCAAGATTCTATCTCAAAAAAACCCACCAAGATTAATGAGTTGCCCAAAATGCTCTGCTAGACTGAGGTGGAGATGGGACTAGACCTCGGTGGTCAAAGGCCCAGCCAGGTGCTCCGTAACTATGACAGCCAGCTTCTTCCTGTCCTGGAGGCGATCTGGATCTCCACAGATATGTAGTCTATATGTAGTCTAAATCATGACAGCCTTCATATACAGATTAACAAATTGAACAAATTAACACCAAAACTTGAAGTATTCGACCTTAAGTATGTCAGTTATTAGGGTGGTAAAGTTACTTTTATAATGAAGTCATTCCTGCCACCACCTACAATCACACACTTCCTCTTGGTTTAGTGCTGAATTTTCCTTCTAATTTTACTTCACTCACATCATTGGCATCAACTCAGGGTAAGCAAAGATCTCCGCACCATCGAAAGCACAGAGGCAACAACTTGATTTTCTCCCACAGTTACTTTATTAAGTTTTTGTTTGTTTGTTTTGTTTTGTTTTTGTTTGTTTGATTGTTTTCCATTCTGCTGTCAACCCCCGATTTTCAAAGTACAGTCCTGGAGGAAGTTGTCCTTGGATCGTGATATGCAGGCAAAGGCATGTGTGTTGAGGATGGAAGAGGTGGTGGTGGCGATGGGAAGAGAGGGGAAGTGAGGAGAAAGGGTGTAGCCCAAAGAAGAGGAACAGGAAAAGCGGTTTCTGCCTCTATTATTCTTGCAGAGTCTCAGCACCTTAAGAAAATGAAGTCTTATTGCCTAACAAGCCAGACTGGATGGCTTATACATTGTTGAATCAAACTTCCTGTCCTGTTTTCCTTGCAGGATGTGGTGGAACTCTTTATGGAGACAGAGGCTCATTCACCAGCCCTGGCTATCCAGGCACCTATCCAAACAACACGAACTGCGAGTGGGCACTGGTAGCTCCTGCTGGAAGGCTTCTCACTGTCAACTTTTACTTCATCAGCATTGACGATCCAGGAGACTGTGTCCAGAACTATCTCACACTCTACGATGGGCCCAACGTCAGCTCTCCATCCTATGGACCATACTGCAGAGGCGTGAGTAGAACAAACATTTTATATTCCCATTTGTTATGTTTAGACAATGAGTCACTTAATGTAGACTTTTTTTTTTTTTTTTGAGACAGAGTCTCGCTCTTGTCACCCAGGCTGGAGTGCAGGGGCACAACCTCAGCTCACTGCAACCTCCGCCTCCCAGGTTCAAGCAATTCTCCTGCCTCAGCCTCGTGAGTAGCTGGGATTACAGGGGCCTGCCACCACGCCCGGCTAATTTTTGTACTTTTAGTAGAGACGGGATTTCGCCATGTTGCCCAGGCTGGTCTTGAACTCCTGACCTCAGGTGATCCGCCCACCTTGGCTTCCCAAAGTGCTGGGATTACAGGCGTGAGCCACTGCGCCCGGCCTGGTGTAGGCTTTTAAAGGCAGACACATGCAGAGTACAAAGCACAGCCTTTAACAAATTGAGCAGTTTTCCGACTTGCCTTTCTATTCTCGGAGCATGAGTGCCATCTGGTGGGCATTGCATTAAATTACTATTAATAGTTACCAAAATCAGCTCTGCTTCAGAATCACCTGTGGAGTTACTTACATTAGACTTCCAGTTCCCACTGAAACCTATTGAATCAGGATTTCCCGGGGAGGAGCCACAGCATGCTGTTTTTTAAAAGCTCCCTCTGTGACGTCAGTGCACCGCCTAGGGTTGAATACCCATGTTTATTTCTGCATAAATAAAACTATAGAACATTTGGACACCTGGCTCTATTTTATCTACTTCTTGCTGAAAATTGCAGGAATTCTTTGAAGAAATGGTGACTGATAGTTTGTTTTTGTAAAGCTCATATCAGGGCTTTACAAACAACAACTCAGAATCTGATGTTGATTCAATATTGCAGGCATCTGTGCTTACGGTCCTCTCATTTTATGTGCAAGTAGATACTTAAAGAGAGTATGGGCTCACACCTGTAATCCCAACACTTTGGGAGGCCCAGGCAGTTGGATCACTTGAGGTCAGGAGTTTAAGATCAGCCTGGCCAACATAGGGAAACCCCATCTCTACTAAAAATACAAAAATTAGCCAGCATAGTGGCACACGCCTATAATCCCAGCTACTCAGTAGGCTGAGGCAGGAGAATCGCTTGAGCCCAGAAGGTGGAGGTTGCAGTGACCCGAGATTGCGCCACTGCACTCCAGCCTGGGCGACAGAGCCAGACTCTGTCTCAAAAAACAAGAGAGTAAGTAAGGGAAAAGTGGCTGCTGGCAAGTGGGTATCTGTTTCTAATTTTTCTGCTCTTTAATCACTTAGGCTTTGTAATCAAACTAGACAGAGAATTATATCAGCTGGAAATCTAGATGGTTTTTTAAAATATATTATTTATAAAATTGATAAATGCTATTTTCAGAAGTATCAGAAAATAGACTAATTTTTCTAACACCCTAGCATTCTCATATATTCTTAACACCTTTCTTTGAATATCTTTGCATATATTTTACATGCATATTTTTTACTGTTTGATGTTGTGTTTTTTCCACTTACCAATACATCATTAATATCTTATCTTAATAAAAACACTGGTGCATCGTATTTAGTTTTTGGAGAGTATTCCATTGCATAAGTGCAGCCTAATTTATTTAACGAAGCCCCTCTAAGTGGACATTTAGGTCTCTTGAACTTTTTGCAACTACAGACAACACTTAATAAACTTTTTGTTAGTGATATCTTTATACACGGAGTTACATTACTTGGTGAGAAATGGTGATCGCAGGACCAGCAGATACTGTATTACGGGGTTGCACAGAAGGCCCACAGACAGAGACCCCAGTAAATGTGCCACACATCAGATTTAGAAGCTAACCAGCTCTTAGACATTGAATTGAAATTTACAAACATTTCAAAAGGGAGGAAAAGAGACAATTTTAACAATATCATGACTTTATATTGACAGGTTTTTTTTTTTTTGTGGGCATGGTTTTCAGTGGCTTGCAAACATATAACCCCATTTGATCCCCACAGTGACAATCCCGTAAGGTGGAAAGAACAAGTATATCCTGGACTTTGCAGATAAAAGAAAACTGAGTCACTGAGAGAAGTGATTGCCATTTAATCCAGTGCCGCGTTAAGCTGTAATATATAGCGAGATACATCAATTTTTAAACTGTTGGTGTTTACAGTATTTTCCCAGTTTTACATTTTCTTTTATAAATGTAGATATAATTTCATGTGTAATTGTTTTTTTCCTTAAAGGTACCACTGATTTAACACTTTATAAATGTTAAACATAAATTTAAAAAAGTAAAACATAAGTATAAAATAGTCAATTTACATAGAGAGGTAGCTCTTATTTTGCTAATATTTACATACTTACAACTTTTTGTAAGTATGTAACTTTTTGTAAGTTGTAATATTTTGCTAATATTTACATACATACAACTTTTACATTTTACATACATACATATTTACATGCATATTCACATACAAAAGTCATATACTTTTTTATATATACTCCTTAAGTATACAATTCAACTTTTGTATGTATGTAAATATGCATGTAAATATGTATGTAAAATGTAAACTTACATTTATATACATACAATTTACATACAGAGGTGGCTCCTTATTTTGCTAATATAAATACAAACCATCCCCTGATTTGGGAGATATTTTGTGTTATGGTAAATACCATTGTTCACAGGGAAATCCTCTATCCCTTGCAACTACAGAATATGAACATCAAGCAAATGAAAGAATAATGGGAAAAACAAGGAGAATCAAAGGAGATTCTAAAACTTCTGTTGACTGTCCATACTAGTTTGTCAATATAAAAGAAGTTGTTGAAATTTGGAAGCAGATTAAAGTGGAGGTAAAAAGTAGACATGCATAGGAATAAAAATATTGCATATACCTTGATATATCTCTTACAGAAAAAAATCTATACTCACTTGAATTAGTGAGTATCTTGGAAATAAGTCTGTGTTTTGATGACTTGGGGTGGGGCTGAGGCAGGAAAACCCAGTAATGTGGGCATCATGAGAGCAGGGCTTTTTGCCTGTTTTGCTCATTTTTTAATATCCCTAGTACTAAAAACAATACCTGCAGTGTGGCAGTGACTTGATCAATATTTGCCAAATGAATGAACAGAAAGTGAGAGAAAACGGGGACCCATCTATTCCCCTCAACACACAGACAAACACACACTGTTCCACAGAAGTATATGAAAATAAATCCCAAGAGGAAGCTATAAACATTGAGGATGAAAATAGCATATTTTACTTAGTGTGATCATTTCACTTACATATGTTTCTTTAAGAAAAATTAAATTTGCAGTAAGAACTTGAATAAGAAGTTCAAATTTTTCGATAACAGTTTTATTGAGGTATAATTTACATACCATACATTTCCATACATACAATTTACATACCATGCAATTCACCTCCTTAAAGTATACAATTCAGTGGTCTTTAGTAGATTCACAGAGTTGTGTGGCCATTATCAGCACAGCCAATTTTGGGACACTTTCATTACTCCCCAAAAGAAACCCTGTACCCACTAGCAGTCCTTCCCCATTTTCCCTTAACTCCCCATGCCCAGAAATATTTCTTTGTAAAGCATTTGCATTCATTCTTTGCAAGGTTACTTCAAGAAATATATGCAGGTTCACTGTAAATTCTATAAAATTTCTTTATGTGGTACTTTGTTACTAGGTTAACATTTCTAGAAAAAGTTTCAAATATGTGAAGTATATAATTTGATACTTTTTTTTCAACTTTAGGATACCAGCATAGCTCCCTTCGTGGCTTCCTCAAATCAGGTCTTCATAAAATTTCATGCTGCTTATGCATGGCATCCATCCACATTGCAATTAACTTGGGACTGCTAAGTGGGTAACTCAGCATGTTCACTCAGCACTTTCCCTCTGCAGCATGCTAGACAGGACTTTGTCATCTTTATACACGACCCCTGCCAATGCCATGGAGAATAAGCTGTACTTTTATGGTTTTCACCAAACCATGGATAGAATCAATATTTGTAGGTTGGGCATGGTGGCTCATGCCTGTAATCTCACCACTCTGGGAGGCTGAGGTGGATGGATCACCTGAGGTCAGGAGTTTGAGACCAGCCTGGCCAACATGGCGAAACCCCGTCTCTACTAAAAATACAAAAATCAGCTGGGTGTGGTGGCAGGCACCTGTAATCCAAGCTACTTGAGAGGATGAACCAGGAGAATTGCTTGAACCTGGGAGGCGGAGGTTGCAGTGAGCCAAGATCACACCACTGCACTCCAGCCTGGGTGACAGAGCAAGACTCCATCACAAAAAGAAAAAAAAATCAATATTTGTACATTTTCTTGAGCATAGAATATACCTTCTTTAGTCTTGAGTGTGCATTTCATTCTAATATTTTCAGCTGAAATTTAAAAAAATATCTTTGAAAGACTTGGAAATGATTATGGCATATGTGACATACATTTTTCAAAGTTAATAACAATAGCCAGGGACAGTGGCTCATACCTGTAATCCCAGCATTTTGGAAGGCCATGGCAGGAGGATTGCTTGAACCTAGGAGTTCGAGACCAGCCTGGGCAACCCAAAGTGAGACCTCATTTGTACCAAAAATACAAAAATTAGCCGGGCATGGTGGCATGGACCTGTGGTACCAGCTACACAGGAAGCTGAAGCAGGAGGATCACTTGAGCCCAGTACGTTAAGGCTGCAGTGAAACCCTGTGAACCACTTTATTCCAGCTTGGGCAACAGACTGAGACCCTGTCTCAAAAACGACAACAACAACAAAAGTTAATGATAATATAGAAGTATAAATTTCATGTGAATGTTCAATTAGGGATAATAAATATTATTGAATTGTACACAATTATGCTGCATTAATTTTTGACATATTAAAACTCTGTCTTTCACTATGGGGCATAAATTTTCAAGTTTAATTTTTACATTTTGGAAAAGAATTTAATATACATATGAATCTTCCAGAGAATCAATTCTGGAGACAAGCTGCCTGAGTTTGAATTTTAACTTTACTAGTTAAGTGCTTACTTAATCTCTCGGTGCTCAGTTTCTTCATTTGTATGAGGGGATTATTTTACCTGTCCCACAGGGTTGCAATAATTATGTACATGTGTAAAGACTCAGAACAATACCTGGAACATATTAAGTAATCAGTAAATGCTAGCTTCTATGTCAATTAGTAGTAGTATGGCTCACCTCCCTAACATACCGATGTACCTGCTTTTCCCCTACTCCAAAGCCAGGCCCAAGTCTCACCTATGTTTAACTTTTGCCATGCCCCTAAGTCAATCTGAGCTTCTCCAAAGACCTTGCCTTGACTACGGAGAAATTTGCTGTAACCTCTGATTCTCTATTTCCCTCCCATTTGCCTCAAACTTCTGTTTCTCCTGGCCACGCTGAACCTTTTCTCCATTTATCCCCAGGACCCTGTGCTCTCCTGGTTATTTAATCTCTCTGAGTATTCTCCACTCTCTTGTAAAATGGTGGCCCTCTTCATACAGCTCCACTAAGCAGTGCCCCAGTGGGAACTCAGTGTGGGGCCTCCAACTCCACATTTCCCTGCTACACTGCCCTAGTAGAGGTTGTCTGCAAGGATTCTGCCCCTGCAGAAGGCTTCTTCCTGGAAACCCAGGCTTTCCCATACTGCCTCTGAAATCTAGGTAGAGGCTGCCAAGAATCTACCACTGTTGTACTCTGTGTGCCTGTAGGTTTAAAACCATGTGGAAGCTGCCAAGGCTTATAGCTCTCATTCTCCAAAATTGCAGCCCAAGCTGTGCCTAGGCCCCTTTGAGACACAGCTGGAGCTGGAGTGACCAGGATGTGGGGAGCAGTGTCTTGAGGCTGTGCAGGGAAGCAGGGCCCTGGGCCTGGCCCATGAAATCATTCTTTCCTCCTAGGCCTCTGGGCCTGTGATGGGAGGGGTTTCAGCAAAGTTTTCTGAAATGCCTTTGGGGCCTTTTCTCCGTTATCTTGGATATTAGCACTTGACTCCCTTTTAGTTATACAACTATCTCTAGCAAGAGGATGCTCCACAGTCTGCTTGAATCCCTCTCCTGAAAAAGCTTTTTCTTTCTCTGCCATATGGCAGAGAATTTTCCATGTACACAAAATTTACATATGGCTGTAAATTTTCCAAAATTTTACTCTCTACTTTCCTTTTTAATATATGTTCCAACTTGAAGTCATTTCTTTGCTCCCACATCTGAGCATATGCTTTTAGAAGCAGCCAGGCCAAATCTTGAACATTTCGCTGCTTAGAAATTTTTTCCACCAGATACCCCGGGTTGCCACTCTTTAGTTCAAACTTCCACAGATCCCTAGGGCATGGACAGAATGCAGCCAAGCTCTTTGCTAATGCATAATATGTGTCACCTTTGCTCCAGTTCCCACTAAGTTCCTCATTACCATCCAAGACCTTGGCAGCCTGGACTTCATTATCCATATCACTATCAGATTTTTAGTCACAACTATTAACCAGTCTGTAAGAAGTTCCAAATTTCCCTCATCTTTCTGTCTTCTGAGCCCTCCAAACTCTTCCAACTTCTCTACCCATTACTTTGTTCCAAAGTCAGTTCCACATTTTCAGGTATCTTTATAACAAAACGCCACTCCTGGTACCAATTTTCTGTATTAGATCATTCTTGCATTGCTATAAATAAATACCTGAGACTGGGTAATTTATAAGGAAAAGAGGTTTAATCTGCTCACAGTTCTGTAGGCTTTATAGGAAACATGGTGCTGATATCTGCTTGGCTTCTGGGGAGGCCTTGGGAAGCTTATAATCATGGAAGAAGGTGAAGGGGAAACGAGCATGTCACATGGTGAAAGCAGGAGCAAGACAGCGAGAGTAGGGGGCAGGTGCCAACACTTTTAAGTAACCAGAACTCATTTGAACTCAGAGTGAGAGCTCACTTATCACCAAGGGGATGGCCCAAGCCATTCATGAGGGATCCACCCTCATGATCTAAACACCTCCCACCAGGCCCACCTCCAACATTGGGTATTACAACTCAACATGAGATTTGGGCGGGGATAAATATCCAAACTATATTATATATTTACTCTCAAGAGTACAAAGTTTCCATAAGCAGCACCACTGCCTATTCCTTAACACAATATATTAAGTTATAAATAAACAATATAGTTTGCCATTTAACAACAAGTAGAAAGTTCAATAGCACATCCTTATCTCCAGTGCTGCCAGACATGTAACTTAGTGAGGTAGTTATCAGCTTCCTTTTTATAAGAACATCCAATGCTTTTATAAAGTTTTTCACTGCCTCTAGAAAAGCAGAAGCCTTTACAAAGGAAATTTGCTTTATGTTAATTATGCAAAATCAAGGGTTATTAAGAACATGAGACCAAGTGAATGAAAGAAGCTGTGGAATATATTACTTCATCTTACTCTAATACTCAAATTTCAGAGAAATTATTCCTGGACAGAGTATGGAGGTACATAAAGAAAATACTCTCACCTTAAAAATTCAGCTACTTGGGAGGCTGAGGCAGGAGAATCGCTTGAACTCAGGGAGGTGGAGGTTTCAGTGAGCCAACACCACGCCACTGCACTCCAGCCTGGGTGACAGAGTGAGACTCCATCTCAAGAAAACAAACAACAAAAAAAATTCCTGCTCCCTTTTTGTATTATGGATAGATATATCAACTTTATGGATGACATTTCTATTGGAAAGGACAGCAAATGCAATGAGTAACACCATCAAATCCAAAGGGTCTTGATAAGCTAGAAAAATGGGCCAATAGTAACAGATGAAATGTGATAGATATAAAATCTTCCTCTTTTATCTAATAAATGAATTGCAAAGGTACAGAATACAGGGAAAGTTTAATAATAACATGAAATGACACAGTACTTTTCTGAAAGCAAGATTAACATGATGTAGCTGTCAAAAAAATGATGCTTGGATCATGGATTGCATCATTAGAGTAATGGTATCATTTCCACTCAGAAGGGCATGCTTTTCTAGGAGGCATATTGGAATATCTGGGAGGGGTGTACATGAAATTGAGGAAAGCATAATCAATATTATTATGTAATTTTAAAATTAAAAATACAGAAAAAAGAGACAAAATGAAGCTTTACAAAATCTTCCAGGCTAACCATCTAGGAAATAAACAGTGATTTTTTAGTGGGTTAGGGGATTGACAGGCTTGGAAGCATGACATTTTCATGTACAGCAAAGGGAAGTAGTTATTGAGCAATTCAGTTTTTGAGTAATTCAGCTGGAAGAAGGAGAAAAGAGTCGACTCTACTCTCATTAGTAAGACCCATCATATATCCTCTGGTTTTGCTTTACATTTAATTCACTCATTTCCAAATGTTTATTGAGCATCAGCTATGTGACATATACTAAGTGCACTGAGGATAAAGCAGAGAACAGACAGCCATACAAGACTATCAGCTGATTTCTCCCAACTTCACAAAGCACACTTCCCAGGTCCATCTTGCTTGATTTCCTGAGCCAGTCCCAAGGCAAAAACCTTAATATTCTTATCTGGTGAAACACACATTGAGTCAACTTCCCAGATCTAGTGGCCAAGGGATGTTTCCTGATTCCACGTTGTGTCACCATGAAGTCTCACTGCTAGCAATCAGGACCCTGGACAGGCTAACCATCACCCTAGCAAATTAATCAAACCCGAGAAGGGGGTGTGGGAATACTGATTTATAGGTGGTCAGAAGTATAGGTGACAGTCAACCTAAAGTAGGGGACAGTCTTGTGGAAATGCACCCTTAACTTGTGGGATTTGACTGTAAGTTGAGGTAGTATCAGAATTAAGTTAAACTGTAGGACACTTAGCTGGTGTCTGCTGGAGAACTGTTTCATGTGTGGGGGAATCTCTGGTGTCAGAAGTGTTGAGCGTGTAAGAGTAGCAAAAACAGTTTGGTTTTTACTATCTCAAACAGGAGTGAAAACAAATTCCTGTGAAGCAGGAGTGAATGGAGGCATGCAGCCCAAAATAACTTTGAGAGAGAAATGCAGGAGGTTTGGGACTCTCTGTTCCAGGTGTTATCTGGATGTGGGGCTGGCAGGTGCAGTGTGAGGAGCTAAAACCAAAGTCATGGAGTTGCCTTAACTGGCACTGACAATCCATCATTTCCCTCCACCAGCAAAGGTAGCCTGGTGATGACCTGCAGGCATAACACTGGGTTCTTGCCTCTAAAGAAATTCAACAATCAGCCCAAGGATCTAGGAGGAAAACAATACACACAAACGAGAGGAAAGAAACCACTCCAGCTATCTAGAAAAACCATTTCAGATCTTCACACTTGAACTCAAAAGGACAACAAAGAATAAACCACCAGAGAGGGGAAGAATTTTTCTTTTCTAGGGGAAAGACTAGATAAACACACATAAGAATGGAGCCTTGAAGAAACATAATTTAGTGAACAGAAGAGAGGTTTAAAAACTATTATCCTCAGTGATACTTGAGAAGAGAGTACATTTATGAAACAAAAACAGGGTGTTATTATAGAGAAACAAGAGTGGGGCTGTCCAATAGGACTGGTGTCCTTATAACAGGAAGAGACACCAAGGGTGTGATTGCACAGAGAAAAATACCCTGGAAGGACACCAAGAGAAGACAGTCATCCACAAGCCAAGGGGAGAGTCCACAGGATAAATCAAATCTGCTGGCACCTTGATCTTGAACTTCCAGAACTGTGAGAAATTTCTGTCGTTTAAGCCATCCGGTCTGTGGTATATTGTAACGACAGCACTAGCCGATTAATACAGGTACTACTGTCTTCAGCCTACACAGTCAAGATTCACTATTAGAAACTGATGGAACAAGAACAATTCTAATTTTTTCAAGAAAGTTCTTTTGCTTTAGAAGAGTTAGTGATTCAAGAAATAAATGTATTAGGAGATTACCAACTAATACATACAGATGAAATTATGAAGTTAGAAAATCATCAGTGGATGCTAAAACTACTAGGTAAAAATTAGATGAGAAAAGGGACGTAATCCAATAGCACCTCCCCCCAGCATTATTTTTAATCATAAAGAAAAAATAGTAACTTTATGGTGAAGAAACCTCGCAGACACCACCTTAACCAAGTGAACATCATCAATACTGGGAGAAACCGATGTTATCTCTACCTTGATAACATGCACTGGAAAAGACACATCACTTAGTGGTGTTTCTCCAAAAATTCATAACCTGAAAGGGAACATCAGACAAACTCACTTTAAAGGATATTCCACACAATACCTGGTCTGTACTCTTAAATAACGTCATTTCAATAAATATAAAAGCCAAGGAACGGTTCCAGATCAAAGAAGACTAATGCAGGAATAACCCTTTCATCTGGAATGTTTTTTAAGCAATAAGTTTCTGCTTTCGAATTTAAGAGTGCAGATCCTTTTTTAATCCAATTGGTTCAGGGCTAGAATTACATTATTTTACATCTCCTTAAAGCTTTGATCCCCGCTACAATCTACAATATATAAATGCATGTGTGGTATCCGTCTATCATCAATTTAGGTGACAATAGGAGAAAAGTGCCTGGTGCCAATCTTTATTCCATAGTATGAAATTGTCTCTCAGGACAGGGTTTTTGGTGAGAGAAGCACAGGATATTGCTGGGTAACAGACTGGGTCAGGAAAGAGGGAGGCAGAGGGCAGCAGTTTTGCTAGAATTTAAAATTTGGTTGCTTTTGGAAGAGAAAGCGGGAGGTTCCTGGGAGCCAGAATGTTATGTTTCACAGATGTAAAAGTCATAGTCGGGAAAGACATCGCTTTAGTGGTGTTTTCAAATGACCTTTAAATGGTAGGGTTTTACTTGTAGCTTCCAGCCCTGAGGGTGGTTCTTGTTGCTTAAGGGCAAAAGGGTCAGGGGTAAAAGCCAGCCTTAGAAACCTGTCAAAAAAGATTTCCAGCGGGGCGCTGGAGAAACGTAGACCACGCCAGAATTCCTGTCTGGAGAAGCTCTTCATAGGGCGAGAGGCTGCGTGCCCCACAAGGTCCTTCAGAGGCACATTGTGGGACTCAGGGTAGCAACTTCTGGCGAGTGGAGCCGCAGTTACAGAAGCGAAACATTCGAAGGCAATTTACTTCCAGCTTTCGCAACACCCACCCTCAGCCATTACCCTCCCTTGCGCAGTCGCGCCATAAACTTCTCTGCTTTCCCCCACAGCCCTCTGGGCTTCGACCCATCAACTGAACACGCGCCAAACATCGCGCGCACGCGCCAAGCTCGGCCCAATCAGAGTTCCAAACCGCGGAGTGTTCGCCACGGCGATAAATTAACCTCAGCGTGGCGCGGGGTCTCGAAGCCGAATAACGTACGTGATTGGCCAGCCTCTTCCATATTCTTTTAAGGGCGGAACCTGGCCCTGGAGCCACGCCTAGCGAGCTGTTCTCTTAATATGGGTAGGTTCGGGCGTGGAGCTGGCAGCTGCGCGGTGTGCCGAGACAGGGCGTGTTAGTTATTTAGTGCAGGTGTAGCAGGGAACGAGGGCATCTGTCGCAGCCGGAGTGCGTCCTGCCGAAGCCTGTGGTTGCACGCCCACCCTCTTAGGGGCTGCCCTCTGCGGTGAGTGTGTGCGGCGTCGCACTTGGGGTTGCTTCTCTCTGCGTGGCCGGACCGGGGCTGGACCCTTCCCAGTCCCCTGCCCTGCCCCATCCCCTCCCTGCACCCGGACGCCCTTCAGGCTGACGTGGCTTTGGTTTAAACCCTCTCCACACTTTTCCAGGTTGTCCGTTACCGACTGTAATGCTCCAGGTTTCTAGGCGTGATGCACAAGGCCTTTCCGAATCTGAACACTACCTTACCCTTCCATGCAGTTGGCATTTCAGCCATTCTGAATTTATTGTCCTTTCTGGACCGGAGCCTACTTGTTCAGATCTTGGTGCTTTTACGAATTCTGTTTTCTCTCACCCTCAGTCTTTTTCACCTGAAATCGTTTTACTTCTAAGAGTCAGCTTAGACATCACCACCTGTGTAAAATCTTCTCTGTCTGCACCAAGCTAACATAGCCACTCCCTGCCCTGTGAAGTTGGACGTGTGCCTTGTTTTGTGACTTCTGTCACGTAGGATTGTAATGATTTTTTTTTTTTTTAATCTAGAAGTCTCCCTTCTCCACTGGGACATTGGGAAGACAAAAGCAGTGCAATGTTCATGCTTGCATTTTTTTTTTTTATAATAGTGCCTGGAGCACAGTAGATGCTCAAAAATAGTTTGAGGAATGAAAAAAAATGAAAGAATGATGGATTAGGCCCATGAGTGTGTGAGATCACGTCCAGGATGTGACGAGAGAAGAAGGGAGATGTTCAGGAGACCCTGAAAGGTGATGGAAAGCCATTGAGACATGGAAAGAATGGCAGAGTCAGGTTTACTGTGAAGCCATGCTTTTCCCGGTTTGAAAACCTGCCTGGGATAGAGATTGGAGTTGATGCCATTAATACGTCTTGGCAGAAGGAAAAGGGAGGAAATGTAGTTGATTTGCGTTTCATAGCCTTTATGAAAATACGTGCCATTAAACTTAGGTTGTGTACTAGTTAGCTTCTCAGCCTTGGTGTGTGTTGGTCTCTTGCATTCCGTAAGGGTCCTCGCTGTCAGCAACAGAACAGATGCCTCTGGAACTGAAGATCTAGGTGTGTCCCTTGCTGCCCCTGCCCAGCTCTGCCATGATCATGGTCATTATTGGGAGCACTGTTGATACAGAGGAGAAAGAGAAGGGGATAGGGAAGATGATGCCTGGCATAGCGGGACCCTTGGCCCCCATGGCTTTCCTCCCTCCAGCACTCGTTCTCACTGGGTAGAAGAGAGAGGCTGCTTTCAGCAGAGGAGCTTTATACCCTTCAGCTTTTGAAGAGGAGACTTTATGTGATATTTATAAATGGGGAGAATGGCTTAGCTATTTCGGTTGAGCTCTATTATCTCTTTGAAGCCATTGCTTTTATTAGGGAAGAAAAGATAGCCACTTGCTTCCTGAAGTAAATTTCAGTATTGGGTACTGAAAAGCAAGATCATTCTTAAATTTTCCTAAAGAAGAAGCTAATGAAGAATAATAGTGCTTTTTGGGAAGCTGGGTGGAAGTGAATTTGGAGATGTCAAGAGTCCACTTCCTCTGGCTTCTGTAACATTGACCCAAGGCTGCTCTCTGCAAACTCCCTGACCTCGGGACTCCTCGGAGCCTACGGGGTTCCAGGATGCTCTTCGGAGCCTCCACTAGGGCTCAGTTCTCAGCAGTGCACACACAGTGACACAGTGCTTAATATATACAAGTATTAAAATATTTCACTTGGCTACATTAATTATAAGTGTAATTTTTTTTTTTTCCTGAAAACAGGGTCTCGCTCTGTCACCCTGGCTGGAATGCAATGGTGCATTCACAGCTCACTGTGGCCTCAACCTCCCAGGCTCAAGTGATCCTCCCACCTCAGCCTCCTGAGTAGCTGGGACTGTAGGTACACACCACCACGCCTGGCTAATGGTTTTATTTTTTTGTAGAGATGGGGTCTTGCTATGCTGCCCAGGCTAGGCCTCAAACTCCTGGGCTCAAGGAGTCCTCCCATCTTGGCCTTCCAACGTGCTGGCATTACAGACTTGAGCCACCACACCTTCCTCCATATTTCTTTACTGATAACATTTTAGCTGTTACCAGGAAGTTTTATATATTAGTATCCAGATTAAACACAGGGAACAATTAACTGGCATGTACAGAGAATAGTTCTTGCATCTCAAGCTTTCCGTTCATTATTTTAATTTATCAAAAGGTAAGAATTAAGCTTTGAAGATAACAGTAAGGTATTGTACTACTAAGCATATGAGATGCCTGTCTTTCTTCTTGGGAGAGTTGTATCTTCTAACGCAGCACTTCCTTAGAGACAGCAAATTACCTTTGAAAGCTGTTTTGAGGAGTTTAGGTACCAAGAGCTTTCTGATGGGGAAAACTTCTTAGGCTGGAGACAGATATTAGACAGGTTCTACAGTTTTCTTATAGTCCAGCCAGATTCTTGAAATGCTCAGTTCCTACCGTAAGAGGCAGAGGAATACAGGGAGCATATGAGGGGAACTTGGATTTGGATAGATGTGGGTTCAAATTCTGCTACTTAGTACTATGTAACCTTAGAGAAGCTACTTAACCTCCCTGATCCTCAAGTTCCTTAACCAATGGTAACCTAAGTAACCACTTCATAAGACTGGTTTAATGGTTCACTTTAAAGGCAATAATGCACATTAAATGTTAGTTATTAACTAGTTAGTGTTAGATGCAATAATGTACATTAAATGTTAACTATTAATGTGAATATCCAGCTACAGGCCCAAATGCCTCAGACATACCCAGTTCCAACATAGTCAATGGCCTGAACTAAGAATTTCGCTTCATTAACTAGACTGGGTAAGGCATTTGTAATGGTGTTGGGATTTTTTGTGTGGCTTATTAGAACCTGTAGTGTTTGGTACTTTTGCCTAGGGTTCTAATTGATATAGATAGCTATTTATTTAAAATTTGTCCTGATTTATTTCTTTTCCTTCTTTTTGTTTTAACATGACATGTAATTTGCACACACATTCTCAAAGCTTCCAAGAAGATCAGTGTGGGCAATAGAGTGAGACCCCATGTCTACAAAAATTTAAAAAAACAAGCTGAGGGTGGTGTGCAAGTCTGCAGTCCTAGCTGTTAGGGAGGCTACAGTGGGAGGATTGCTTGAGCCCAGGAGTTTGAGTTTGTAGTGAGCTATGATCCTGTTACTAGGCAACAGGACAAGACCTTGTCTCTTTAAAAAAAAAAAAAAAAAAGCTTCCAGGCATAATTGTAATGCTGCTGATTTTGTGTATTAAAGAGATTTCACTGTAGAAACTCTTTCCCAAGCAGCAACTGTCTTCAGCTGGTTGATGAAGCTGATTTTTTTTTGAAGGGCCCTGTAATCAGCTTCCATTTCCATAGAGACAGAATCCCAGCTGCAGCCAGAGGAACTTTCTTTCATTTCTCTTGTTTGTTTCCTAATTTTTTAATCTCTTCAAGTTTATTGCCCTCTCTGGGTGGTCAAGCCTTTATTATTTTTTTTCCAGGTTAGACTGACACTTTTCAGATAAATCTTGGAAAACAACCTGCTTTCAAGGAAGTGGTCTTTCTAAAGGACCAGGCAAAATAATAAACAAATATGATCATGGGTTATCTGGAAGAGCTGTCTCAAAATCTTGTTAAGCCTGGAACACATGCCATCCATGTAGACCTTCTTTGGGGGAAAGATAAAAGAGCTGGGGAGAACCTGTAATTTTAGCTATAATCTTTATTAAAATCATTTATTTTTTATTTATTTAGTTTTTTGAGACAGAATCTCGCTCTGTTGCCCAGGCTGGAGTGCAGTGGCATGATCTTGGCTCACTGCAGCCTCCATCCACCTCTTGGGTTCAAGCTATTCTCCTGCCTCAGCCTCCTGAGTAGCTGGGATTACAAGTGTGCACCACCACAGCCAGCTAATTTTTGTATTTTTAGTAGAGACGGGGTTTCACCATGTTGGCCAGGCTGGTCTCGAACTCCTGACCTCAAGTGATCCACCCATCTCGGCCTCCCAAAGTGCTGGGACTACAGGCGTGAGCCACCGTGCCTGGCCTTAAAATCATTTATGTTTTCACTCCTCTAAGTTGTGTGTATGTGCTCACCTTTGTGTTTTTAAACATGCCACATCTTGGCCTGAGAAGCTCTTTTCCTTTTTCTGTCTCCAGCTAGCCCTTGTCCCCTTGTCAGTTAGTGCTTGTTGAAAGAAGGAAGGACTTATTTATTCACATGACTCCATTTCACGTCACCTCTTCTAGGAAGCCCCTTGAGTATACTCAGTTCTGACCCACCATCCCATCCAACCTAACTGAAGTGTCTCTCTACTTGGCGTAGTACTTGGGAAAAATTTATTGAAGAAAGAATGTTACTGCTTTTAGTAAAGAGATTCAGGTTAGTTAATGAAGAAAGCATAGCTCTGGAGGAAGAGCATGTACTCTGTCTCCTTCCTGCAGGCTTCTTCCCGGTTTCCAGAGTGAAGTAGTTTCCAGCTATCAGGAACAAGATGGAACTGACAACTTCTATTTTTGATTGTAGGATAGGGTTAAAACTGGAAATGTTTCACTGAAACAAAAGTTGTAGCCTCTTTGGTATAACTGAGCCAGTAATGACATTTGACTGTTTTTCAGTCCTCTGACATTCCGGCCCCAGTGGCCACGGTGGCTTTTTTGTAAGCATCTTTTTTGTTTGTTACTAGCTGTGTAACCTTGGGCAAGTTGCTTAACCTCTCTGTGCCTCAGGTGCCTCATCTATAAATTGGGAATAATAAGAGCACCTCATAGGGTCGTTGTGAGTTAATATCTATAAGGGCCTAGCATACCACCTGGTACCTATTGGTCTTAATAATACTCGCTATTAGTACAGCCATGCATCACTTAATGATGGGGATATGTTATGAGAAATGCTTAATATGATTTTGTCATTGTGTGATCATCATATAGTGTCCCTAAACACACCTAGCTGGTGTAGCCTACTACACCCCTGGGCTAGATGGTATGCTTGTGACTAAGGCTTTTGCTTTTAGGCTACAAATCTGCACAGCATGTGACTGTACTGAATATCACAGGGAATTGTAACACAGTGGTATTTGTGTCTTTATAGAAAAGATACAGCAAAAATACAGTACCTTATTGTACTCTCATGGGAACACTGTCATATTTGTGGTCTATTGTTTGTTTGTTTGTTTGTTTGAGACAAGGTCTCACTCTGTTGCCCAGGCTGGACTACAGTGGCATGATCTTGCCTCACTGTAGCCTCAGCTTCCTAGGCTCAAGTGATCCTCCCACCTCAGCCTCCCAAGTTGAGACTACAGGCACTTGCCACCACTCCCGGATAATTTTTGTAGAGACTTGGTTTCACTGTGTCTCCCAGGCTGGTCTTGAACTCCTGGACTCAAGCGATCTGCTTGCGCTGGCCTCCCAGGTGGTCCATTGTTGAGTGAAACATAATTAAGCGGTGCATAACTATTTTAAAAACCGTTTTATCTGTGATGATATAACCAATGCAAAACAATATCTCTTTATTTCTAGGAAATCTTAGTGATGGTACTTCTCAGTGGTCTTTGCCCACCTGTCTCATGGTCTCATTGTACCCGCACACCCACTGCCTCATTCTTCATCTAATTCAGAATTCCCAGGAGAAGTTGGGTGGCTGGGCCCAGTGTGCTGGGGTCAAGAGGAACAGCTATGGCCACACACTGGTGAGTTCAGAGCTGTGGATAGCCCAGGGGGTGGCTGGGGGAACAGCAGCAGGATTTTTGTTGGGATGTGCTTGTGGCCAAGTTTCTGTTGAGAATGAAAGACATGCTTTGGAAACTGGTAATTTTTCCAGTAATAATTAAAATACTCTATGTCCTGCAATAACAATTTATTGAATGTATTTTTTATGATAGGCATTATGTAAGCAGAGCCTGGCAGTTTATATTGAATTTTATTATTTCTATTTTTTCAATTTTTTTATTTTTTGAGACAGTCTCTGTTGCCCAGGCTGGAGTACAGTGGTGCGATCTTGGCTCACTGCAACCTCTGTCTCCCGGGTTCAAGTGATTCTCCTGCCTCGGCCTCCCAAGTAGTTGGGATTACAGGTGCCCACCACCATGCCCGGCTAATTTTTGTATTTTTAGTAGAGACGAGGTTTTCCCATGTTGGCCAGGCTGGTCTTGAACTCCTGACCTCAAGTGATCTGCCCACCTTGGCCTCCTGAAGTGCTGGGATTACAGGCATGAACCACTGCACCCAGCCTTATATTGAATTTTAAGATTATCTAGTGACAAAGTATTATTTGCTGTGTTAAGATGACGATAAGGTGTTTATTAGATGTGAAGTAGTTATATTTTCACCATAAGAAACCATAACACCCACTGCTTTGCCATTATAACCAGTGCTACAGTTGGTATGGATAATAATTGAAAACCCTGCCAGCTTGGAAACTTGGATTTACAGGATGGTTGCAGAGCTTCAACTATTGAGGAAAACATAAGAAGCAACTTAATCTCCATCTGATCAGTATTAGCAGAACCCTCCCCACTTTCTTCATGGTTTCCTAAAAAACTATTAATCTTAACAGAATGGAATGAACAGATGTGAGATCTTTTTATACCATATATTAATTCATTTTCTTCTGTCTTCAAACTTAGAACATTAGCTTAAAACAGTACCAAGTATGGTGCTGGAAAAGATTGTGTTGGGGAAATATTGGTTCATGTATCAAACAGAATAAACGCGAATTACATTAAATGGTAGTTTTAGTTATAGTACCCATACCTCATAAATATCCTTTTTATTTCATCTATTTCTCTGCATATACATTAATTATTCCTTTGGACTCTGTGTAGCTTATAATTTTAAGGGTGAGGTCAAATGAAAGGCACACATCAGAACGGGCAATTACTTGCAACGGGGGTTTGGCCTCATGGTTTTTCAGGACATAGTGCAGACCAGAGAATGGTAATATGGTTTGCAATCTCAATATTTGAATGGTAGTCTATGTAACTTGGTTTTCTTAACAGCTGTAAGTGAGGCCGGGTGCAGTGGCTCACACCTGCAATCCCAGCCCTTTGGGAGGCCAAGGTGGGTGGATCACCTGAGGTCAGGAGTTTGAGACCACCCTGACCAACATGGTGAAACCCCGTCTCTACTAATAATATGAGAATTAGCTGTGCATGATGGCCCATGCCTGTAATCCGAGCTGCTTGGGAGGCTGAGACAGGAGAATCACTTGAACCCGAGAGATGGAGGCTACAGTGAGCTAAGATCACGCCATTTCACTCCAACCTGGGTGACAAGAGTGAGACTCTGTTTCAAAATAAATGAACAAATAATAAAACAGCTGTAAGTGCTTAAGTCTTTAGGCCGTGTCAAAGATACCTATATGATTTATTATATATTTGTATTCTATAAAGTTGTTCACCCTTTGTTAGGAGGATGAAAATAATAGATAATATGATCGAAATAACATGCCATATATGCATGGGGTGTATTAATACACACACACATTTACTATGTCCCAGGCATTGTGCTAAGCCCTCTGTATGGATTAATCTTTCAAACCTCACAGTTTAATTGTTATTATCTAATAGGTAAGGAAACAGATTTAGAGAGCTTCATTAACTTGCTCAAAGTCACCCAGAAAATAAGTGGTAGAGCCCAGATTTGAACCCACACCAGCAGACTTCAGAAGCAGTGTTCTTAGCTTATCCTGTTTCGCCTTACTCATTTCTGACAGTCATATACACATACCCTGTGGAAGAGAAGAAGATGAACAGCTAATTCAGCGAGCACGCTGAGTGCCTGTGGCCATCTGGTCATGTTCTAGAAGCTATGGTAGCTACCCTGTCTGGGCTAATGATTCTGTATCAATTTAGGAATGCATTCAGGGACGCAACCTACCTATCTTGATACCATTTGAACCAAGGAAACAGGAACCTTCATCTTCTGAAAATACTTACACATAGTTTTTAAAAAATCCTACTCCAAAAAGCTTTACTGAAGTATTCACATAGATAAGTGCATATATGACAGTACAAGTTGACAGATTTTCAAAGCAAGAAACGTTAGTAGGTTGGGAGCTCCTGCTCTTCCCAATCACTCTCCCTTTAAGTCATGAGACTGCCAGCATCGTGAGCTTATACTGGTAGTTCCAATGGAAATACATAACAGACTGCAAAGCTTTTATTTAACTCCTTCTATGCCTCATCTGGGCCTTCTCCCTTCCTCTCAGAACCCTGCCTCTCACAGATTTTGGTGATGATAGAATTAGAACATCTCACAATCACGTGTTTGGTACCCAACACACAATTAACAATACTAATTTTACTAATGTCAGTATTGCTAAAAACAATTGTTTTATGCATATGCTATCTTCATTCTCCCTCTTTGAAAAAAAATAGGCTTTTTTTTTAAGAGCACTTTTTGATTTACAGAGAACTGGAGCAGGAAGTACAGATTCACATCTCTCCTCCATCTCCCCTTCCTAGTTTTCCATATTAACATCTTGCATTGGTGTGTTACATTTGCTATGATTGCTGAACCAATATTGATGCATTATTGTTTTTATTTTTATTTTTGAAACAGCGTCTCGCTCTGTCACCCAGGCTGGAGCGCAATGGTGCGATCTCGGCTCACTACAACTTCTGCCTCCCAGGTTCCAGTGATTCTCCTGCCTCAGCCTCCCAAGTAGCTGGGATTACAGGTATGCGCTATCACGCCCAGCTCATTTTTTTTTTTGATTTTTAGTAGAGACGGGGTTTCACCATGTTGGCCTGGCTGTTGATGCATTATTATTAACTAAAGTTTATAGCTAACATCAAGATTCACTCTATATAGTATAGTTTTATGGGTTTTGACAAATTAACATCATGTATTCACCATTACAGTATCATATGGAACAGTTTCACTGCCCTAAAAATCCTCTCAGCTCTACCTCTTCATCCCCTCTCCCTCATTATCTACCTCCTAAATCTCAGACAACCACTGAAATATTACAGTTTGCCTTTGTCTCTATAATTTTACCCTTTCCAGAATGTCATATAGTTGGAATCATACAGTATAAGGTCTTTACAGATTGGCTACTTTTGCTTAGCAATATGCATTTAAGATTCCTCCATGCCTTTTGTGGTTTGATAACTCATTTCTTTTTAGCAGTGAATAATACTCAGTTGTCTGGATGTACCACACTGTGCTTATCCATTCACCTGTTGGATGACATTTTGGCAGCTTTTAAATTTGGACAATTATGAATAAAGCTGTTGTAAACATTCTTGTGCAGATTTTGGGTGAATACCTAGGAATGTGATTACTGGATCATGTGATAAGACTATGTTTAGCTTTGGAAGAAACTATCAAACTGTCATCTCAAGTGGCTGTACTATTTTGCATTCTACCAATAAAGAATGAGATTTTCTGTTGTTCCACATCCTCACCAGCATTTGGTGGTGGTGGTGTTTTGGATTTTAGCCATTCTAGTGGGTATGCAGTAGTATCTCATTGTTTCCATTTGCAATTCCCTAGTGACTATATGATGCTGAGCATCTTTTCATATGCTTATTTGCCATATGTATATCTTCTCTGGTGAGATGTTCATTCAGATCTTTTATGTACTTTTTAATTGGGTTCTTTGTTGTTGAGTTTTAAGTCGTCTTTACATATTTTGGATACCAGTTCTTTATCAGGTATGTGTGTTGCGAATATTTTCTCCTTGTTTGAGTTGGTCTTTCTTTTCCCTAATGATATCTTTCACAGAGCAGAAATTTTTAAATATAATGAAGTCCCACTTATCAAGTTTTTCCTTCATAAGTTGTGCCTTTGGTATTGTATCTAAGAAGTCATTGCCAAATCTCAGGTCAACTAGATTTTCTCCTTTGTTATATCTAGAAATTTTGATAGCTTTGTGTTTTATATAATAGGTCTGTGATTTGAGTTTATTTTTGTGAAAGGTGTTAGGTCTTTGTCTAGATTGATTTTTGTGTGTGTTGATGTCCATCTGTTTCAGCATCATTTGTTGAAAAGACTCCTTTTCCCACTGAATTGCCTTTGCACTTCTGCTAAAGATTAGTTGATTGTATTAGTGTGGTCTATTTCTGGGCTATTTTATTCCAGTGATCTATTTGTCTATTGTTTCACCAATACCATACTCTAAGTTTTGAAGTTGGGCAGTGTCAATGCTGCAATTGTATTTTCTTCAATATTGCATTGGCTGTTCTGCCTTTCCATGTAAATTTTAGGATCAGTTTGTTGATATCCATAAACTTTCCGGTATTTTGACTGGAATTGATATGTAGATCAACTTGGGAAGAACTGACATTGTAACAATGTTGGGTCTTCCTATTCATGAACATGGGCTATCTCACAGTTTATTTAGGTCTTTGATTTGTTTCATACTAGTTTTGAAACTTTTCTCATATAGATCTTGTACATATTTTGTTAGCTATATATCTTACTATTTCATTTGTTTGGTGTTAATGTAAATGATATGTTTTTAATTTAAAATTCTAATTATATAGAAAAGCAGTTGTCTTTGTATATAACCTTGTATCCTGCAACCTTGCTGTAGTTGTTTATTAGTTTCAGTTCTTTTTTGTTGATGATTTGGGATTTTCTATGTAGACATCATATTATCTGTGGATAAAGACAGTTTTAATTCATCCTTCCCTATCTGCATACATTTTTCTGCTTTTTCTTACTGCATTAACTAAGACTTCCAATATGATTTTGGCTAAAAGTTGTGACAGGTGACATCCTTGCTTTGTTCCCAACCATAGTAGGAAAGAAACTAGTTCCTTACCATTAAGTATCGTATTAATTGTAGGTTTTTTGTAGATTTTTTTATTAAGTTGAGAAAATTTTCCTCTATTCCTAGTTGGCTAAGAGTTTTTATGGGTGTTGGATTTTGTCCAGTGCTTTTTCTGCATCTATAGATATAATCATATGGATTTTCTTCTTTCGCCTGTTTGAAGTGATGGATTGCTTTTATTTTTGAATTTGAACCACCTTTGCATACCTGGAGTAAGTTCCATTTGGTCATTGTGTATACTCTTAATACATTTTTGAATTAATTTCAAATGCTTTGTTGAGAATTTTTGTATCTATGTTCATGAGAGATGTTCCTCTGTAGTTTCTCCTTTTTGTAATGTCTTTGACTTAATGCTGACCTCATAGAATGAGTTAGGAATTGTTCTCTCTGCTTCTGTTTTCTGAAAGGCATTGTAGAGAATTGGTATAGTTTCTTCCTTAAATGTTTGATAGAATTCATGAGTAAACCTATCTGGGCATGGTGCTTTCTATTTTAGAAGGTTATTAATATTTCTGATTCAATTTATTTAATAGACGTAGGCCTACTAAAAGGATCTATTTCTCCCTGTGTGAGTTTTGGTAGATTATGCCTTTCCAGCAGTTGGTCCATTTTATCTAAGTTATAACATTTTTGGACATAGAGTTGTTCATAATGTTACTTTATTATCCCTTTAACATCCATGAAATCAGTAGTAATGGCCCTTCTTTCATTTCTGTTGTTAGTAATTAGTTCTTTTTTTTTTTTTTTTGGCTAGCCTCCCTAGAGGATTACCAGTTTTACTGATCTTTTCCAAAAACCAGATTTTGGACTCAGACATTTTCTCTATTGATTTCCCCTTTTAAGTATCATTGATTTCTGCCCTAATATTTATTAATTTTTTTTCTGTTTACTTGTAGTTCAATTCATTCTCATTTTTCTTGTTTCCTAGGGTAGAAGTTTGGATTATTGATTTTATAAGGTTGGTGCAGAAGTAATTGCCGTTTAGCCATTACTTTTGCACCAACCTAATAGAACTTTCTTGTTTTGTAATACATGCATTTAATGCTATAAATTTCCTTTACCATTGATTTTGCTGCACTTCACAATTTTTTCTTTTTTTTTTTGAGTCGGAGTCTCCCTCTGTCGCCCAGGCTGGAGTCCAGTGGCGTGATCTCCGCTTACTGCAAGCTCCGCCTGCCGGGTTCATGCCATTCTCCTGCCTCAGCCTCCCAGGTAGCTGGGACTACAGGCGCCCGCCACCATGCCCAGCTAATTTTTTGTATTTTTAGTAGAGATGGGGTTTCACTGTGTTAGCCAGGATGGTCTTGATCTCCTGACCTCGCGATCTGCCTGCCTTGGCCTCCTAAAGTGCTAGGATTACAGGCTTGAGCCACTGCGCCCAGCCCCTGCACTTCACAAATTCTGATAAGTAGTATATTCATTTAATTAAAATATTTTAAAAAATTTTTTGAGATTTCTTTGACGTGTTATTTAGAAATACATTGTTAATGACCAGATGTTTTGGGATTTTTCAGCTATCTTTCTGTTTGATTTCTAGTTTAATTCCAGTGTGGACTGAGAGCTTATATAATTTCTATTCTCTTTAAGGGGTGTTTTATGGCCCAGAATGTGGTCTATGTTGATGAATGTTCTGTGCAAGCTTCAGAAGAATGTGTTTTTTTGTGTTGGATGGAGTAGTCTATAGATGCCAGTTATATCCAGTTGATTGATGGTGGTGTTGTGTTTTTAACTCTGCCCTTACTGATTTTCTGCCTGCTGGATCTGTCAGTTACTAACAGAATGGAGTGTTGAAGTCTCCAAGTATAATAGTGGGTTTGTTTCTTTCTCTTTGCATTTCTGTAAGCTTTTGTCTTGCTATTTTGACACTGTTGTTGGATGCATACACATTAAGGATTACTGTGTCTTCTTGGAAAGTTTACCTTTTAATCATTATATAATATCCCCTTTTATTTCTGATAATCTTCCTTGCTTTGAAGTCAGCTTTGTCTGAAATTAACATGACTACTCCAGCTTTCTTTTGCTTAGTGTTCAGTGTCATGTATCTTTCTCCATCCCTTTACTTTTAATTTGTTTCTATATTTTATATTTAAAGTGGATATCTCATAGATAACATATCGTTAGATCCTGTTTTTTTTCTTTTAGAAAAATCCACCCTGATAGTCTTTTATAGTCTTTTAATTGATATGTTTGGTTATCAACATATAATGTGATCATTGATATTGCTTAGATTAATACCTACATAATAAGTGTTTTCTATTCTTGCCCTTGTTCTTTTTTTTTTTGTCTTCTGCTCTTTTTCTGCTTTCCATGGCTTTAATTGAGCATGTTGTATGATTTCATTTTCTCTACTCAAAACATATTCCATTTTCTCTCCTCTCAGCAAACTTACATGTAAAAATGTATGTATGTATTTATTTATTTATATATATTTTTGAGACAGCGTCTCGCTCTGTCACCCAGGCTGGAGTGCAGTGGTGTGATCTCAGCTCACTGCAAGCTCCGCCTCCCAGGTTCACACCATTCTCCTGCCTCAACCTCCTGAGTAGCTGGGACTACAGGCGCCCACCATGATGCGTGGCTAATTTTTTTTGTATTTTTAGTAGAGACGGGGTTTCACCGTATTAGCCAGGATGGTCTCGATCTCCTGACCTCGTGATCCACCCATCTTGGCCTCCCAAAGTGCTGGGATTACAGGCGTGAACCACTGCGCCCAGCCAAAAATTTATTTTTTTTAGAAGGAGGATAAGGCAAGGAATAAAAACTTCTTAATGATAGCCCTAGAGTTTGCAATATACATTTACAATGAATGTCAACTCACTTTTAAATAACACTGTGCCACTTCAGAGCCAGTGCAGATGCCTTAAAATCAAACATTTCCAGTTCCTTCCTGTTGTCCTTTATAGAACTGCTAACATTCATTTCACTTATCCGTAAACTATAATCAACCAACACATTGCTGCTGTTACTATTTTGAACAATCTGTTATCTGTTAGATTAAGAATAAGAACAATACACCATTTTATATTACTTTTATTCATTCTTTAACACTCTTCCTTTATGTAGACACTATTTTCTGCTGTATTGTTTTTATTCTCTGTGACGAGCTTGTTTTTAGCACATTTTATGTCTCTTCAATTTTTATTTTGGTGAGAAAGTATTTCTTTATATTTGATAGATAATTTCATTGAATACAGGATTCTAGATTGGAGGGTGTTTTTCCCTTCAGCACTTTATATTTTACCCCATTGCTGGCATGGTTTCTTAAGAAAAATCCAATGTGATTTTTATTCTGGTTTCTTTATAGGTAAGGTTTTTTTTTTGTTGTTGTTTTGTTTTTTTCCTCTGACTTCCTTCAATATTTTGTCTTTGTCTTTGACTTTCTACAGTTTGAATGTCATATGTGTAGGTGTAGATTTTTTGGTAATTATCCTTTTTTGTGTTCCCTGAGCTTCTTGGATATGTGGTTTGGTCTCTGTCATTAATTTTGGAATATTCTGAGTTATTTAAATATTTTTTTCTGTTCTTTCTCTCGTTATATTCCCTTTATGTGCATGTTATGCCTTTTGTAATTTTCCCATTTTCTTAGATATTCTGTTTCACTTTTCCACTCTTCTTTTTTCTCTTTGCTTTTCAGTTCAGGAAGTTTCTGTTGACATGTCTTCACGATCACTGATTCTTTCCTTGGCTGTATCCATTCTACTAATGAGCCAGTCAGAGGCTCTCTTTATTTCTGTTACAGTGTTTGTAATCTCTAGTATTTCAGTTCTCTCTTAGGGCTTTTGTCTTTGCTGACATTACCCATCTTTTCTTGCATTTTGTCTACCTTTTCTATTAGAGCTCTTAGCATATCAATCATAGTAATTTTAAAGTACCAGTCAGATAACTTTAAAATATCTGCTATATCCAAGTGTACTTCTTTTGCTTTATTTCTCTCTTCAGCCTGTATTTTTTTCTTTTTAGAGTAGCTTGTAATTTTGTTGTAAGCCAGACATGATGCATTGGGTAAAATGAACTGAGGTAAACAGGCTTTTAGTGTGAGTTCTCACATTTTTGTAGCTGTGGGTGTCAGAGGGTAACATTTTCTCTTTTGTCTTCCTTGTTTTTTCCTCCCCTTTTGTCTTAGAGTTTCCCTGTTGAATCCTTAAATACTGTGTGAGCATTGAAGTTCTGCCATAATTCCATGTTATTTTATAGGAGCCCTTCTGACAAGACAGGATCGGGAAAAGGGAAATGCTCTGTAATCCTGTGCTTAGATCTCTGTCCTTTAGTGAGCCTTGGCTGTGACCTTCACAGCTGTTTCTCAGCTTCCCTGCATGTCCCCCAAGTGAGACAGGAAGGTGTGAGCGGGCTGGAGTTGGGTATTTCCATTACTTCCTATTGGTCAGGCTCTGGTAAAACCCAGGTAGCCTAGGCTCTGCTAAAATCATTTCTCCTTTGTTAAGGAGAGCAGAATACTTTGGCCTTATTTCACAGTGGTTGCTCTTCTCCCCTTCCATGAAGCACAAAGGGATTTTTTTTTCCTATCTAATTTTTTCACCCTGAGAAACCGATAGGGCTCTTGGAGGTAAAACTCAGCAAAGTACAGGAGACCCCTTAAGACCAGGCTCCCAGAAGTTGTTTTTTGTTGTTGTTTTTAATCTCTCAAACTAGTCTACCACTCAGTCTCTGGCAATTAGGCAGTTATCCTTGAAGCATCCTTACCAGTTGCTGGCTCCAGCAGGTATTTCTGCTCCTAGTATGCTGTGATTCTCTGTGTTTGCCTGTCTCTAGTTTTCAGTATGGTGGCTTGCCCTGTGACCTCAATTTTCTGATGAATCTACGGAATAGTTTTTTGTTTTGTTTGCTCAGCCTTTTTCTTACTGTGAGCATGGTAGTGACAACTTCCAGACTCTATTTGCTAACCAGAAATGCGATACATCTCTAATCTGTTTTTAACTGTGGAAATATGGCTCCCTGCTCCTTGGAACTCGAACTGTATCTAGATTTTCAGCACATATAGCCATTTCCTATGATACTTTCTCTCCTTTAGCCCTCACGTAGTCTTAGTTCTACAGGCACCTCTATCTTTTATGCACATCAAGAGTCCTTAGGTCAGTGTATCTCTATTTATTTTGATTGTCTGAAGCTTGTACTCTGAAATATTCCTCAGAAAGGTATCAAGAGAATAATATTCCCAGTTTTTCCTGTGGATAGTACATAAAAATTTGTGTTCTTTTTACATGAAAATCAATTTTACAGGTATACAGACTCAAAGTTTCTTTTCTGGAGTGTTGTCGATGTGTTACTTTATTGCTTCTGGCATAAATTGTCTGAAAGCCTGTTGATACAATTTTATGTCCTGTAATTTTACTGGAGTATGACTTGGTGTAGGGTATAGGTCATTCTGGTCTGATTATTTCCCAGGTATGTAGTATGTTCTTTAAATTTGTAGTTTGAAAATTGTATTAGTCCATTTTCACACTGCTATAAAGAACTGCTCAAGACTGGGTAATTTATGAAGGAAAGAGGTTTAATTGACTCACAGTTCAGCATGGCTGGGGAGGCCTCAGGAAACTTAAAATCATGGCAGAAGGGGAATCAAGGCACCTTTTTCACAAGGCAGCAGGAAGGAGAAGTGCTGAGCAAAGGGGGAAGAGCCCCTTATAAAACCATCCTGTCTCATGAGAGCTCACTAACAGGAGTTATTATTTCTTGAATTTCCTATTTTTCCCAGGATGTCTTTATTATTTTCTTACCGTCCTGTCTATGTTTAGTCACATGGCCCTTTGAGGTGACTTGTCTGCAAAATGAGGAATTCATCACTGTTCTTTTGTCAAGGTAGAGGGAGTTATGTAATTCCATAAACTGTTCATATCTGATGACAGAAATCAAAAAAGAACTGAACAGATGGAGGAGTTATATACATGAATAGAAAAACTCAGTATCATCAGGATGCCAGTTCTCCCCAATGTGTAGATTCAAAGCACTTCTAATCAAAATGGAAGCAAATTATTTTATGGATATAGAAAAGTGAATTCTAAAGCTTATATGGAGAAGAAAAAGACCTTGAATAGCTAACACGATATTGAAGGAGAACAAAGTTGGAGGAAAGACAGGCACTACTCAACTTCAAGAATTACTGTAAAGCTATGGTAATCAAGGCTGTATCATGTTGATGAAAGAAGAGACAGTTTAGTGAAACAAGACAGTTTAGAAATAGAGACATATCAATGTATTTAATCTTTGATGAAAAAGTAAAGGCAACATGATGAAACAAAAATTGGTTTGTTCAGAAAGTGCTGCTGGAACAACTGAATATCTACATGTAAAAAAAAAAATGAATCAGATCTTACCCCCTCACCAAAGTTAAAATGAATCACAGACGTAAATGTCAAATAGACAACTGCAAAACTTCTGGAAAGTAACGGGAGAAAATCTAGACTCTCTTGGGTTTGATGATCTCTAGAGAAAAACGCAAAAGTTACAATACATAAAAGAAATAATATGACAAGCTGGACTTGATTTAAATGCCACATTTTTGTTCTCTTAAAGCCATTGAAAGAGAAGACAAGCCACAGACTGGAAGAAAATATTTGAAAAACATATTTGATTAATGAATTTTATCCAAATTATACCAATCTTATTAAAACTAAACAAACAACCCAATTAAAAAATGAACTAAAGAGTGTAACAGGCATTTCGCCAAATAAAATATAAGCATATGTAATGACGTTCCACATAATATTTTCTTAAATGCAGTAATGAGCTACTACTGCACATCTATGGGAATGACCAAAAGCAAGAACATGGTCACCCACTCTAATCACATGGTCCCTATCACATAATTAGAGGGCGCTGGGGGCTTTAACTCTACAAGTTGATGTGTAAAGAATTCGACTTAGATATGATATAGTGACTAGAATTCTTTTATGTATGTGTGTATGTATGTATGTATGTATGTATTTATTTGTTTTGAAAGAGATTCTCTGTTGCCCAGGCTTGGAGTACAGGGGCATAAATAACCAAACAATAAGCAAAATCCAGAAGAATGAAGACGTCAAATGCTGTCAAGGATGTGGAGCAAAAGGACCTCTCGCCACTTGTTTGTGGCACAATCACAGTTTACTGTACCCACGAACTCCCAGGCCCCAGTGATCCTCCCACAATCAATCTCCCAAGTAGCTGGGGCCACAGGCATGCACCACCATGCCTGGCTGATTTGCTTTATTTTTGTAGAGATGAAGTCTCCCTGTGTTGTCTAATCTGGTCTGAAACTCCTGGGATCAAGTGATCCTCTTATCTTGGTCTCCCAAAGCGCTGGAAGTACAGGCATGAGGCACTGCACCCAGCCTGCAAGTCTTTAAGCAGGATGAGTTCAATCTAACTTTTTCTCCATCTGCTCTACTCAGCTAAGTCTCCTTCTCAGCCCGAGGGAGAGAACCGCAGCTCAGCCCTATCCAGGATGGGGGCAGATTACCCAGCACCACCGCCATACTCCAGATGCGGGTCAACGAGGAAGGGACCCTGAGGCCTGGCAGCAGGTGCAGTCAACAACCTTGAAGCCGTCCAAACGGGACCCGCCATCCGTGCCTGTCTGAGTTGTAGGGGCTGCCTGCATTTGGCGCACAGGCAAAATGGCCAAGCAACCTCAAACTCCCCACTTCCCCTCTGGGCCCAGGCAGCGCGGACTAGAGACAGGTGCCGCTGCTGCACAGAAATCTGTGGATCAACTCTATGTCTGCACCAGGGCAGGAACCGGCTCCTCAGCCCCATCCTGGCGGCTGCACAGTGCCCAGACCCCTCAACCCAGTGCCCTGGGCGCGAGCCAAGGAAGAGCAGGGCTTAGAGAGGGAGGGTGTGTTCCACACGGCGACCCTCTGGCCTTCTGGGTCCAGCCCTGCAGCCACCACCGTGGGCTCAGCTGCAGCTGGCATTTGAAGGTGGCAGCAGCGGTGCCAACCCTAGAACCTGTCCGTGCCACCAGCTGCGGTGAACCCTAGGGTCGGACGCCGCCACTGCGCCTAAGTCAGGCTTTGGGCCCTGGGCTGCAGGAGGGCGGGAACCTGCAGCAAAGCCTCATCCCTGCAGCTGTACAGGGCCCAGAGGTCGCGAGCCTGAGCTGCCAGCATTGGCAAAGGTAGAGCAGATCCCAGGGTGAAAGGCTCATGCACTCGACGGCCCTTAGCTGTCTGGGCCCAACCCTGCAGCCTCCAGTGTGGACTTATCTGTAGCTGCTGCCTGAACATGGCACGCGGCAGCAGGGGCTGCATCCCTGACCCTGCCAATACCACCAGCAGTGCGGATCCTTGGCCAGAAGCCTCCAGGGCGCCCAAGTCACTGGATGGGTTCCCAGCTGCAGGAGGGAGGGAACTGACTGTCAGCGTCATCCAGGATCCTGCAGGGTGCCCAGCTCCAGGGCCCAGCTCCTGGATCGCGGGTCCAGGAAGAGCCGGGGTGGCTCTGTCAAGCGTGCGGTGTGGAAGGGCGCCCCTCACTTTCAAATTATACTAGAGAACCTTCAGAAACCTTTTTTTTTTCTTTTTCTGATATGGAGTCTTGCACTGTTGCCCAGCCTGCCAAGCTGGAGTGCAATGGCGTGATCTCGGCTCACCACAACCTCTGCCTCCCCGGTTCACGGGATTCTCCTGCCTCAGCCTCCTGAGTAGCTTGGAATACAGGCGCACACCACCACACATGGCTAACTTTTTGTATTTTTAGTAGAGACGGGGTTTTACTATGTTGACCAGAGTGTTCTCCAACTCCTGACCTCATACTCTACCAGCCTCTGCCTCCCAAATTGTTGGGATTACAGGCTTGAGCCACAGCGCCCAGAAAACAAATTTTATGGCTTCATACATCAAAATTCAACAATGATGAACAGTGAGAATGACATACAATTAATTTAGGAACACTTACGGATTGATTTATGGTCTTGGACATCCATTATTTCTCCAAAAGTTAAGCTCACGACTCAGTAATTATTTCCTTTTTCATGCGTGGATTTGGTCCTGGTCAGTTTGTGACCCAGAAATTTTTTTTTTCAAGAAAAGAGCACGTATTCTGTCTATTGATCCACAGACAATAGACTCTGCTTACAGATTGAAATATAAACTACTCACCTGATTTCTTTCTGCTGCTGGGACAATGGGCTCAGGTTTATGTTCACAACAGCCATTGAGCGCATAGACGCTGGGATAGGGGCTTGTGATCCTATGAGTTTACTTCCCCAGAGAACTACAATTGTCATCTCACCTGTAGATAAAAGGACAGTACATATTTGATGAGTTATAGTGATTTTTGAATAACTTTGTCTTAGTTTCCAATTACCAAAAAAATGACAACGTTATACCCAAGCACCTTCAAAGACATGAAAATGGGAGAGGCTCTGTTTTTCCGTAATCCCTGGAGGCAGACAGGGGCTCACATGGAGAGAACTGGAAATGCTGAGTCTGAGACATGAAAGACTGACAGCAAAGCACATGTGTCTTACCAGATTCCGTGCTTCCCTGAGATCTGCCTCTGCTGAAAATCTGATTTTCAGTTAACCCCGAAATTCCTGAGCCGAAGTATTAGTGAATTGTAAACAGATGGGACCACACAAAGAGCTTGAAAAGGAGGTGTCAACAGGTTTCCGTGCAGAGAAGAATTTAAAGTCATATATTAAAATGAAAAACAGGAACAAAATTGTGTGATTCAATGCAAATGAGTATTAAAATGTGGCTCATATATAGTCTAGGAATATATAGTTTAAGGTCATTTACCTCATAGAGATAGAGGTGCTAAATTAAGTAGTATTCATAGAAGAAACGGAACGTTTATTTAAGATTAGTTTTGCACAAAAGAAAGCACCATATTTATATTGTCCAGAAGAAAATTTTACTCATGAACTAATTAATATACCAATACTGCTTAAACTATTTAAAAGTTATAAGGTAACCAACATTCCCAATAGTTTTTAGAAAGGATATATAAAAGTGATACAACTTTACTTGTTTGATGCTGTATAGAATATTATAGATAATAAGAACATATTATATGAAAGTAAAATTTTTAAATGTTAAAAAGCATTGTGTCAACCCATTAAAATATTAGATCATTAGGAATTCCATTTATGCCTGAAATGCAAGTGAGAGTCATCGAATTAGGAAATTCATTAACACAATAAATTATGTTAATTGAATTAATGAGACTGTCTTGTGTTCATGTTCATAGATGGAAAACAGATAATGCCAAAATTTCCTGAACAATTATTTTAAATCAATTTGTATGGAATTGTTGCAAAATATTTCTTGAAAACATCAAAATAGATTTGTATAAATGAAAATTATGACATTACATGATTAGGCAGGGTCAACATTATTAAGACATCAAAGGTACTTTAATTAATAAGCTGATTTTTTGGTTGCATAGTATTCCATGGTGTATATGTACCTTTGCAAGGACATGGATGAAGGTGGAGACCAGTATCCTTAGTAAAGGAATGCATTAACAGAAAACCATCTATGGCATGTTCTCACATATAAGTGGGAACTAGATGATGAGAACACATGGGCACATAGAGGGAAACAACACATACTGGGGTCTACTGGAGGGTGGAAGGTGGGGAGAAAGAGAGGATCAGGAAAAATAACTAATGGACACTTGGCTTAATATCTGGGTGGTGAAATAATCTGTGCAACAACCCTTACCCCTGACAGACATTTACCTATGTAACAAACCTGCACATCCTGCACATGTACCCCTAAGGTTAAAATAAAATTTAAATAAATAACGAAAATTAAATAAGTTGAGTTTAACTCCAATGTAGATACCATCTGTGTTCTGAATATAGAAATTTTATTGTATAGAAGAGCAAACAAAATATCCATGAAAAGTCTGAAAATTGAGAGAGTGACTTCCCCTGTAAAATATTGTAGAGACTTGGAAATTAAAATTGTGTCATATTGTTTCATCATTAGTCTGAGAGACCAATGGAATACAACATTCAAAAATGGAATAAAACATATATGAAAATATACTGTGCAATAAAAGCAGGAGTGTAGAAAGAAGAGATGAACAGCTTGCCGAGTCTCATTGGGCACTGAAGCTCACAGATAGGCAGCAGGCTTTGTCTCTCACCACGTGTGCTTTCTGTAAGTCTGGTATTGCCACGTGTGCAGGAAGAACATTTAATATTTGAGCAAGAGGATTTTGGGGCGAATATCTGATTAAAGTGAATTTTTCTTCCTCAATATTTATTGTAACCTGTTCTCATAGCCCACAGTATGTTTCCTGCTGGGTTGAGATGTTACTGCCTTTAATAAAGCTTTATTACCTGCAACTGTCCCCCTCTGTATGTTTGGGAACCTTGAGAACAGTCACACATAATTGTGGTAATTCTTTAGTTGGTCACTTGCCTGGTGAAACACTATCTGGGGGGGCTCCTTTCCACACTGGTCACACAGGGCAAAAGCTTGTGAAGAGTTCTGGGATAGAACACTGCATGGGGCCACTGAGATGGGTCACTTCAAGGTACAGTGCTCTTAACCTATACCTTAAACTGAGGCAGACAGAAAGTTCCACATGGCGTCAGAAAAAGAAAAATAAAAAAACAAGTTTGAAATGTTGAATCATCTTTGGTTGTTAAAAACACTATCTTCTTCAGAGGATGTGCTGAAATAAAAACTAACAGATGATCTTTGCCTGAAATATATAAATATTTGTTAACAAATGCTGGCGAGGCTGCAGACAATAGAAAACTCCTATTCACTGTCACTGGGAATGTAAATCAGGTTAGCCACTATGGAAAGCAGTTTGGAGATTCCTCAAAAAATGTAATATAGAGCTACTAATTGAACTATCAACCTCATTACTGGGTATATACCGAAAGAAAATACAACACTGTACCAAAAAGACACATGCAAACCTGCACACGCAGCACCTCTAATATAAAAGTTGACATTATTTTAAAAAGTGTTTATTTGCGAAAATATTTCACCCATGGTAGGGATAAAGAACTACATTCTCGCTAAGGTCAAGAGGCACACACCCGAAGGTAGCCCTGGGGGCAGGGCCGGGAAAGCCAGGAGCACCAGCATCCTCGGCTACACCAGCAGGTATTGGCTGAAGCAACAGGTGCACTGGGGATATGGAAAGGAGTTACTTAGACACAGTTGCTGATTCATGAATTTCCTATGTTTCCCAGGATCTCTTTATCATTTTCTTACCCACATGTCTATGTTTAGACACATGGCTCTCACAGGTGACTTGTTGGCTGCAGAATGAGGAATTCATCACTGTTCTTTGGTCAAGGTAGAGGAAGTTATGTAATTTCATAAACTGTCCGTATCTGATGACAGAAATCAAAAAAGAACTGAACAGATGGAGAAGATACATTATATTAATGAATAGAAAAACTCAATATTGTCAAGATGTCAGCTCTTCCCAATGTACGGATTCAATGCACTTCTACTCAACATGGAAGTAAATTATTTTATAGATATAGAAAAGCTAATTCTAAAGCTTATATGGAGAAGAAAAAGACCTTGAATAGCTAACACAATATTGAAGGAGAGAACAAAGTTGGAGGAAAGACAGGCACTACCCAACTTCAAGACTTAACTGTAAAGCTATGGTAATCAAGGCTGTATCATGTTGATGAAAGAATAGACAGATTAATGAAACAAGACAGTTTAGAAATAGAGACAAATCAATATATTTAATCTTTGATGGAAAAGTAAAGGCAATATGATGAAACAAAGATTGGTTTCTTCTGAAATTGGTGCTGGAACAACTGAATATCCACAAGTGAAAAAAAATCAGATCTTACCCCCTCACCAAAATTAACTCAAAATGAATCACAGACATAAATGTCGAATACAAAACTATAAAACTTCTGGAAAATAACAGGAGAAAATCTAGACTCTCTTGGGTTTGATGATCTCTAGAAAAACGCCAAAGTTACAGTACCTAAAAGAAATAATATGATAAGTTGGACTTGATTAAAATGTCACTTTTTTGTGTGTGTGAAAGCCATTGAAAGGGAAGACAAGCCACAGACTGGAAGAAAATATTTGCAAAACATATTTGAATAATGAATTTTCTCCAAAATTTACCAATATTCTTAAAATTGAATAATAATAAACAAACAACCCAATTAAAAAGTGAACTAAAGACTGTAACAGGCATCTCACCAAATAAAATATACAAATAAAAAATAAGCATATGTAATGATGGGCCACATAATATTTCCTTAGGGAAATGCAGTAATGAACTACCACTGCATACCTATTGGAATGACCAAAAGCAAGAACGTGGTCACCCACTTTAATCACATGGTCCCTATCACATAATTAGAGGGTGCTGGGAGTTTCAACTCTGCAAGCTTCGTGTGTAAAGAATTCAACATAGATATGATACAGTGACTAGAAGTTATTTATTTATTTATTTAGAGAGCGAGTCTGTGTTGCCTAGGCTTAAAATGCAGGGGCAGAAATAACCAAATAATAACGGAAATCCAGAAGACTGCAAATGTCAAATCTGTCTAGGATGTGGAGCAACAAGGCCTCTCATTGCTTGTTTGTGACACAATCACAGATCACTGTACCCACAAACCTCCGGAACCAAGTGATCCTCCCACAATCAATCTCCCAAGTAGCTGGGGTCACAGGCATGTACCACCATGCCTGGCTGATTCGTTTTATTTTTGTAGAGATGAAGTCTCCCTGTGTTGTCTAATCTGGTCTGAAACTCCCAGGATCAAGTGATCCTCTTATCTCAGTCTCCCAAAGCGCTGGAAGTACAGGCATGAGGCACTGCACCCAGCCTGCAAGTCTTTAAGCAGGATGAGTTCAATCTAACTTTTTCTCCATCTGCTCTACTCAACTAAGTCTCCCTTTCAGCCCAAGGGAGAGAACCGCAGCTCAGCCACATCCAGGATGACTGCAGATTACCCAGCGCCACCGCCATATTCCAGATGCGGGTGAACGAGGAAGGGACTCTGGGGCCGAGCAGGGGGCACACTCAGCAACCTGAAGCCGTCAAACGGACCCGCCATCCGTGCCGCTGTCTGAGCTTTAGCCTCTACCTGCACTTGGGGAACAGGCAAATATGGCCGAGCAACCCTAAACTTCCTTCTTCTCCATGGGCCCAGTCAGCGCGGACCAGGGACAGATGCTGCTACAGCGTTGATGTCAGTCGGTCCGCCCCATATCTGCACCAGGACAGGAACCCGCCGCTCTGCCCCATCCTGGCGTCTGCAGTGTCCAGAGCCCGCAACCCAGTGCTCTGGGCGCGAGCCAAGGAAGTGCAGGGCCTGGAGAGGGAGGGCGTGTGCCACACGGCGACCCTCAGGCCCTCTGGGCCCAGCCGTGCAGCCTCCGCCTTGGGCTCAGCTGCAGCTGGTATTCGAACGTGGCAGCAGCAGTGGCAACCCCAGAACCTGTCCTTGTCACCAGCAGCGGCACACCCTAGGGTCGGACGGCGTCACTGCGCCTAAGTCAGGCGGTGGGACGTCAGCTGCAGGAGGGCGGGAATCTGCCTCAGTGCCTCATCTCGGCAGCTGTACGGGGCTCAGAGGTCGTGAGCCTGAGCTGCCAGCGCCGGCCAAGAAAGAGCAGAGCCCAGGGTGGTAGGGCGGTTCACTCGACGACCCTCAGCGGTCTGGGCCCAGCCCTGCAGCCTCCACCGTGGACTCAGGTGCAGCTCTCATCTGAACATGGCACGCGGCAGCAGGGGCTCCAACCCGGACCCTGTCAGCGCCACCAGCAGCGCGGATCCCTGGGCCAGAAGCGTCCAGGGATTCTAAGTCAGGGGTGGGTCCCCAGCTGCAGGAGGGCGGGAACCGCCACTCAGCGCCATCGAGGAGGCTGCACGGTGCCCAGCGCCAGGGCCCAGCTCCTGGATCGCGGGTCGAGGAGGGGCCAGGGGCGGCTATGTCAAGCGGACCGTGTGGCAGGGTGTCTCCCACGTTCTGCTCCAGGGAGGCCAGCCCGACAGCGCCTCAGCGGCAGGTGCCACCTGCATGCGGTGCCCGGGGGAGGGCGGCCAGGGCGCGTGTCTCCTCAGCCTGCTGAGCTGCGCATGCACTGCTGCCTAATGGCTTTGCTCAGCGAATTTCTCCCAGGAGAAGCCGTAGTGTCCAAGAGCTTGGCCAGACAGCAAGTTTTACTGGTGTTGGAGCGGGTGTGGGGACTCAAGAAGGGCGAGGGCGAGCGGCGGGGGCTGGGGAAGGGCGAGCGGGAGGCACAGGCTCTCTCTAGGAGGTGGCCGCAGCCATGAAGAAGCTCTCTGCCGCAGCTGGCAAGGGCGTGAAGGGCCCGGAGCGCCGGAGCCCCTTCAGTCAGCTGGTCTATACCAACAAGGACTCTTGCGTGATCCACTATGGGGATCTCAGGAAGATCCACAAAGTTGTCTCCCTGGGCCAAGCCTGGAATCTGGAGGGGATAACCATGAGGAAGACCATCGACCTGAACAAAAGAGATGTGACGAAGAGATACCAGGCCCTGCCTGAGCCGGGGCTGCAGGAGGAGGAGGCGGCTGTAGGAGGATCGCCCCTTAAGAATGAGGTGCTGGGAGGCCTGGGGACGAGGGGAGCAGGTGGAGGAGTGGCGAGCGGTAGGTCGGCCGTCCTGGGCCCTGGGGTCTAGGCCTTCTTCCCGGGTAGGCCCCCCAGGCCTGGGATGGGGGCGTCCTGCAGGTCAGAGGGCCCAGGCCACCTTAAAATCAACCCCAAACTTTCGCTGCTTTCTCCTTCACTTCCACTTCCTCTCACAGAGCACTGTGTAGAAAATTTTAAAGTGATTTAACTCACAAAATTAAGTACATACAGGGTTTTACTTTTAATGTACAGGTTTTAAAAGATAATGTTAGATACATTATGAAATGGTGCATAATGAAATAATTCCTATAATATATGGACTTCTTGGCTAAAAGTTCTTTGGATGAAGTCCAATATCCATTTTGATATCAATGAATGTCTATGTAAATATGTTCTTTGCTGAGGGGTCTTAGAAAGGAAACTTTGAGGTGGGAAGATGGTTTATATTCTTGAATTTAAGAAGACTCATTTTTCTCAAGATGCGAGTTCTTTATCAGTTTTACATAAACCAAATAAAGTTATCAACGTTTTAACATTTTTTTAAAAAATTACACAGGCTGTCTTTTACTACTGTGATGACATTTTAAATATTTTGTAATTGAGTAGAAAAGTCTTGCCCTTCTAGATGTCAAAATGTGCTATCAATTTGCACAAGATGGGCCAGCAGCAGTGGCTCACGTCTGTAGTTCCAGCGCTTTGGGCGGCCGAGGCAGATGGATCACCTGAGGTCAGGGGTTTAAGACCAGCCTGGCCAATATGGTGAAACACCGTCTCTACAAAAATACAAAAATTAGCCGGGCATGATGTCGGGTGCCTGTAATCCCAGCTACTCGGGAGGCTGAGGCGGGAGAATTGCTTGAACCCGGTGGGCAGAGGTTGCAGTGAGCCGAGATCCCACCACTGCAATCCAGCCTAGGCGACAGAGTGAGACTCTGTCTCAAAAAATAAATAAATGAGATAAATAAAATCACAAACTGTTTGCTAACAGGTAAATGGATACAATAGAATAGAAAATCCAGAAACACCCAAATATATGTAAGAATTTAGATCTTGATAATGGTCACACTTTGTACTAGTAGGAAAATAACTAATTTCATAAGTGAAATGCCTGCTTTTTGGAGAAAACTAGATTTTTATGCCACAAAATTCCAAAGTTTTTAATATACAAAATGATAAAAATACCAGAAGAAAACAAAATGCCTGTTCACACAGATACATTTTTATGTTGACAAAACCTTTCTAAGAAGCTCAGAAGCAAGCATTCTGAAGGTTAATTTAGTAAAACAAAAATTAAATCACCGTGCACATGAGAAAAAATAAAAGGCAGCATACTTGTAAAATATTTACTACATATGTATATGCGTGTGTGTATACATATTAGATTTAAAAATCTTCATTTTATAGAGAATTCACTCAAATCAACAAAAAAACCCTCTAATTTAAAATTGGGCAACATAAATTAGAGGTCTAAATTGCAGATCTAAAAAAACTACTTGACCTCTAATTTAAAATTGGGCAAAGTCCTTTTTTAAGATCTGTAAGTGGCCTATGCACACAGGAAACAATATTTAGTGTTCCTGGTTAGAGAAGGCATTTAAGTTAAAAGAGGACTCAAATACTGTTTCCTGTCCACAAAGTTTGTGAGGATAAAAAGCAGTGATATTTATAGTGCTCCTTAAAGTTTAAGTTGCAGATGACTTTTCAATAGACAATTTGATGGTAAGTACCATATTTAAAAACTGTTTATGCCTGTTAGTGATCAATTCTATTATACTAAAATGTTTTTACAAAATAATGAAACATACACACAATTTCTTTTCTGAGCACTGCTTAAAATATCAATGTATTAAGAAGAATCGATATAATGGCTTTTATAAATACACTTCAGTGAGTTTACAGCATGGGATAATATGTGACCACTCAAGGTAGAAATATATACAGAAGTATGTTGACATTTGAAAATATATTTTGGTGTATCAAGTGAAGGTAAAGTTCAGTTTGATTACACATACAGACTATGGTCTTGTGTTATCTGAAATTATGTATGAAATATGATAAAATTTATTATTTGAGGGCATTTGTTTAAATTTAAATGTTTTTCCTTTTTATTATCTTTGATTTCTGCATTGAGCATGTACAATGCTGTTAGTAAAAGTTTGTTATTAATGAAATAATTTTTGAGAAGTGCAGGAATATGAATTTTTCACAGATAAAAATAATTTCTCATGTTCTATAATTTTTTTATGGATTAGTATATTCTGTGAACTTTTAGCATCTTCAGAAGAGAATCTTTTATCTGTGGTTATTGATTTACATATACATTTTATTAGACACATATATAGACTTATGTATGTGCCAATAATTATAGATTAATCATTTTAGTGTAATTATTAGAAAAATAAAATAGCAAATATAAGTGCTTTATTTATAGCAGTTTTTTAAGATATTGAACTTCCCAACTGTATTGATCCATTCTTTTAATCCATTTATCACATGTAAGCTGAATGCCTATTATGTAGAAGAGACATCCTATTAACTCTGAAGACCTTTTCATCCTTAAAAATTTCACATTTACCTGCTCAGCCTGAGGAAAGTGAGAGATTTAAAATTGGAGTATTAGGACTGAATCTCAGTTGAAGCTTTCCCTCTCATCTTTAAAACAAAAACAATTCTGAAGTGGGAAACTAGTAAGTGATAACTACCACCCACGATGTTGGACATTTATAACAGCTTTAAAGAGTAATATTAATCATTGGAAATATCTAATTTACATGGGTTCTATAAATTTAAATATGAATTTACATAGTCTGTAAATCTAAATACAGAATAAAATGAGCCATACCTATTTATTTGAATCCCAAGTTTTCTTTGGCTTGAAGTTTTTAAAATATTAAAGAAGTTATTAAATATTAATTTAATTTAATATTAAATATTAAACAGTTGTTTTTATTTCAACTCTCTTTTTGCGTAGTACTCTTAAAAGTTAAAATTTCTTTCAGTGTTAATCCTGCGACTGGGACTGCCATCGTCCTGTTGTATATACCGTATTCCACTTCTTGGAAGGCACTGTGAATTGTGTGATGCTTCCTTATTTTATGCACCAATAAAAGATTGTTTAAATTTCTGCTAAATATAGTTGTAATAAATAATGAATTATAAGTGGCATTTCAATGTCAGAAATGTTAAAATATGAGAAATTGAGCATCTTAGAATCATTAAAATACCGTGTTATCTCTAACCTTTAAAGCACACCACAAAACAGGCATAATTGCACCTTTTACTTAAAATGTTGCCTTTGTTAAGTAGTAGTCATAATTATATCTAACAACTACTGAGCTGTTACATGTGCTAAGAACTCTCCAAAATACTTTGCATAGATTCTCATTGAGGCATCACAGTGATGTCCTGTGAGATAACTGCTGTATTCATCTTCATTTTATTGATGAGAAAATCGAGGTGCAGAAAGTTTAAGTGACAGCTAGAAAGTGAAACTTCTTAAAGTAATATTCAAGCCCAAGTTGAACTGAATCCAAAGGCCAAACTCTTTCTATTCAAATAGGCCACTCTTTCATTAATGCAGTGAGTAATAAGAGTGAACAAATGTTGTACTTTCTTCAGGAGAATATTAAATATTTCTTTTGAAGGCAGAGAAAGAGCATGGTATTTAATGTTTACAATTACATAAATCGTTGTATGTTTTGAGACAGTGGACTATACTTTGCCTAAAAGTCCTCTCACTCTCGTAGGACTGCTCTACACTGGGCCTGTGTCAACGGCCATGCGGAAGTAGTAACATTTCTGGTAGACAGAAAGTGCCAGCTTGACGTCCTGATGGCGAAAACTGGACACCTCTGATGAAGGTAAATCGTAGCCAGTTTTTTCAGCAGGAGATGGATTTGGTTTAAATACATAGAATAAAAATGAATTTATCTCATTGAAATACAACTAGTTTGTGAAACCTGTGGAATATTTATTTTGATTTCCTATAATTTATAATTTACTTCTTGTTTTAATACTGACAGGCTCTACAATGCCAGAGGGAGGCTTGTGCAAATATTCTCACAGATTCTGGTGCCGATCTAAATATTGTAGATGTGTATGGCAACACGGCTCTCCATTATACTGTTTATAGTGAGAATTTGTCAATGGTGGCAAAACTGCTGTCCCATGGTGCAGTCATCAAAGTGCAAAACAAGGTGGACGTTAACCAAGGTTATTTTCAAAATATTTGAAATCCATTTGTTTTAACATTAACATATGTAAGGTTTTTTATATTTGGAAGCTCAAACATTCCTTGAATGAAAATGGTTTGAAAGAACTTAATTTTCTAAGATTTTACTTTAAATATTAATATTTTTACAAGAATTACCAGAGAGTGTGGCTTTTCTATGCATTTATGATAAATATTTGAATTTGTTAAAGGTAAAACTTTTTCAAATATTCTTTCCTACCCAAGTTTTTTTTCTTTCCAATTAGTGTGAAACTACAGGAAAGCAAAATTTGCCTGCATAAATTGAGTCAACATGTAAAATGTAGGAGACATGCAGAAATCTGGATTTCCTCTTAAAGGATTGAATCTGGTGTCTCTTGAGCCCATATGACTGTTTGGTATGCTATGAAGACGTTCTAACTTTACACAAAGCATATGTTTCCAGTTTGCTACTGTGCCCACCTAGTTACATCACTTCCTCAACTTACCTCTTTTGCCTCTGTAAATATTTCAGTTATCAATTCCTCTCTCATAGTATATTTTGGTAGAGATTTCAAGGTATTCAAGACAGTTGATAGCTGTTTATAATATATAGTTTATATTTTACATTAATTCATTAATAATGGGCTACTTCTAGAATTTAGATTTTTTAAACAATGATTTTTCTGTATATAAACCATAAATAATCATCTTCTATTAGAATGACTTTAAGCCTTTTTGTATTAATCATGGTTGTATTTGAATAGGTTGTGCATATTGTAGAAAATATTATATCCTTCTCCTCAGAATCGTCCCTTAAAATTCAAGTGATTTAGTGGCTTATATTATGCTAATCCACATAGATGAGTTAGAACTTTAATTAATAAGCCATTTTATTAATATTGTTGATATTTTGTCAAAAATTAAGTAGCAGCTAATAGAAATCAGAATAAAAATGGATTATTGCATTTTAAAAAGATATGCATTAGGATCCTAGGATGATTATTATAATTGAGAATAAAGTTTTATACTGAATTTCTAATAGCTGAGATAAAATTCTGTTGTCTTGTAATAGGAGAAACCCCATTATTATTTAATAATAAGCAATCAAAGTTCATTTGAAGCCAAACTCTTTTAATTTAGAGCCACTTCCTTAGTGACCCATTTAGAGCAGGTGTGCCTGACATTGGCATCTGGGATCTTGGGATTATTGGTAGAAGAGAATCAAGTGAGTTTGTATCACCCAGAGGAAACCTCCATTTTTCTTGCAAAGCTTTCAAAACTGTATCCCTGAAATTCTAATTTGTCAAATGTTAATGTCTGCCACAAAAATATATTGTCAAATAAGGATTAGGCAAAGTTCAAGTCATTTATTGAATAATGGACATTTAATTCACAGTTTTATAATATTTCTTCAACATAGATAATGGTGGAATCTGTTGGGGTACATTACTTCTGGTAAGGTAATTATCTTTTAGAATATAGTTTAAGAAACACTGCTCTAGAGGTAATAATTTAGATTACTAATTTAGTCAAAAACAAAATATTTACTACTATGTCTTAGGGTTTAAGGATATAGAGATAAAGGATACAGCCCTTGCCCTCAAGAAGCTCTTGGTTTAGAAGAGAAACCATAAAATCATTACAATATAATGATTTTTGGAGATAACCAGAGTTAATTTGGTGATGCAGAGGCTGAAACAAGGTAAGGTGCAGTGCATGAGAAAGCACAGAAAAGGGAGAAGGAAGGGATTGCTATTGATTGACTTTATATTTTATGTGTTTAAGTTCATAGGATATTATATAAAGTATTCAGTTCAGCTGAGAAATATGTAATTTCATGAATTATAAATCGTTTTACTGTTTTACAGGCTAGCCTCACACCACTTTTACTGGCCATAATGAAAAGACGTGAGCAAATTGTGGAATTTTTACAGACAAAAAAAATGCAAATGCAGTTAATAAGTTTAAATGGTATAGTAGTTCTTTTTTTTTATTAAAAAACACTTGAGTAGTGTTCTAGAGAAATAAGACTCAAGTCAGAAATATTAAATTAATATTTACTTAAAATTATTAGATTATAGTGAAACATATCAACACAAATTATCAGAAGTAAAGCAATTATTTGGACTGATCAACATAAAGAGCAGTATGTAGTAGGACTTCTCTTATTATATTGATTGATTCTTATGTGTAATCTGATGTTTTTGGTTGCATTATCTTCCATAAGCTAAAGTGGTTCTGTATTAGTTTTAAGAAGTATGATTTTTTAGTTTACTTTGTAATTCAATATTGAATGATTAACACTTTTATAGTATTTTTCTAACTTCCGTTTTTTTATACACTTTTAAAAAAATGCAATATTTGCTGGACACGGTAGCTGTTGCCTGTTATCCCAGCACTTCGGGAGGCCAAGGTGGTTGGATCACTTGAGGCCAGGAGTTTGAGACTAGCCTAGCCAACATGGTGAAACCCCATCTCTACTAAAAATACAAAAATTAGCCGGGAATGGTGGCACATGCCTGTAGTCCCAGCTACTTGGGGGGCTGAGGCACAAGAATCGCTTGAACCCGGGAGGCAGAGGTTGCAGTGAGCTGAGATCGTGCCACCACACTCTAGCCTGGGTAACAGAGTGAGATAGATTCTGTCTCATAGAAAAAGCAATATTAAATAGAAATAGGAGTTTAAAATCATTTTGTCTTTAGGATGATTGTTTGCTTTGTTTTCTTTGAAGAGTATTAATTTTAGGTTATCCCTACGTGACTATTAATTGCTATCACCAGATACTGTGAATTTATTATTTTTTTCTTTTTTATTCATAGTGTATTTTTATTTTTAATTTGTATGGGTAGAGGGAAGAAAGACATCTTTAATTGGATTAACATTTTAGTTAATTAAGATAAGCCATAGGTGAGTGATAAAGAGAAAAGAGATAGGCTTTTGATTCACACAATACTAAATTTAATTTCTAGCTTCCTCACTTGATAGGTGTGACCTTGCAAACATTAGTTAATACCAACTATGATTTTCTATATGAAAAGGAGAATAATAATATGTCCTTTAAGGACGATTGTGTTGAAGTAACATTATAAATATCAACAGCATTTAATTCAGTGTTTCATACATTCTTATCAGCATCATTAAGTAAACTTACTGTAACTACTACTAATATCATTATTCCTAATACTGTTTTAAGCCTTCAGATTGCTCTTATTTGTCTGACTTCTAGCTGATTTTGAAGTACAAAATATTATATCAGAGTAAGGAAGAAATAGATAATTCTTCACTTAAATCTTTGCCTCTTTTAGGTTAGTGAACAAAGCATAAGTCTTTGCCCCTCAAAGGACTTTATGTTAGCCAATTCTAGTATGCCATATTCCAGTGGGACATGAGTCTTTTTGCCCCTTCCTTTTAGCCTTGGTGGTGATTTACAAGGATAAACACTTGAGCACTCAAGATAGTTATGTTTGTTAGTACATGTAAATGGTTAATTCTACACTGACAGGCACATATTAAATTGGTTCTGTTCCTAACAATGAAGTTAACTCTTTGTTATTTTAGCACAGCCCTCATGCTTGCCATATGTCATGGAGCATGAGAGATAGTTGGCATGGTTCTTCAGCAAAATGTTGACATCTGTGCTGAAGATACATGTGGAATGACTGCAGAACGTTATGCTGTTGCTTGTGGACTTAATCGGTGTTTACATTTAAAGACTAGGTGAGATTTTATAGTTTGTTTCAGGTAATTTTTGAATGACAGTGAGTTAGTTCACTTCATCGGCCAGAAACTAGTCAAAAAGCTAGACTAGTTAGAAGGAATAATGGGTCCAGGATTCTTTATTTTAGGACTTTCAACAGCTTTATCCCTAGGGATCCTAATGTTGTGTACTTGATTTTAAGTATAACCCCTATGCATGGGATAAACATAGTGTCACAATTTTGATTTTTCTAATTAGTTATTTGGGTCTTGAAATGTCCACTTTACCAGAAAACCTGATAGTGTCCCCTGGGGGCTGTCTTCCATACCTTAATACTTGAATTTTTAAAAAGAATCTAACGGGTTCCTTAAGTACAAGGAAGAGATTCATTTTGTGTAAGTCAGAAGGATTGGGGGGGAAAATGGCCATTCTCTTCATTTTGTTGTTTCCATTGATTCTGTTGCTGCATCGTTGCCATTGAAACTGTTCCTGCAGTCTGGTAATGATTGACCTTTGTGACCAGGTGCCCTTACTAACACAGATTTTATGGTGATCCATATGTAGACTTCAAATTTATTACAGTTTTTTAAAGTTCACATATATATTCTCAGCCATTGTTTCCAAAGTACCAGCACCCTGCTCTGGCAGCTAGGACTTTTATCTTTTGCCACACACATAGTGAGCAAATTGACCCTTCTCCCACTCAAAACCTGATGTGAAACCCACATCTTGCCTGAACTTGGCCTAGACCTTCATAAGTTATCCTTTAAGTGACTTTTCTGTTTTCTCTAGCAAATATTAGTTGCGACAGTTTAAAACTGTAAGTCAGGTTGAAATAATGTTACAGGAAGGAATTAGAGTTCCATTTTTATTTTGTTACCAGATGTATATCCCTGGCACTTTATATCCCGTGTAGCACCATTTTGTAGGTAGTGGAAGGTCTCATCTTATTCTGTAAGATCCCATGTCATCTTTCCAAAGTTGTAGTGGGTTCCAACTTGTGGTTGTCCCCTCAAGTGATTCTTTTTTTCCCAAAAGTTAAAAATCTCCCGTGCTACTTGCATCTCTATCTCGAGTTTTTAAAATATTTTCAAATTCTGCATTACCATGAAGCCATTCAATAGACTTCACTCTATCTCAAGGAGGTTGCTTAGATTAAACAGAGCTAAGCCTCATCCATCACTGATGAGTCTTCACATATAAAAGTAGGGATTTGTGCTGGCTTCAGGGGTACATATACTAAAATTGAAACAATGTCGAGAAGATCAGCATGGTCCCTGCACAAGGATGACACAGAAATCTGTGAAGTGTTGCATATTTCTTGCAGTCCCCAAAAGGACATTTGACTACTTTCTAACTAGCTCCAAGGAAATGGTGTGAGTCAAAGCAAAATGGGTGACAGCCAGTATTGCAATTGTGATTTTCATATGAAAAATATTTATGTAAGGTGATCTATGAAATGAGATATGGTAACACATAGGATCTTGTGTGCAATATGTTGTTAGTAGGCCAATGAGAAAATACCAACTGGCATCTTCTTTGTGGAACTTACAAAAAATAAAGGTAGGTTTTTGTCTTCCACAGCAGCTGGAAATGAACATAGTGACTAAGCATCATTCTAAGAAAGATTTGTTGGTTCAGAGTTTAGGGAGGTAGAGAAAGATTAGTAGTAGTCCAAGCCAGATGCTGACATCTATAGTTTTCTTCCCTTGGTGTGATTGATGAGCTCAGTAATAGAGGATAATCAGATTGTCCAATTTAATAATTAATATATTCATAAATTTCATTACAAATTATAAAATAGCTTAGATGCCTTGAATTACAAGCCACAAAGAATAGAACATCTAATAATAACCAAAAGTAGGAATTAATAACAGAAAACTGTAACATTTGAACATTATAACCTATGAATAAACAGTTTTTTAAAAAAAAAATTTATTTTTTGTAGACACAGGGTCTCCCTATGTTGCCCAGGCTGGTCTTGAACTTCTGGGCTCAAGTGATCCCCCTGTCTCAGCATCCCAAAGTGCTTGCATCACAGGCATGAGCCACTGCACCAGGCCAACACATTGGGTTTTATTGGGAATTTTAAAATAGTTTCAGCAATAAGGTTCAAGAACAAATTATTTCATTGCTTCACTATTTCTCAGAGTATTTTAAAAATGTTCTCTTGTTAAATTCTTATAATAACCTAGTGAAATAAGGCTCTAAAATCCTCATTTTTAGAAGACATTGCGCCTAAGAGAAGCAAGTTGTTCAAGAAAAAATACCTGTTGGTTACCATGCTAGGAGTTTTTCTGAGTTAGGGGCATTTTCCGTTATACCAAGCTAACTCTAGTTAATTTACTGAGTTAGACTGCCCTCAATTCATGAGTATTTCATCTTACTTTATTTCTTCTTTAATTAAAAGCTTAGTAAGTTCATAGAGCTTACAAACTCAAAGTCTATGAAATAAGTAATGTTCTGATGTTAGCTCTGATATTATCTGAAATACCCTAATAATAAATTTGGTAAATGTTTTTTATATCAGTGTTAAAATAGTAATTTTATTTATTACATTTTTATACATAGCATTCATCAACAACTTTTGGAATATATATGAAAGATATCTAAAAATCCTCAAAATAGCAATCCAGGTAAGACCTCTGATAGTAAACTACTCTTGGTGGTGCTATCATAAGATTATGGAACTATTGATCACAAAAAAGCAATTCAAAAAGCAATGTGTAAATAGCATGTGTTTACATATATACATATATATATATAGCTTTGATTTAAATTTTTTAGTTTATAATTCAGAATTAGTTAAGAATTTAGTTGTAGGTAGCTTATAATCTCAAAAAATATTATCTGAAAAAATATTTGTTTAATTATGGTCCCTAAAATCCTACATAATACTTTTGTATAAATAAGTAATGCAATGTTTAAGTTTGTATATTGTATGTTTCTTCAATTGTCATAACAACTTAGGCTTGTTACAAAATGTATAACCCTTAGTGTGATTGATGAGCTCAGTAATAGGGGATGATCAGGTTATCCAATTTAATGAATTAATATATTTATAAATAAATTTTATTACAAATTTTAAAGTAGCTTACATGCCCTGAATTAGAAGCCACAAAGAATTGACCATCTAATAATGAAAAGTAGGAATTAATAACAGAAAACCGTAACATTTGAATATTTTAACTTGCGGTGGTCTGTCCCACAGACCCCGGCTGCATGACGGATGAGACACATACCCAGACACCAATATTCAGTGAAAGAGCAGCAAGGGTTCTGAGCCGATTACAGGCACCAAGGAAGGTGCTGTAAAGAGTCAGCAGCCACAGCCCTGGCTAGCTGGCCCTGTGGGCATTTATTAGCAAAGTTTTAATGATAAAGGCTTTGAGCCAACACACCTGTGGGTAATTAATCTGGGTGCCCCTACCCCAGGAGAGCCATCTTGCCTGTGGGTGATCAAAGGGTAGTCTTAAGACCACATGAGTAAACAAGCTATTTGGATAAACTACTCTACCTTTCTTTGTACCCACTTTAAGCTACTTACTCAAGGTAAGGATTAGGCTGCTTTCAGCCATAACCCTATCTTGAGACTTTTACAAAACCTTTGGCATTCCAAGAAGATTTGTGTCTATGTCCTATAACTTCATCTTAAAATGTTTCCCACCAGCCTGACTGAACTCCCACAATAACCTATGAAGAAACATGGTTTTATTTATTTATGTATTTTAGAGACAGGGTCTCCTTATGTTGCCCAGGCTGGTATTGAACTTCTGGGCTCTATTTAATTTTTACAATAAACGGTTTGCATTTAGTAAATGAGAATTAATTACAATGGAGTCTTGTGCAATATGAGAGTTAGGGTGCTGATCCCCCATGCAGCTGAAAATCTGCTTCATATGAAAATCTGTTTCTTTTGACTCCTCCAAACCTTTACTAATAGTCCACTGTTGACCTGGAGCCTTACTGAAAGCATAGTCAATTAACACATAGTTTCGATTTTATATGTACTATATACTGTATTCTTACAATAAAGTGAACTCGAGGAAAACTGTTACAAGGAGGAAAAAATATATTCACTATTTATTAAGTGGAAGTGAATTATTATACATAAAGGTTTTCATTCTTATTGCCTTCACATTGAGTAGTCTGATGAGGAGGCAGAGGAGAGATTTGTCTTGCTATCTTGCAGTGCCAAAGGAAAAGAAAAATCTGTCTGTTAGTGGGCTCCTACAGTGAAAACCCTTATTCAAGGATCAACTTTGTGACATAGTGACTTGTGTCACTAAGAAAGTAACTATCTTGGCCAGGCGCAGTGGCTCACGCCTGTAATCCCAGGACTTTGGAAGGCCGAGGTGGGTGGATCACAAGGTTAGGAGATTGAGACCATCCTGGCTAACATGGTGAAACCCTGTCTCTACTAAAAATACAAAAAAATTAGCTGGGCTTGGTGGTGGGTACCTGTAGTTCCAGCTACTCGGGAGGCTGAGACAGGAGAATGGCATGAACCCGGGAGGTGGAGCTTGCAGTGAGCCGAGATTATGCCACTGCACTCCAGCCTGGGTGACAGAGCGAGACTCTGTCTTAAAGAAAAGTAACTATCTTTAGAATAGTTAATAATACTTAATAATACTTTTCTGGCACCACGAACAAATGTCAACAAGAATTACAAAACTTAGCCAGGGTGCCTCAGTACCAATAGGAGATTATTTTCCAAAGATACCTACTGAGTGCAGAAGTCAGAAAAGCAATTTTTTGTTGAGAAGTGCAGGTTGTGTTACATAGTCTTGTACCAACAAGGTCTCACTATTATCAACTTCATTCCAAGCTGAAACCAAATAAGATATATTTACTTCATTAGAACAAGATATGTTGTTCTATCTGCTGGATAATTAGCGTGTTAATAGTAATTTTGTTACAACAAGATACTCTGTTTCTAATAGCCAAAATATTATCATTATAAGTATTCAAATAGCTTAACTCTAGGCTCAACAAATTATAATAAAATTACAAACATTTTTCACAATAACAAAAATGCTACTGTGATATCTAAATGTGACACAATGCATGGTACAATATGAACTGTATGAGCACATCTTTATTATATATTTATCAAAGGATAAATTATCAAACGATAAGTTAGGTTTTGCAAGTTGCAGGAGACAAAGATGGAATACACATAGTCTGGGTCTTTAAGGTGCTCATAATACAGTAGAGCTGTCCCTATTGAATTTCTGCATTTTTTCCAACAGAATTTCCTAAAAAATGTTTTTTATTTATTTATCCACTTGTCCACTTAACAAATAACTGTCAGGTATCTTTAAGGTACTAAGCATCTTCCTTGTTATTATCATTGTCATTTTTTATTATTTACTACTTTATTAAGGTACTAAGCATTTTTCTTGTTTTTATTATTTATTTATTTAGCGCTCATTCTGTGCTAGAACCCCTTTGGGAGCTTCTAATTACTTATTATGTCATGTCGTTACCATATTCAGCATGTGTCAGACGTTTTATATCCCTATGGATTTGAAGTGGGGTGCGTGGCACTCACTGAGTCTTCAAAGACCAGGTTTTAGGTGCAACTCATTTGGCAACTACAAACTTAGGTCACTGTTTGTATGTTACTTGCAGGATTCATGTACTTAGTTTTTAACTATTTATACTACTTTAAGTCTCTAAAAATTCATATATTGAAAAAATTGAAAATTTTAAGTTTCTACTCCTCATTACTTTTTGTGATATTTGATCTCCCCTAATACTTGATTATAAATCAGCCAGTGATCAATAAAGAGTCTCTCCCACTTTTCAAATCATTATATTTTTAAGTCATGCAATAAAATAGGTCAGGTGGTGAACATTGTTTATCATTAGAGATACCACTGTGATGTCACTAGGATTCGTGAGGAGATGACACCTGAGAAGAAGGATCTGCATAAGAGGCCTCACCTCTGCCCTCCTGTGTTTTTTTGGAAATTGAGCATGGTAAAAAGAACCTGCTAAACCTGGCTGGACACAGTGACTCAAACCTGGAATCCCAGCACTTTGAGAGGCCGAGGCAGGAGGATGGCTTTAGGCCAGGAGTTTGAGACCAGCCTAGGCAACAGAGTGAGGCCCCATCTCTGCAAAAGCATTAACAATTAGCCAAGTGTGGTGGCATGTGCTTGTGGTCCCAGCTGCTCGGAAGGCTGAGATGGGAGGATTGCCTGAGCCCAGGAGTTTGAGGCTACTGCACTCCAGCCTGGGCAACTGAGTAAGACCCTGCCCCTAACAAAAAAAGATAAAGAATCAGCTAAACCTAATAGAATCATTGACCCTTGCCACCAAGCAAGCTTACATCTTTCTCATAGAAGGAGGAGACTGTCGAGTTATTTTGCTCACATAATATGGCCATTGGAAAATATTTTGGCTATTATAGCTAAAACAATATTTTATTAATAACAGTTTATTAATCATTTACTTGTAAACAATAAAAGCTTGGCTCTCTTTGTACTGCTCATGGCTTTAGGTGGATCTTGGAACGTAACCACTTGTGAGAAGCTAGTAGTATTTGCTGCTTCCCTTAAAGCTCCTGAAAGGCAGAGAGGAAATCTTAGATTTTTCATTGCTATGAACCACTGCAAGTATTGAGGAAATATTCACTACTTCCAACGTCGTAATCCTGCAGCCATTTGGCACCTGTGAGTCAGGTGCCAGAAACTGGGCAGTGCAGAAGGCAGTGCGCTGTGTTCCACAGTTGCTTGCTATCTAGAACTTCTAGAACTTCTGCTTTTCTAGAACTTCTGCTGTTCATTCTCAACTCCAAGAGTTTTGTTGTTGTTTTGTTTTATGGGAAGTTTGTTAGAAGTAGGTTTATATATTTTCTTTCAGAATTAACAGAAGAATTATAATTAATATCACTTCCTGGTGTGACCGAAAGCCTCTAATCCTTTACTGTTATTTGTTTATGAGCACATTTCTTTTAACAGCTATGATAATTACTACATCTTGTGTGGTTTCTCAAAAATACATTTGTTTCTTATTTCAAAGAGTTTCTGTAATGGAGCCCTTCAGATTTGGTGCTAATAACATGAAGTAAGAATTTAAGAAAGAAGATCTTTTATTTTATTTATATTTATATTTTTTGAGATGGAGTCTTGCTCTTGTCACCCAGGCTGGAGCAGTGGCGCCATCTTGGCTCACTGCAGACTCCGCCTCCCGGGCTCAAGTAATTCTCCTGCAGGGTTTCACCATGTTGACCAGGCTGGTCTTGAACTCCTGACCTCAGGTGGTCCACCTGCCTTCGCCTCCCAGAGTGCTGGGATTACAGGCATGGGCCATCGTGCCTGGCCAGTTGCAAAATATTTAAATGTTACATACAGAGGTGCGAGGGAGATCCATATAGTACCATGTAAATTGCTTGAATCTTTTCAGAGTACTGTTTGTATGTGGTTTCAAAGCAGGGATTAATATATTTATTTTTATCTTTTAATTACAATTTGTATACCTATTCAAAAGTAGAGAAAATAGTAAAAGTAACACTAAAATACCCATTATTCAATTTCTGTGATCAAGATTGTCCTACATTTTGTTCATCTATCTGTTCATCTATCTTTACAGGAATATTATAAAGCAAATCACAAGGCCATTTTTTCTGTTCAGTGTGCATCCCTGGACAGCACTAAAGTTTCTTTATTTTTTTTTTCTTCAGCTTTTAAGTTCTGGGGTCCATGTACAGGATGTGCAGGTTCATTACATAGGTAAACGTGTGTCATAGTGGTTTGCTGCACAGATCAACCCATCACTCAGATATTACGCCCAGTATTGATTAGCTATTCTTCCTGATGCTCTCCCTCCTCCTGCCCCCACAACAGGTCCCATTGTGTGTTGTTACCCCTCATGGATCTGTGTGTTCTCATCATTCAGCTCCCACTTATAAGTGAGAATACGTGTTGTTTGATTTTCTGTTCCTGCATTAGTTTTCTGAGGATCATGGCTTCCAGCTCCATCCATGTCTTTGCAGAGGACATGATCTTGTTTCTTTTTAGGCCTGCATGATAGTCCATCGTGCACATGTACCAAATTTTCTTTATCCAGTCTAACATTGATGGGCATTTTGGTAGATTTCATGTCTTTGCTGTTGTGAATAGTGCTGCAGTGAACATACATGTGCATGTCTCTTTATAATATAATGATTTATATTATTTTGGATATATACCTAGCAATGGGATTGCTGGGTCAATGGTCTTTCTGCTTCTAGATCTTTGAGGAGTCAACACACTTCCTTCCTCGATGGTTGAACTAATTCTTGGCAAGCCTCCTAGCAAGCCTCTGTGTCAGCCTCCTAGCCAGCCAGCCTGAAGACTGGCCTCCCATGCAGCCAGCATTCCGAACAGCATTCCAGCAACCCTCTTCCCCTGCCAGAAGACTCGTGATTTGATTAGCCTCCCATGCAGCCAGGCTCTAGGCCAGCCTCCAAAAAACCGGCCTGCCACCAGGCCTCCAAGTCACATTCATCTTGCCGGACTCTTCAGCAAGCGTTTTAGGAAGCATTTAAGGCAGCCTCTCACACAGCCTCTCCCGCAGGCTCTTGGCCAGCCTCCTAGACAGCCAGCCTCCGATCCAGCCTTTCAGAAAGTCTCTAAGCGAATCTCCCAGACAATCAGCTTCCAGACCAACCTCCCATGCAGCCAGCGTTTTTAACAGCCATCCAGCAAGCCTCTTGCACAGCCAGACAATCTGCCACTCTGCCAGTTTCCTCGCCAGCCTCTTGGTTAGCCTCCCATGCAGCCAGCTTCTAGGCCAGCCTCCTAACAAGCCAGACTTGCATTCCGACTCTTAGCCAGATTCAGCCTGCCAGGATCTCAGCAGGCCTTTTAGCAAGCGTTTATGGCAGCCTCTCAGACAGAAAGCCTCTCCCACAGGCTCTAGGCCAGCCTCCCAGTGAGCCAGCCTCTCAGCAAGCCTCTATGCTACTTTTCAAGAGAGTCCTTCAGTACACCAGCCTCCCATGCAGCCCGCGCCTTGGCCAGCCTTCCAGCCAGCCTCTAGGTAAGTCTGTTAGCCAGCCGCTTAGCCAACCAGCTTCAGAATCAGCCTCCCATGCCACCAATGGCGTGGCCAGCCTCCCAGTACGCCTCTTAGAGAGCCTCTTAGGCGGCCTCCTGACTAGCCAGCCTCAAAACCAGCCTCCCTTGCAGCCAGCGTTTCCAACAGCCTCAGTGGGAGTGAAGGAGAAGGCAGCCAAAGTTTGAGGTTGATTTTAAGGTGGCCTTGTCCCTCTGCCCTGCAGGCCTTGTCCCTGTGCCCTGCAGGGCGCCCCCATCCCAGGACTGGGGGCCTGCCCAGGAAGAAGGCCCAGATACCGGGGCCCAAGATTTCTGCCCCGCTGCCGACCCACTCTTCCACCTGCTGCCTTTGTCCCGGGGACACCCACCACACCCCACGCTGAAGGGGCGATCCTCCCACAGCTGTCACCTCCTCCTGCAGCCCCAGCTCAGGCAGGGCACGGCGCCTCTTCTTCGCATCTTTTATGTTCAGGTCGATGGTCCTCGTCTTCACATCATCCCCTGCAAGCTTCCAGGCGTGGCCCCGGGAGGCAGCTCTGTGCATCTTTCTGATATCCCTATAGTGGATGACTTAAGAGTCTTTGGTGGTAGACCAGCTGAGTGAAGGCTCTCTGGCACTCCAGGCTTGTCACGCCCTTGACAGCAGTGGCAGAAAGCCTCTGCATGGCTGCAGCCACCTTTTAAGAGAGAGGCCGCTCCTCTCACTCGCCCTTCCCCAGCCCCAGCCCCAGCCCCAGCCCCAGCCCCCGCCGCTCGCCCTTGCCCTTAATCGCCACCACATCCGGCCCAACATCAGTAAAAAGTGTGGTCTAGTGAAGCCCTTGTACACTCCGGCCTCTTTCTAGAGAAATTTGTTGAGTAGAGCCGTGAGGCTTTCACGGGATCTTGTAGCCAGCCTCCTAACAAGCGAGCCTGGTACAACCAGGCTCTTAGCCGGACTCAGCCTACCAGGCCCTCAGCAAGCAAAATTAGCAAGAATTTGAGGTACCCTCTCACACGGACTCTCCGCCAGCCTCCTAGTCGGCCGCCTCTCACCCGGGTTCTTGGCAAATCTCCCAGCAAGCCTCTATGTCAGCCTCCTAGCCAGCCAGCCAGCCTGAAGACCGGCCTTCCATGCAGCCAGCATTTCGATCAGCGTTCCAGCAAGCCTCTCCCCCTGCCAGAAGACTTGTCATTCGACCAGACTCCCATGCAGGCAGGCTCTAGGCCGGCCTCCAAAAAACCGGCCTGCCACCCAGCCTCCAAGTCATATTCATCTTGCCGGACTTTTCAGCAAGCATTTTAGGAAGTATTTAAGGCAGCCTCTCAGACAGATAATTTTCTGGAATATTCCATTAAACATTCTTCTCTGATTAAATAACGCTTGCCTCACCATGGCAACATAAATCACTGAAAAATACTGTTTATCCGAAGAATAGTCTCTCAACTTGTGGGATAAATGATGTATAATTTTTAACCTTCTTGAGGGCAGATATTATGAGAAAATTTTTAATCATAAGAAAAACATTGCAGAATTATAGCCACAGTTTTAAAAATAAGCACATTATAATGATAATAAAATTGTAATACAACTAATTATAATGAACATATAAAAGAAGTCTCCCCATGGAGATTAGTATCATAAAACAATTTATATAATTTCACCAGCTATAGATTCACTGTTGGCATGTTACTTTTAATACATACTTGACTTTCAATTCGAAATCATTTTTTCATTAAATCCTGTACCTCAACTTTGAGATTAATGTGGTAATGTGATGCAGCTTCTAGTGAAGCCTCAGACACACATTGTTTATTGAGATCAGCCAATTTTTTTTGAAGTTGTCTCACAGTGACCTGACATGTTTGTTATTGATTTGTAAATCACCTTATCAAATTAACAATATTTACTTTCAAAAATATCACCAAATATATTGGTTCAGCTTATTTTCTTTATGTGTACACATTCCTGCTTATTACTGAATCCACTTAAGGACACAAGAAGGTATTATCTTCCTGCCAAACTGGTACTCTCTTACTAGACACCAGATTCATCCCACTAGTCATTTGTCCCCTAATGAATCTGTAATGCTTCACAACTTACTGAAGTCTCAAGAAAATATGTGGGCAGGACTAGTGGTGGTAAATTCTATGCTGTGGAATGCTTTCCTTCTTTTTTATTGAAGCACAAATCAACATCAAAGTTCCTCACATACTCAATCACCTGGTGAAATTTTTCCAACAGGTTTCTATCTCAGAATAAAAGTATTTTTGTTTCAAAGGCTTTAGAGGCCCTAGGTAACCTGGTCTCCACATCCCTCCTGACCGCAGCTGCTAAGTTTCTCTCCTCTACTCACTTTTTTTGTACTATACATGAACCCTGCCACCCCCCATGAATTGAAAAATGGGGATCCAATGCAAAGCTAATAAATCACAGATAGCTACAATGATCTTTCTCTGGGACAAAGTTCTATCCACATGACAGTCTTTGAGCCTTGAAATAGAAATTATGAGCAAATTATTTGTAACAATATTCAAAGTAAATTATAAATACCAGTGGGATGATTAAATCAAATTTGATATTGCTAAAATCCACTACATTTGTCCTAAGCTATTATTTAATAAAACACAGATGGCTTTAAAAAATTAAGTTGTCATAACAATACATAATTTGAGATTCAGATATGTTCAGATTTAAGTCAAATTGACATAAATGAAAATAAAATTCTACCAACTAAAATATACAAAAAGTTACTGAAAAAGTAGTATTACAAGATGCAGAAATGTACACTTCAAAATATACTTCAAATACACTTCAGTTCCTCTGGAAAATTTAGAATTAACTGTCAAAGTAAATTGTTGAATCAATTTCAAAATACTCATTGCTGATATGGGCATTCCCATTTATCTGTTTCATCGTGGTCATAAAATGTGGCCACAAAGAGATATTAAAACCTTTATTGGCCGGGTGCGGTGGCTCACGCCTGTAATCCCAGCACTTTGGGAGGCCGAGGCGGGTGGATCATGAGGTCAGGAGATCGAGACCATCCTGGCTAACAAGGTGAAACCCCGTCTCTACTAAAAATACAAAAAATTAGCCGGGCGCGGTGGCGGGCGCCTGTAGTCCCAGCTACTCGGGAGGCTGAGGCAGGAGAATGGCGTGAACCCGGGAAGCGGAGCTTGCACTGAGCCGAGATTGCGCCACTGCAGTCCACAGTCCGGCCTGGGCGACAGAGCGAGACTCCGTCTCAAAAAAAAAAAAAAAAAAAAAAAAACCTTTATTTCAGCAGTATAAGCCAATGTCATTAATGTTAATCTATTAAAAACCTTTAACTTAAATTCTTAAAATTTCATAAGTGACACAATGTCTTAAAGTAAAACATCTCTCAGCTTTAACTTGCATTTGGTGGAAATAAGCCATGTTTCTAAGCTGACATGGTAAATATATTTATTATCTATATTAAACTAGATTCAGCATTTATCTAAGGCCAAATATGACTTTAAATTTTCTTTCAGGAAGGTTGAAAAATATTTATTTTTTTTGATACTTCTCTTTCAGCTTTCTGTTTTTCATATTGGTATAAACATTATTTTAAATGGTTACAGTTATTAAATATCTCCTCATTTTTCTCTTTTAGGAGGTGATGTTGCGTTTTCCTCTCAAAACTGAATATTATTATCTTGCTTTTGTTATCAGCTTTCTTATGCACCTGAACTAATTGCTGTGGAAGCCACATGTTTTTGCTTTGTAGTTGAAATAATTTCTGCTCCAGACTCCTGCTGTTCAGTGTGCTTGGTCACATTATCTTGTTTGTTTTGATACATGTGTTCAGCTTTCTTCATTTGACACTATGTTTCACTTAGGTCTCTTTGTGCATGTTCTAAAACCTATGTATTTTCTCTTTGAGCGTCTCCTGCATAATTGAAATTAATTTTTAGACTTTTGGATTCCCTTTGAGCTTCAGAAAGTGGTTGATGAAGCTTCTCATTGTTATATATTATTCACATCAACATTCATTTTTCCTTGCAAATGAGCACTGTGGAAAGCAAGTTCTTGGTTTTTTCTTGATGTCACACTTTATCTTGGTCTTGTATAGCAGAAGCTAGTCTAGAATGGTATGATTCAATTTCTTTCTCCAGTATTTCTTTGTCTTGTTTTTCCTTCAATTTAGAAGTGAGCATTGTGTTCTTAGCTATCAGAACTTTAAGCTGCCCACTATACTGAGGTGCCCTTTTTGTTAATGTTTTCTCTTTCAGTTTTAGGGTCATTTGAAGTTCAGCATTCTTTTCTCTTAAAATCTTAATGTCCTCAAAGTATTTATTTTCCTTCTCCTGGTGCTGATGTTTTAGTATGTCCAATTTGCAGTTTTAGCATGGCAATTTCCTTTTTCAACATGCCATTTTCATGTAAGAGATCATTTTCATTTTCATAAGCATGAGAAACCTAAATAAAATAAATTTTTAGCTAGCACTCAATAAAATGGGATATCATGGTTCCTCTTAAAGAATAATTTTTACATTTATCCACTGAAAGGGTTTCTGTAAGTAGGTATCAGTTGAAGAACCATTGAATCAAAACTTCAAATGCTATAGAGCATAAATTCCCCAAAGTTCAAACATTTATTTGAACACAATGAATTCATGAAAGTAAAAAAGAAATGACTAGAGAATTTTTAAGAGCTTCAGAATTGAAACAAACTTTCCCTGGATTACAACACATGCAAAAGCATAAAATAAAAGATTAATCACTTTGACTACATACAAAAATTTGATTTACACCCTGATGTCTAACCTATACAAGACCCCATACTAGAAGCCTTAGTGTGTAGGGAGACCCCTTGAAACTATTGCTTTGGAATAAAAGGTGAAATACTCCTGATTATTGTAAATACAAAATTGCATGCAGGATTGTGTAAAGACAATGCCAGGTTGGACTGCCAGAATAAGCCAACAGTGCGTGATACGCTTCCCCCTGCAGAGAGCCTATGAACGGATATGCAGTCAGGGAGGTTTCACATCACCATGATTCCTATCCCAGAAAAGCAGATGTTCATAGCTCTGGGAATGGAATGTGACTCTTGTGGAGAGCCTATAAGCGAACGCATGAGGGGCGCCTGTTTATATGGATAAGATGGGGCTATAAATGCCCTTATCTTGCCTCGGCTCTTCTAGGCCTCTTTAGGGTTAAAGCATACTCCCTTCTGAGAATTTGTGGTCTAACCAGTTGTCTAGCTTCACGTCCTGTTTCTATGGATTGTTTGCAACCAGCTTTTGCTGCAACTGTTACTGCTGATTAATATCTTGCTAATCATAGGTTATGGAAAGACTGTGTTTCTGTTTTAAGGCTCTGTTAGAAATTGCTGATGCACACACTATATTGTAAATTCTTATCTCTGTATGCTGTACTTCTGCATACTGATGTTATGTTAAATTACTTCACCCTCGTGACCATCTCACCTCATAATCAAATGACCATAAATCCCTCACTAACCTATCCCCACCCTCACTAAACTTAATAATAAATGCTGGTATATCCAGTGCATTGGCGGCATCACAGGACCAGAAGGTGGTGACCCCCCTGGACACAGCTTTCACTATCTTGTGTGTGTCTTTTATTTCTCAACCTGCCAATCCGCCTGGGAACAAAGAAGGAGCCCTGTTGCATTGCGGGCTGCTGGCCAGTTCCCCCAATATTAGTGCTGCTTATATTTAGACAGATAAAATTTCCCAAAGCCCTTTCATTTCCTTTTTCCTGAGAATATTCTATAGATATTCTATTTTTAAAAATATAATTTTAAGAATTATATTTATAAATTATAAGTTGAGACATTGTAACAAGCACTTTTAGTTATC